>NC_000019.10:38756025-39059055 GCF_000001405.40 Homo sapiens
TGGCCCACGCCTATAATCCCAGCACTTTGGGAGGCCGAGGCAGGCAGATCATGAGGTCAAGAGATCGAGACCATCCTGGCTAATGTGGTGAAACCCCGTCTCTACTAAAAATACAAAAAAAATTAGCCGGGTGTGGTGGCGGGTGCCTGTAGTCCCAGCTACTCGGAAGGCTGAGGCAGGAGAATGGCGTGAACCTGGGAGGCGGAGCTTGCAGTGAGCTGAGATTGCACCACTGCACTCCAGGCTGGGCGACAGAGCAAGACTCCATCTCAAAAAAAAAAAAAAAAAAAGAAAAAAACCATATAAGGCCGGGTATGGTGGCTCAAACCTGTAATCCCAGCACTTTGAGGCCAAGGTGGGTGGATTGCTTGAGCTCAGGAATTCAAGACCAGCCTGGGCAACATGGTGAAACCCCATCTCTACCCAAAATACAAAAATTAGCCAGGCATGGTGGTGCAAACCTATAGTCCAGTCCCAGCTGTTCAGGAGGCTGAGGTGGGTGTATTGCTGGAGCCTGGGAGGTCGGAGCTGCAGTGAGCTGTGATTGTGCCACTGCACTCTGGCCTGTGTGACAGAGCAAGACTCTGTCTCAAAATAAATAGACAGACAAATAAATAAAATTGTAAAAAATATATATATATAAAATTGTTTAAAGTAAAGGTTATGCCAGGCACAGTGGCTCATGCCTGTAATCCCAGCACTTTGGGAGGCCAAGGACAGTGGATCATCCGAGGTCAGGAGTTAAAGACCAGCCTGGCCAACATGGCAAGACCCTGTCTCTACTAAAAATATAAAAATTAGCTGGGAATGGTGGCAGGCACCTGTAATCCCAGCCACTCGGGAGACTGAGGCAGGATAATCGCTTGAACCTGGGAGGCAGAGGTTGCGGTGAGCCAAGATCATGCCATTGCACTCCAGCCTGGGCTACAAGAGCGAAACTCCATCTAAATAAATAAATAAATAAATAAATAAATAAATAAAGGAAAGGTTATAAGGCCGGGCATGGTTGCTTACGCCTGTAATCCCAGCACTTTGGGAGGCCGAGGCGGTGGATCATGTGAGGTCAGGAATATGAGACCAGCATGGTCAACATGGTGAAACCCTGTCTCTACAAAAATACAAACTTAACCAGGCATGATGGTGGCTGCCTGTAGTCCGAGGTACTCAGGAGGCTGAGGCAGGAGAATGGCTTGAACCCAGGTGGTGGAGGTTGCAGTGAGCCAAGATCACGCCATTGCACTCCAGCCTGGGCGACAGAGCAAGACTCCATCTCAAATAAATAAAAATAAATAAATAAAATACAAAAAATTAGCTGGGTGTGATGGTGCACGCGTTTAGTCCCAGCTACTCAGGAGGCTGAGACAGCAGAATGGCTTGAACCTGAAAGGTGGAGGTTGCAGTGAGCTGAGATCATGCCATTGCGCTCCAGAGCGAGACTCTGTCTCAAAAACAACAACAACAAAAAAACGCGAGGCACAGTGGCTCACGCCTGTAATCCCAGCACCTTGGGAGGCTGAGGTGGGGGGGATCACCTGAGGTCAGTTCAAGACCAGCCTGGCCAACATGGAAACCCCATCTCTACTAAAAATACAAAAATTAGCCGGGCATGGTGGCGGGTGCCTGTAATCCCAGCTACTTGGGAGGCTGAGGCAGGAGAATCACTTTAACCCAGGAAGCAGAGGTTGCAGTGAGCCAAGATCGCGCCACTGCACTCCAGCCTGGGTGGCAGACTGAGACTCCATCTCAAAAAAAAAAAAAAAAAAAAACCCAGTTATATAGCACTGTATTTTTTTAGAGACATGATCTTGCTCTGTCACTCAGGTTGGAGTGCAGTGGCATGATCATAACCCATTGTAACCTCAGACTCCCAGTCTCAAGCAATCCCCCTGCCTCATCCTCCCTAGTAGCTGGGACCACAGGTATACACCACCACACCTGGATAATTTTTGATTTTTTTTTTTTTTTGTAGAGACAGGGTCTCACTATGTTGCCCAGGCTGGTCTCAAACTCCTGGCCTCTAGCAATCATCCCACCTCGGCCTCCCAAAATGCTGGGATTCCAGGCGTGAGCCACCACACCTGGCCTGTATCCCTGACTAGGTGACATACACAGTCGGGTGCTGCATCACCACGTTTCAGTCAGTGATGGACTGCACATGCGACAATGTCCCATAAAATTACAACGAAGCCGGACTCCTATCACCTAGTGATGCTGCAGCCATCACAATGCTGTAGCACAATTACTTTATTTTTTTAAATTTAGGGTAGCCTAAGAGTACAGTGCTTATAAAGTCTACAGGAGTGTACAGTGCTGTCCTAGCCTTCACATTCACTCACCACTCACTCACTCACACCTGGAGCAACTTCCGGTCCTGCAAGCTCCATTCCTGGTAAGTGTCCCATACAGGCGTACCATTTGTCATCTTTTATTTATTTTTCTGAGATGGAGTCTCACTCTCTCACCCAGGCTGGAGTGCAGTGGCATGATCTCCGCTCACTGCAACCTCCATCTCCCAGGTTCAAGTGATCCTCCTGCCTCAACCTCCCAAATAGCTGGGATTACAGGCGTGCACCACCACACCTGGCTAACTTCTTTGTATTTTTTTTTTTTTTCAGCCAGAGTCTCTATCTGTTGTCCAGGTTGGAGTGCAGTGGCATGATCTTGGCTCACTGCAACCCCCGCCTCCCGGGTTCAAGCGATTCTCCTGCCTCAGCCTCCCAAGCAGCTGGGATTACAGGCACGTGCCACCATGCCTGGCTAATTTTTGTGTTTTTAGTAGAGATGGGGTTTCACCATGCTGGTCCTGCTGGTCTCAAACTCCTGACCTCGTGATCCGCCCACCTCAGCTCCCAAAGTGCTGGGATTACATGCGTGAGCCACCGTGCCTGGCCTAAACTTCTTTGTATTTTTAGCAGAGACGAGGTTTCACCATGTTGGCCAGGCTGGTTTCGAACTCCTGACCTCAAGTGATCTGCCCACCTCAGCTTCCCAAAGTGCTAGGATTACAGGCATGAACTACTGCTCCTGGCCCATTTTCCATCTTTTATACCATAGTTTTACTGTACCTTTTTTATGTTCAGATATGTTTATATACACAAATACTTACCATTGTGTTACAATTGCCCACTGTGTTCAGTACAGTTAAATGCTGTGCATGCTTGTAGCCTATGAGCTGTAGGTTACTTTATATAGCCTAGGTGTGGGGTAGGCTGTACCATCTACGTTTGCATAAGTCACTCTATGATGTTCACACCCTGACGAAATTGCCTAACCATGCATTTCTTAGAACTTAAGACCGTATAGATGACCATATAGAAAACCAGAGACTGGGCCAGGTGTGGTGGCTCACACCTGTAATCCCAGCACTTTGGGAGGCCGAGGTGGGTGGATCACCTGAGGTCTGGAGTTGGAGACCAGCCTGGCCAACATGGTGAAACCCTGTCTCTATTAAAAATGCAAAAAATTAGCCGGGACTGGTGGTGGGCACCTATAATCCCAGATACTCAGGAGGCTGAGGCAGGAGAATCACTTGAATCCAAGAGGCAAAGATCGCACCATTGCACTCCAGCGCCTGGACCACAAGAGTGAAACTCCGTCTCAAAAAAAAAAAAAAAAAGGAACCGGGAAGGTCATGAAAGGAGCGTGCTCATGCACAAATGCCTGATAGGAACGATTGCGGAAGACTCTCCAAAAACCACAACCTCGCACAAAGTCCACTGCAACGTTACACAGAAAGTACTTTTGTCCAGTAACTGCCTGTCCAACCTTGGACTGATGCCACCCTTGTTTCAAGTCTCGTAGCCAAGGATAATTGATTCAAAACACTTTATGTAATCCTCCTCATTTTGCCTTTGAAAACTTCCCCTTGGCTGGGCATGGTGGCTCACACCTGTAATCCAAGCACTTTGGGAGGCTGACCCAGGCAGACCCCTAGAGTCCAGGAGTTTGAGATCGGCCTGGGCAATATGGTGAAACTCTGTCTCTAGAAAAGATACAAAAATTAGCTGGGCATGGTGGTGTGCGACTGTATTCCCAGCTACTCAGGAGGCTGAGGTGGGAGGATGGCTTGAGGACGGGAAGCGGGGGTTGCAGTGAGCCGAGATTGCACCACTGTTCTCCAACCTGGGCAACAGATCGAGATCTTGTCTCAAAATAATAATAATAATAATTATTATTGTTATTATTATTTAAAAATTTAAAACTTCGCCTTGCCTCAATCTCCTCTTTTTTTTTTTTTTTTTAAGATAAGGAGAGGCCAGCTATGCAGTGGCTCACACCTGTAATCCCAATACTTTGGGAGGCCAAGACGGGCAGATCACAAGATCAGGAGTTTGAGACCAGCCTGGCCAATATGGTGAATCCCCAACTCTACTAAAAATACAAATTAGCTGGGTGTGGTGGCAGGCACCTGTAGTCCCAGCTACTCGGGAGGCTGAGGCAGGAGAATCACTTGAACCAGGTTGCAGTGAGCTGAGATCACACCACTGCACACCAGCCTGGGCAATAGAGAGAGACTCCATCTAAAAAAAAAAACACACACAAAAAAAGAGAGAGACATAGGATTGGGCCGGGCACAGTGGCTCACGCCTGTAATCCTAGCATGTTAGGAGGCTTAGGCAGGTGGACCACCTGAGGTCTGGAGTTTCAGACCAGCCCAGTTAACATGGCAAAACCCCATCTCTACTGAAAATACAAAAATTAGCCAGGTGTGGTGGCACCTGCCTTTAGTCCCAACTACTTGGAGGCTGAGGCAGGAGAATCACTTGAACCCAGGAGGCAGAGGTTGCAGTGAGCTGATTGCATCAGTGCACTCCAGCCTGGATGAGAGAGACTCCATCTCAAAAAAAAAAGAAGAAGAAGAAAGAAAGAAAGAAGGAAGGAAGGGAGGGAGGGAGGGAGGGAGGGAGGGAGGGTGGGAGGGAAAGAAATTATTATGTGAGATAAGACAGGTGGATCTCGTGAGCCCAGGAGTTTGAGGCCATCCTGGGCAACATAATGAGACCCCCATCTCTATTAGAAAATAATAATAGTAAAAATAAAAAATAATTTAAAAAGTATTACTTCTAACTATAATGGAACTAAGCTAAAAGCCAACAATAAAATGAAATTTAGAAAATCTCTAAATATAAGAAAACTAAACAACATACTTGTAGATGACCTATGTGTCAAAGAAGGAATCTGGCTAGGTGTGGTGGCTCATGCCTATAATCCCAGCCAAGGGAGGCCAAGGCCAGTGGATCACCTTAGATCAGGAGTTCGAGACCAGCCTGGCCAACACGGTGAAACCGTGTCTCTACTAAAAAATACAAACATTAGCTGGGCGTGGTGGCTCATGCCTGTAGTCCCAGCTACTTGATAGGCTGAGGCAGGAGGATTGCTTGAACCTGGGAGGTGGAGGTTGTGGTGAGCTGAGATCACGCCACTGTACTCCAGCCTGGGTGACAGAGTGAGACTCCATCTAAAAAAAAAAAAAAAAAAAATCAAAAATGAATTTAGAAAATACCTTGAGCTGAATAAAAACAAAAACACAGGAAATAAAAATGTACAGGATGCTGGCAATGTAGTAATTAGCGGGAAACTTATAGCTTAAAAAACATATTAGTGTTGAGTCAGCCTGGTGAAAATTTTAAAAACCCCAACACATTAGAATGGAAAGAAGGCCTAAAATCAATAATTTAGGCTTCCACCTCCAAAGCTAGAAAAAGAAGAGTAAATCAAACTCAAAGAAAATAGTAAGAAGGAAGTAATAAAGATCTAAATGGACAGCAATGAAACAGAAATATAAAAACAATAGAGAAAAAGCAATGAAACTGAAATTGGCTCATTGAAAACATCAACAAAACCGGTATTGAAAAGATTAACAGGCCAGGTGTGGTGGCTCACACCTGTAATCCCAGCAGTTTGAGAGGCCAAGGTGGGTAGATCACTTGAGGTCAGGCGTTCGAGACCAGCCCGGTCGACATGGAGAAACCCTGTCTCTACTAACAATACAAAAATTAACTGGGCATGGTGGCACACACCTGTAATCCCAGCTGGAGGCTGAGACAGGAGAATCACTTGAACCCAAGAGGCCGAGGTTGCAGTGAGTCGAGATCATGCCACTGTACTCCAGCCTGGGTGACAGAGTGAGACTCTTGTCTCAAAAAAAGAAAAGATCAGCAAAACTGGGCCGGGTGCAGTGGTTCCCACCTGTAATCCCAGCACTTTGGAAGGCCGAGGCAGGTGGATCACCTGAGATCAAGAATTCAAGACCAGCCTGGCCAACATGGTGAAACCCCGTCCCTACTAAAAATACAAAAATTGGTGGGGCATGGTGGTGGGCACCTGTAATCCCAGCTACTCAGGAGGCTGAGGCAGGAGAATCGCTTGAATCCGGAGGTGGAGGTTGATGTGAGCCGAGATCACACCACTGCACTCCAGCCTTTGGCGACAGAGTGAAACTCTGTCTCAAAAACAAACAAACAAACAAACAAACTAGTATACTGGTTTTCAATGAAATCAGTTAGCTCATTAAAAAGTTCAACAAAAGAGTAAGAAAAATAAAAAAGACAGAAGCCCTCAATTACCAAAAGCAAGAATGAAGGAGGGAAAAACACTAACATGGTACACAAATTTTAAAAAATCACAGGGGAATATTATGAACAGATTTAGGTCAACTAATTAGGCAATTTAAATGAAATGAACAAATCCCTAGAGAGACACAAATTACCAAAACTGACTCAAGAACAAAATAGAAACACAGATACAATTTTTGTACAAGTATCCATTGAAATGTATTGAAAAATGAAAATGACATAGAATAAACAAAACAATTTTGAGAAAGGAGAACAAAGTTGCAAGGCATATAATGTGACTTTAAGACTCACTATTCACTTTGGGAGGTCAAGGTGGGTGGATGGCTTGAGCCCAGGAATTCCAGACCAGCCTGGGCAACATGGCGAGACCATGTCTCTCCAAAAAATACAGAAATTAACTGGGTGTGGTGGCATGTGCCTGTAGTCCCAGCTACTTAGGAGGGTGAGCCCAGGAGGTTGAAACCACAGTGAACTGTGATCGCACCACTGCACTCCAGCTTGGGAAACAAAGTGAGAATCTGTCTCAAAAAAAAAAAAAAAGAAGAAGAAGAAGCCAGGCGCAGTGGCTCATGCTTGTAATGCCAGCACTTTGGGAGGCCGAGGTGGGCAGATCACCTGAGGTCAGGAGTTCGAGACCAGCCTGACCAACATGGTGAAATCCCATCTCTACTAAAACTACAAAAATTAGCTGGGCATGGTGGCAGGCACCTGTAATCCCAGCACTCAGGAGGCTGAGGCAGGAGAATTGCTTGAACTCAGGAGGCAGAGGTTGCAGTGAGCTGAGATTGTGCCATTGCACTCCAGCCTGGGTGACAGAGAGAGACTCCGTCTTTTTTAAAGGAAAAAAAAAAAAAAGGCCAGGCGCAGTGGCTCACGTCTGTAATCTCAGCACTTTGGGAGGCCGAGGCAGGTGGATCACAAGGTCAGGAGTTAAGAGACCAGCCTGGCTAACACGGTGAAACCCCGTCTCTACTAAACATACAAAAAAATTAGCCGGGCGTGGTGGTGGGTGCCTGTAGTCCCAGCTACTCTGGAGGCTGAGGCAGGAGAATGGCGTGAACCCAGGAGGCGGAGCTTGCAGTGAGCAGAGATCACGCCACTGCACTCCAGCCTGGGCGACAAAGTAAGACTCCGTCTCAAAAAAAAAAAAAAAAAAAAAGAGAGAAAGACTCACTATAAAGCTACAGTAATCAGGAATATGCTATCATGATAAGGATAGATATATAAATCAAGGAATCAGAAGAATGATTAAGTCCAGATTTAAAACAACAAAAATGGTCAATTAATTTTTAACAAAATTGCCAATATAATTCAATGAGGAGAAAAAACAGTCACTTCAACAAATGGTGCTGAAATAACTGGACATCTATAGAGTGAGAAAAGAACCTTGACCCTTAACTCATACCACACACAAAAATTAACTAAAAATAACTAAAAATTAACTAGAAATAATATATTAACTAATGAGACAAAAATTAACTAAAGTTAGGCCGAGTGCTGTGACTCACGCCTGTAATCCCAGCACTTTGGGAGACCAAGGCGGGTGGATCACCTGAAGTCAGGAATTCAAGAACAGCCTGGCCAACATGGTGAAACCCTGTCTCTACTAAAAATACAAAAATTAGCCGGGCGTGGTGGCGGGTGCCTGTAATCCCAGATACTCAGTAGACTGAGGCAGGAGAATCGCTTGAACCCGGGAGGTGGAGATTGCAGTGAGCCGAGATCACGCCATTGCACTCCAGCCTGGTTGAGAAGAGTGAATTTCCATCTCAAAAAAAAAAAAAATTAACTAAGGTTTAAAAACTAAACTTAAATGCTAAAACTATAAACCTTCTACAATAAAATGTAAAAAGAAATCTTTGTGACAAATGTTTCTCACGAAGATTTCTTAAGCAAAGATTTAAGTAGGTCACAAAAGCACACTACATAACAGAAAAAATAACTGATAAAATGAACGCCATCACGATTAGACTTTTGTTCTGAGGAAGACATCTTTAAGAAAATAAAAAGGCTCGGTCAGGCGTGGGGGCTCACCTCTGTAATCCCAGCAGTTTGAGAGGCCGAGGCGGGTGGATCACCTGAGGTCAGGAGTTCCAGACCAGCCTGGCCAACATGATGAAACCCCATCTCTACTAAAAATACAAAAATTAGCCAGGCATGGTGGCAGGTGCCTGTAATCCCAGCTACTTGGGAGGCTGAGGCAGGAGAATCACTTGAACCTGGGAGGAGGGGGTTGCAGTGAACTGAGATTGTGCCACTGCACGCCAGCCTGAGCGACAGAGACTCTGTCTCAAAAAATAAAATAAACTAAAAATAAAGAAAATGAAAAGGCTAGCCGGGCACGGTGGCTCACACCTGTAATCCCAGCACTTTGGGAGGCCAAGGTGGGTGGATCACCTGAGGTCAGGAGTTTGAGATCAGCCTGGCCAATGTGGTGACAACCCGTCTCTACTAAAAATACAAAAATTGGCTAGCGTGGTGGCGGGCGCCTGTAATCCCAGCTACTCTGGAGGCTGAGGCAGGAGAATTGCTTGAACCTGGGAGGTGGAGGTTGCAGTGAGCCGAGATCCTGCCATTGTACTGCAGCGTGGGCAACAAGAGCAAAACTCCGTCTCAAAAAAAAAAAAAAAAAGAAAAAAAGAAAAGAAAATGAAAAGGCTAACCACAGAAGGAGAGAAAATATTCATATTACATATATTTGACAAAGGAAATATCCAGAAAATATGAAAAGCTCTTGCAACTCAATAAGAAGAAAATAAACAATCCAATTGAAAATGAGCAAAAGATTTGAACAGGCGATTCACAAGAGAGGATATCGAATGGCCACAGGCATGTCAAATAATGGTCAAGAACATTAAAGGAAAATGCAAATGGAAACAGCAATGAAATATCAATAAACATCCACTAGAATGGATAAAATTAAAACAAACAAAAAAACCCCAAAACCTGACAATACCAAGTATTGATAAGGATAAAGCTTAGCTGAAATGTTCATATACTGAAGGTTGGGAGTATAGAGTGGTTCAATCATACTGAAAAATAGTTTGGCCATTTCTTTCTTTTTTTCCTGAGCAGATCACAAACTTGAAGTGTTTTTTGTTGTTGTTCATTTTGTTTTTTGTTTTGTTTTGTTTTGGAGACGGAGTTTTGCTCTGTCGCCCAGGCTGGAGTGCAATGGCATGATCTCGGTTCACTGCAACCTCCGCCTCCCGGGTTCAGGCGATTCTCCTGCCTCAGCCTCCCGAGGAGCTGGGAATACAGGCACCTGCCACCACACCTGGCTAATTTTTGTATTTTTAGTAGAGACGAGGTTTCATCATGTTAGTCAGGCTGGTCTCAAACTCCTGACCTCAGATTATCCACCTGCCTCAGTCTCCCAAAGTGCTGGGATTACAGGCATGAGCCGCCACGCCCGACCTGAAATTTCTTATAAAGGTAAGCATATTGGGCAGGGCACAGGGGCTCATGCCTGTAACCACACCATTTTGGGAGGCTGAGGCAGGAGGATTGCTTGAGCCCAGGAGTTTGAGACCAGCCTGGAGAATACAGTGAGACCTTGCCTCTAAAAAAAATTTAAAAATTAGGCTGGGCGTGGTGGCTCATGCCTGTAATCCCAGCACTTTGGGAGGCCGAAGCAGGTGGATAACCTGAGGTCAGCAATTCAAGACCAGCCTGGCCAATATGATGAAACCCTGCCTCTACTAAAAATACAAACAATTAGTCGGGCATGGTGGCACACGTCTGTAATCCCAGCTACTCGGGAAGCTGAGGCACAAGAATCGCTTGAACTCAGGAAGTGGAGGTTGCAGTGAACAGAGATCGCGTCATTGCACTCCAGCCTGGGTGACAGAGTGGAACTCCATCTCAAAAATAAATAAATAAATAAATAAATAAATAAATAAATAAATAAAATCAAATAAAAATTATCTATGCATAGTGGCATACACCCATAGTCCCAGCTGCTCTAGAGGCTGAGGCAGGAGGATTGCTTGAGCCAAGGTGGAGGCTGCAGTGAGCTATGGTGGTGCCACTGCACTCCAGCCTCAGTGACAGAGGGAGACCCTGGCTCAAATAATAATAATAATAAATAAATAAACTTAAACATACACTTATATGACACAGCAACTCAACTCCTGGGTATTTACCCAAAAGAAATCAAAACATCAGCCCACAAAAAGACTTTTCATACAATCTTTATTCATAAACATCCACACTGGAAACAACTCACGTGTACATCAACAGGTGAACAGATCAGCAAACTCAGGTTCACACAATGGATTACAACCCAAAGAAATGAACTGCATGAAGAAAACACACGAATGAACTTAAACATTATGTGCGCTAAGCAGAAGTAGCCAGACTTTTACAAAAAGAGTACTATACTTTTCTACCCAGATTTATTTATTTATTTATTTATTTAGAGAAGGAGTTTCGCTCTTGTCCCCCAGGCTGGAGTGCAGTGACGTGATCTCGACTCACTGCAACCTCCACCTCCCAGGTTCAAGCGATTCTCCTGCCTCAGCCTCCCGAGTAGCTGGGACTAGAGGCATGCGACACCATGCCCAAATAATTTTTCTATTTTCAGTAGAGACAGGTTTCACCATGTTGGCCAGGCTGGTCTTGAACTCCTGACCTCAGGTGATCCACCCACCTCAGCCTCCCAAAGTACTGGAATTATAGGAGAGGGCCACCGCGCCCAGCCTCCACCAAGTTTTAGAGCAGGAAAAACTAATTTAAGAAGCTTGAGAGTGGATCAGTGGTCACCACCCAGGTGCCAGGGGTGTGGCTGGGAGGGGTGATGGAAATCTCATAAGTAGACTCTACCTTGATCATGGTGGCCACACAATGGGATGTGTTTGTCTAAATTCACGGAAATGTACACTTTTTAAAATTTTTTTTATTTACTTATTTATTTTTTTGAGATGGTGTCTTGCTCTGTTGCCCAGGCTGGAGTGCAGTGGCACCATCTCGGGTCGCTGCAACCTCTGCCTCCCAGGTTCAAGCGATCCTCCTGCCTCAGCCCCCATAGTAGCTGGGATTACAGGCATGCGCCACCACGCCCAGCTAATTTTTGTATTTTTAGTAGAGATGGGGTTTCACCATGTTGGCCAGGCTGGTCTCGAACTCCTGACCTCAGGTGATCCACCTGCTTCGGCATTCCAAAGTGCTGGGATTACAGGCGTGAGCCACCCCACCCAGCCAAAACTGTACACTTTAAAAGGAAGAATTTTACTGTGTATAAATGACATCTCAATGAAGTTGATATTAAAAACACCAAGGCTAGGTGAGGTGGCTCACGCTTCTGTTCCTAGCACTTTGGGAGGCTGAGGCAGCAGGATTGCTTGAGTCCAGGAGTTCCTACTGTGTCTAGCCACTGTGCCAACCCTTCCTTGAGTTCCCAATTGGGAAACTTCCCAATGAGGAATTTGATGCCTACAGAGGTTGAGTGACCCTGTCCTTAAAAAAAAATTTTTTTTTTTAATTAGCCAGGAACGGTGGTGCGTGCCTGTAGTCCCAGGTACTCTGGAGGCTGAGTCAGGAGGATCGCTTGAGCCTTGGAGGTCGAGGCTTCAGTGAGCTGGGATCATGCCCCTATGCTCCAGCCTGGGTGAGACAGAGCAAGACGTTGTCTTTGAAAATATATAAAAAGTGGCTGGGTGCAGTGGCTCACATCTGTAATCCCTGCACTTTGGGAGGCTGAGGTGGGTGGATCACCTGAGGTCAGGAGTTCGAGACCAGCCTGACCAACATGGTGAAACCCCATTTCTACTAAAAATACAAAAATTAGCTGGGCATGGTGGCACACACCTGTAATCCCAACTACTCGGGAGGCTGAGACAGGAGAATCGCTTGAACCCAGGAAGTGGAGGTTGCAGTGAGCCAAGATTGCGCCACTGCATTCCAGCCTGGGCAATAGAGCGAGACTCTGTCTCAAAAAAAAAAAAAAAAACAAAAACGGATATATATATATGTATATACATATATACACACACATATACACATATACATATACACAAACACACACACACACGCACACACACACACACACATATGTATAAAGTAATAAATGAAAGCAAACAAAATGTAATTTCCAGAGGCTAAGACCCCAAGGAGAGGAATCGCATTCACTTGGGTCCACCATCTACTTGATGTGTGATCTTAAACCAATTCACTCAACCTTCGTGGGCACCAAATTCCTCATTAGGAAACTATGCATAGAGGATCTCCTTCAGAAGGTTGTTTCGGGGATTGAAGGAATGGTTAGCGCAGCGGCTACACATAGTAGGAACTCAGGGAATGCTGCTGGGACTCACGTTCCTAAGCCATGAAAACCGTCCAGTGGGTGGAGGGTGCTACCATTTATGCATGGAGGGGAAGAAACTACCCGTGCATATGTGCAGAGGTCCACAGGGGATTTTCTGAAAGATACACATGAAATGAAGACCAGGGAAACAGCAGTATTCTCCCAGTAAAGAGGATAGATGTATGTGTACATATATGTGCATATACATATATACACGTATATTTATAAATGACAAACACACAAAAATAACAGTATAAATCTCCATTTGTTATATATTTAAATTTTTTGTAGCGATCGGGCTGTTGCTATATTATCAAGGCTGGTCTCATACACCTGGCCTCAAGCGATGCTCCGACATCAGCCTTCCAAAGTGCTGGGATTACAGGCCTGAGGCATCGCGCCCAGCTCCAAATCTCCATTCTCGGTGAACCATTTGAGAAAAAATCGCAAACATGTTGCATCTCCAAATACCTAACTATGTTTTCCACAAACAGGGACAGGTTCCCACGTGCACACTGTAAGGCACGGTGAAAATCGGGACATTAACACGGCTGAATCGCTACCATCTAATCCGAAGGCCCAACCACATTCACCACTTGTGCCAATAATATGTTCATTTCACTGTATGTTTTGAAATGTGTACCACATGTATATGTTATCTTTACGAAAAAAAAAATAGTATGTTGAAACCACTCGTCACAGCCAAATGAAATAAGAGCTAACTCATTCAAGCAGGAGCCCCGGAGGACTAAAAGAATCCGGCCTCTCCCAGGCCTCCTCACCTGAGCAGGGCTCCCTCCTGACTACCGCCCACCCACTCCAGGGCAGGACGCGGGAAGAGACTGCCCAGCCCGAGGGTCGCAGGGGCAGAAAACCCCAGGTCCTGAACGCGCCTGGGCCCCGCGGCGAACCTGGCGTCCCCACCAGACACCAGAATCAGATTCAGGCCAGGCCAGGAACCACCCCAGCTTCCTGCATCCGCCTTGGTCCAGGCAGCAATGACGGCGGCGGCCGCCAGGGGGACGGAAGCTCAAGGGCGGGGATCCAGGCCCAAGCCTGGGCGCGCCCACCAAGGCGTGGATCCGGACGAAGGTTCCGGAACAGCCGGTCCCGAGCACCCACGTGCAGCTTCCGATCACAGCCCTGGCGTGGCTTCTCTGTCCCCGGCTAAGGCCCGCGGTCGCTGCAGGGTGCCTCGCCGAGGGTGCGGGCTCGGGGCTCACAGTGCTCCCAGCCTCTCCCACCCCAACCCCGCCATTAAGGGGAGCCCCAGCGACGCCCTGAACCCTGAAAGTCACACTGGGGCCGGGGCTGCACTTGGCGTCCGCTTCCCCTCCCGTCACAGTGACCAGGGCTAGGGCCGCGGTCGGGGCCGTCGGGGAGAGCGGAGGGCGCGTGGGAATGGGGCTCGCTGCGCCACGGAAATCCCGCGCCGCCCTTCGAGTCCTCCCAGCTGCTCCGCAGAGCCGGGGCCGCTGCCATCGCGTCTGCCCCGAGGGTGCGCAGGCGGGTACCTGTCCCGACTCGGGGAACAGCGGGAGCCCGGAGACGCCCGTCGGGCTTCCCAGCCCCACCTGGGACGTCTCTAGGGGCGGGAGGCCAGGAGAGAAGAGGGTGGGAGAGATGAGCTGCAGGGGGATACGGGACCCAGGGACCCGGGATCTTATAACACGCTTTCCACCCGTAGGATTGGGGCCCACAAATGACCAGAAAGGTGGGACTCATTCGCCCCCTTTGCAGATGGACCCATGTTGGCGCCCCTTAGATCTGCAGTGGGGGCACCAGGACCTGCGGTGAGCGCCTCTGCGCCCCAAACGCCAGCAGGTCCGCCCGACCGCATTCCCAGCTGGCTTGCTTTGCACAAATGCTGCGTCAGGGCACGCCCCACACCCACTCCTTCCCAGATCGCGACCCTCACGCCTTCGCAGACAGAAAGTGTCCTAAGCACAGGCAGGCTCAGAGCCCGCCTCCGCCTCGGATTCGCTGTGTGGCCCGGAGCCAGTATCTTGGCCTCTCTGGGTCTCAGTTTGCTCATCTCAGTGAATGGGACACAGACACAGTCGCGCTGCGGGCTAACGCTTTATTTGCCAGCCAAGGCCCCGGGCCCGCCTGGGCTTCTGCTCAGAAGATCCTCACGGAGTCCAGCTGCACGTCCCCGCCCACCTCCACCAGGCGCACGCGCGCCAGCGGCAGGCGGTGGCGGAAGTGGTGGTACTGGGCGTCCCCAACCACGGCCTGCAGGGGAGGGTCGGTGGTGAGGATTCCGGAGGCCCGTGCTGGGTGGCCCTGGGGAAATCACTCATCCCCTCTGGGCCTCAGTTTCCTCACTGGGAAAATGGGGCTATTGTTCATTCTAACTCTTGCGTGAGGATCAAACGAGTTGACTGTGTGGCACAGTAAAAAGAGGCTTTTTTAGTGCTGGTAATGGATATTCTCATTTCAGCGACCATTACCCGCTATTAAAGCGCAGAGGAGGGAGGTGAATTCGCGTAAGCTGTGGGTGGTGGAGGATCTGCCGCCACTCCCACCCGCCAATCCTTGCTAGGACGAGTTCCTGGGCGCTGTTTCCAACCCATCCCTCCCCATGCCTCAAACCCCGGACCTCAGGAAGGAATGAACTGGGAGTAGGGTCTGGGATGGCGAGTCTGGGCCACGCCTTCCCGCTAGGACGCCCACCCCTTGGACACTTGGCTGGTGCTCGCCTCGTCCTGACCCTGCTGTCTCTCTGTCCCTCGGACCCAAGTGGGAGTTGTTTAGGCGAGAGAGAGGGTCGAAGGACACCCTTCTCCGCCTTGGCCACGACTTCCCTACCCCCCTCACCCCGCCCCGAACCTCCCTGCCTTCCACCAATAGCCTGGCTTTGCCCAACCCTCTGCTCCAGGGACCTAAGTCTTGGCGTCCACGCCCCTGTCGCAGAGACGCACCTTGAAGCCGTCGTCTGACGCGATGATGAGCACCTCGAAGGGCTGCCCGCGCTGGAAAGGAACGCCCGGCCCGCGCTCCTCGCGGCCCCAGGAGCCTTGCTCCTTGCTGTTGAAGACCACCTCCGACGTGTCCAGCCGGGGGTTGAAATGCAGCGCGGCATCGGAGCCCTGCTCCTCCCCGCACAGCAGGTTTACATGGAACCTGGAAGAGGAGGATGGTGGCCGTCAGGGCTCAGAAACCACCCAGACCAAGAAATGTTGAGGGTGAGGAATACCGATGTCTACAATTTACTTTGAATGAATAAGTAAATGAAATGTTGGCTGGGTGCAGTGGCTCACCCTGTAATCCCAGCACTCTGGGAGGTGGAGAAGGGAGGATCGCTTGGGCCCGGAAGTTAAAGACCAGCCTGGGCAACATAGCGAGACCCCACCTTACAAAAAAACGAAAGAACAAACAAAACATAAACCGCCCAGACCAAAGTGAAGGTCTTATGGACTGGCACTCCCCATTCCCAGAGTACCCCCAAATTAACAGGGACCTGAAGACAGGCACACACCGCAGAAGGAGAGGTAGGCGACTAATGACCAGGGAGCTTAGATTCCCAAGGCAGCCAAAATATCATGAGGCCCTTGGCAGAAACCTACCCAGACCAAACTCACTACGCTTAGGGCAGGGTGCCCTCATTTCCAAAGAGCCTGGGAGCTGCCCAGGAGGTCTGGGTGATAGCCAGGGTGCTCCTGATGCTCAGGGAACCCTCAGCTTCTACAGGACAAAGAATAATACCAGGAACCCCAGTATTTCCAGGGTACCTCAGAATCCAGAAGGCCCGAAGTTCCTTAGCCAGGAAGTCAAAGGATGGCTTGGCAAGGACTCCCAGGGTCCAGGGTGTCTCCAGGACTTGGAGTATTTCCAGAGTTCCCTGGGACTCAGACATGGAAGTCATAGGACTATATCTAGGAACCCTGAGATTACCCAGGGACCTCAAATGCTTAGGGAAACTTAGGGACCCCAGCCACAAAGGCACGGGGGCAAATACGAATACATCAGATTTGAGGTCAGAAATGGCCTCGGACTCCTAGCCTGGTGGATACAGGTGGCCTCGGGCCCCTACTTCTGGACTGCAAAAATTGGGAGTCAGCTGATCCTGAGACCTGTACCCTTTACCCCTAGGGCCTGGGGCCTCACCTGCTGGCATTGGGAGGAACCAAGCCGCGAATTCTCAGCACCGTGCCAGGGCGGATGCCCTCGGGCAGTGAGGACTTGTGGGGGACGTTCTGCAAGAGTGGGGTGCAGGGGCCACTGTGAGCCGGTGAGACCGAAGGAGGGAGGCAGAAGGTGGGTCACCCCTCAGAGGAGCCGACCAGGGCTGAGACTGGCAGAAATCAGTGGAAGAGGAAAGGGTGGCGGAGAGGCAGGAAAGAGACCAGAAACAGACAGGGAAACAGATGGGGAGAGCAACAAAGACAAACAGAAAGATCCTCAAAGAGGGCCCCAGAGGAAGCCACAAAGAGGTAGAGGGGACAGTCGGGATGGGGGTTACCCGGAGGCCACAGCCCAGGCCAGTCCGTGGCACACTCACTGCCCACTTGCTCCTTTGAAAGAGGAGCCCCCAGCCCCCTCCCTGCTTGGCCCCGCCCCGGGCCCCTGGAGCACTCACGGACATGGCTGGGACCGGGTTGGGCAGCCGTGGTGGTGGGGCCTGCTGGGGACCTTAAATAAAAGCAGGGCGGGGCTGGCCCTGATGACTCACCCCACCCCTTCCCACCCACCACCCACACCTGGCACGGACCCTGGCCCTGGGGCAAGCCCGGCGAAGCGGGAGTGGCACCTCTTCTTGGGGGCCCTGATCCCCCCATCACCCAGGGCCCGGGTGCACTGCCCCTCTCCTAGGAGCTGATAATAAGAGGGAATGTTTAATAGTAATAAACTCACAGCAGAGAAGGCTCCTTGTGCCACTGCCCCTCCACCCCTGTCTTCCCGCTGCCTGGCACACGGAGAGCCTCTATCTCATTTCATGTATTTATTTGTTAGTAATTTCTCTTATTTTATACACAGACATATTAGGTCCTGGGAGGCCAATCTGGGTGGGAACTCCAGACCCTTCTCTCCAGCTGAGAACCTCCTGCCTGGACTGATCCGTGCTGAAATCTAAGCTTCTGCCTCTGTAATGGAACAGCGGCCACAATAGGAGCACTAGTGACTGACAGGGTGGCTTCATGGGTTCACAGGGGGCCTGCCTGATCCCCTCAGCGCTGCACCCCTGGGTCCTGGAGTGTGCCCAGTTCATGGAAGTCCTCAGTCAGGAGGGGTGAAAGGAGGGGATCCACTAGGACTATGCCTGTCATTTCCAAGGCCCCTCGGCTGCCCAGGAGATGCAGGAAATCACTGATTGGGACCCCATCATTCCAACAGGGAGGAGTATGGGTCACCCCCATTGTACAGAGGAGGAGGCTGAAGCTGGGATGGGAAGCGATTTGCCAAAGGCAGGAGCGTGCAGGACCCGTTGCCCTGACCTCTGGCTCTCCTCACCTCTGCTCGCACCTCTCCTGTGGGTTCTGTCTCTGGGGCTGGCTGTCTCACTCTGTCCGTCTCTGCCCCTAACTCTGTCTACCACATATTCCTGTCCCACTTCTCTCCTTCAAGTCTCTCTTCTTCCTCCTTCCAGGACTGCTACCATCATGCCACCAAGTTTGTAGGTCAGGATGAGGTGGGTTTTGGGGTGGTGGGTGGCCTAGCATTCCATCACCACCTAGATCAAAAGCAGAGCAAGGCGGGGACCCTCCCGCCAGGCCCGAAACAGCCCCCTTGGGCCTAAGACTCTGCAAGAGAACTCAGGGTTGGGGAATTGGCTTGGTGGAGGGGCGGGTAGGGCTGAAAGATGCTTCTGAAAGGCAGGGATGGTGTGGGAGCTGAGCAGAAACCACTCCTAGCAGCCCAGCAGCCCTCCTGGACCTTTTCCACTCGCCACTCCAGCTCCTGCCCCACCCAGCAGGCTGCTGAGAGGCCTGGGCAGAGGCAGGCTGGCAGTGGAAAGTTTGGGTGGAGACAGCAGACCCAGAACCATCCTCCACCCTCTGCGTCCCAGGCCCCCAGCCTCTCGCCCCCTCCCCACACACTCCAAGGCACCAAGCTCAGGGACCAGTTCTTGGGAACATGAGCTCAGAGAGGGAGGCTAGCAGCTGCATTTCAGTAGGGGCTGCAAGCACCCCCATTCTGCAGAGGACAAAACTGAGGCTTAGACAGGGGCCACCTCTCAGTCAAGGAAGAGGCCAGCCCCTCAGCTCCAGAGGGGTCTTTGTGCCAAGGACATGTCATGGGCACGGACAGAGAGGATAGCAGGGTGTCCGGTGATCATACCACCAGCCCAGCTCAGTTAGTTCCCGAGAATGTTCCCCTGAATGGTGGACTCCATTGTTCTAACATTATTGACCATTCTAAAGAAGACACTCTCGCCTGGGCAACACAGCAAGACCTCATCACTACAAAAAATAAAAATAAAATAAAATAGCCCAGTGGGTTGGCGCACATCTGCCTGTAATTCCAGCTACTTGGGAGGCTGAGGCAGGAGAATTGCTTGAGCCCAGGAGATCAGAGGCTGCAGGGAGCTATGATCACACCACAGCTCTCCAGCCTGGGCAACACAGTGAGACCTCAGTCCACAAAAAGAAAAGACACTCCTTACATTACTTGATACATCATTCTGTACCTTGCTATTGTTTCCCAAGAACATCTTTTTATTTATTTCTATTTCTTCACTGTGGCTGGATATGACTTCACACCCAACCAACGTGCAAGTCCCAACTTGCCTTAAGTGATTGGTCAAATGGTTGCAGTCAATCTGTTACCAGTCTAAAAGGCTGGCTCCTTTCCTGTAACTGAGATATGCATCCTCGATGGGCTCTTATTCATTAGTGTTGGTTATGTTTCTCATCAGTTGTGAAACAATATTTTCTTTTGTTTTTTTTTTCTTTTGTTTTTTTTTTGAGACAGAGGCTCACCCTGTCACCCAGGCTGGAGTGCAGTGGTGCGATCTCGGCTCGCTGCAACCTCCACCTCCCGGGTTGAAGTGATTCTTTGGCCTCAGCCTCCTGAGTAGCTGGGATTACAGGCACCCACCAACATGCCTGGCTAATTTTTTTGTTTGTTTGTTTTTGGTTTTTTTTGAGACAGAGTCTTGCTCTGCCGCCCAGGCTGGAGTGCAGTGGCACCATTTCGGCTCACTGCAAGCTCCGCCTCCCTGGTTCACGCCATTCTCCTGCCTCAGCCTCCTGAGTAGCTGGGACTACAGGCTCCCGCCACCACGCCCAGCTAATTTTTTGCATTTTTGGTAGAGACGGGGTTTCACTGTATTAGCCAGGATGGTCTCGGTCTCCTGACCTCATGATCCGCCCGCCTCGGCCTCCCAAAGTGCTGGGATTACAGGCATAAGCCACCGCGCCTGGCCTAATTTTTGTATTTTTAGTAGAGACAGGGTTTCGCCATGTTGGTCAGGCTGGTCTCGAACTCCTGACCTCGTGATCTGCCCTCCTCGGCCTCCCAAAGTGTTGGGATTACAGGTGTGAGCCACTGCGCCTGGCCTGAAATAATATTTTCGTGAGCCTTTTTTCTTTTTCTTTCTCGTTTTTTGAGACAGAGTCTCGCTCTGTTGCCCAGGCAGGAGTGCAGTGGTTTGATCTTGGCTCACTGCAACCTCTGCCTTCCAGGTTCAAGTGATTCTCCTGCCTCAGCCTCCCAAGTAGCTGGGATTTCAGGTGCCTGCCACCACGCCTGGCTACTTTTTGTATTTTTAGTAGAGACGGGGTTTCACCATGTTGGCCAGACTGGCCTTGAACTCCTGACCTCAGGTGATCCACCTGCCTCAGCCTCCCAAAGTGCTGTGATTGCAAGTGTGAACCAACGCACCTGGTCACCTTTTTTCAATTTTAAATAGTTAATGTAGGCCGGGTGTGGTGGTGCACACCTGCATTCCCAGCTACTCGAGAGGCCGAGGCAGGAGAATTGCTTGAACCCAGGAGGCAGAAATTGTAGTGAGCCAAGATAGCTCCATTGCGCTTTAGCCTGGGCAAAAAGAACAAGACTCTGTCTCAAAAAGTATATATAATAATAATAATAATAATAATAATAATAATAAATGTATATATTTCTCAATAGTCTTTCTATCAAGGTATCCTTCCCATAAAATAAAAGATGCAGATATTAAAGGTATAGTTCACTGATTTTGAGAACTGTGGAGACCTATCTAACCACCTCCTCAATTAAGTTTCCTGGTGTCCAGGAAATAGTGGCCTCTCTTCTAGTTCCAGGAAGCCACTGGCCAGTGTCACTCCTGACCATTTTTTTGTTTTGTTTTGTTTTGTTTTGTTTTTGAGATGGGGGTCTCACTCTGTCACCCAGGCTGGAGTGCAGTGGTGCAGTCTCCGCTCACTGCAGCCTCAATCTTCCAAGCTTAAACCTCCTGGGCTCACCACCTCAGCCTCCCGAGTAGCTGGGGCTACAGACACACGCCACCATGCCTGGCTAATTGTGTATTTTTTGTAGAGAGAGGGTTTTACGATGTTGCCTAGGCTGGTGTTGAACTCCTGGAGTCAAGCGATCTGCCTGCCTTAGCCTCCCAAAGTGCTGGGATTACAGGCATGAGCCACTGGGCCTGGCCACTGCTGAGCATTGACTAGCCACCGAGGTTCTTTTGTCTCAAAATAAAGAAGAGGGAGTAGACTGATTTTTCTTACTTTATGCCTCTTTTAGGAAATAATTTAGATGAAAAGTAGCTAATTGCACACTAGGTGGTTGTAGAGATTTAAAATTCAGGCTCCATGAATGTCATTTGTTGGTCACATTTTGGTTATTTTTTATACACAGTGAAGGTAATTCTGGGGCTGCTTTTTGTAAATCAACATTCTGATGATGAAAATGACACTTAGAAATCTCACTTTGGCTGGGCACGGTGGCTCATGCCTATAATCCCAACACTTTGGGAGGCCGAGGCGGGCGGATCACCTGAGGTCAGGAGTTCGAGACCAGCCTGGCCAATAGGGTGAAACCCCGTCTCTACTAAAAATAGAAAAAATTAGCCGGGCATGGTGGCAGGCACCTGTAATGCCAGCTACTTGGGGGGCTGAGGCAGGAGAATCGCTTGAACCTGGGAGGCAGAGGTTGCAGTGAGCCAAGATCACGCCATTGCACTCCAGCCTGGGGGACAAGATCGAGACTTCCTCTCAAAAAAAAAAAAAAAAAGGAAAGAAATCTCACTTTGTTCTTGGCCAGGCGCAGTGGTTCACCCTGTAATCCCAGCACCTTGGGAGGCCAAGGCGGTGGATCACCTGAGGTCAGGAATTTGAGACCAGCCTGGCCAACATAGTGAAACCCTGCCTCTACTAAAAATACCAAAAAATTATATATATCTATATTAGCTGGGTGTGGTGGCACACACCTGTGATCCTAGCTACTTGGGAGGCTGAAGCAGGAGAATCACCTGAACCCGGGAGACGGAGGTTGTGGTGTGTGATCGCACCACTGCACTTGAGCCTGGGCGACAGAGCAAGACTCCATCAAAAAAAGACCAAACAAAAAAACAAAAACAAAAACAAAAAAACCCCAGAAACTCACTTTGTTCTTAAGCTTTTATGCCCATTGGAAATCTCACGACTCTATTTTTATAAATATAGTAAATATTAATAAAACAATCCAATTACCGCTAAGAAAAAGTCTATTCTCTAGTGTTCAGTTCCATTTATAAACTTAGTTAATTAAACTCTCTTAAATATTTTAAACTGAATGCATAATTTTAGAGGTTATTCATTTTTCAGTGTTTCAATTGCTCTATAAACTCATCCAAGTAATTCTTGTAAGTTTCCTAGTGATTCTTGTACATTTCAATGCTTAAACAGTAAAATACATGCATAGCTTTTTCTTCTTCCTTCCTTTCCTTCCTTTCCTTCCTTTCCTTCCTTTGCTGAACAATTGGGCCCTAAAGCTATTATGTGGGGCTGAGCAAGGTCATGGTGGCCCTGAATGGGCTGATTGGGGTGGGATGTCCTTGGGAGAGGTGTTTGGGGGTCAGGGCTGAGCAGGATGAGGAGCGCTCAGCAGAGGCTGCGCGTAAGTGCCCAGTGAGGGCCAGCAGGACACGTGACAGGGAGCCTGCACTCCCAGCATGGGAGGAGGACACCTGTGTGGGGTGGGTGCCCGACGAGGGGCATTGGAACCAGCCTCGGGGGGAGGTGCCATGTGGGAGTCAGAGATGAGGACTGGAACTGCTTTTTTTTTCTGGGAGGGAGTTACAGATATGGAAAGGGAGAGGTAGGCACCAGCCCTGTGGAGCTGGACTGGAAGTGGAGGCATTAGCGTGAGCTAATGGTTTGAGGATTGGGTTATTTGGTGGGGCAGGTTTGGACTCTTTTTATTTTTATTTAATTTAACATATTTATTTATTTATTTAGACAGAGTCTTCTCTGCCACCAGGCTGGAGTGCAATGGTGTGATCTCGGCTCACTGCAACTTCCGCCTCCCAGGTTCAAGCAATTCTCCCACCTCAGCCTCCCGAGTGGCTGGGACTACAGGCATGTGTCACTGCGCCTGGCTACTTTTTGTATTTTTAGTAGAGACGGGGGTTTCACCATGTTGGCCAGGCTGGTCTTGAACTCCTGACCTCAGGTGATCCACCTGCCTCGGCCTCTCGAAATGCTGGGATTACAGGCGTGAGCCTTCTTATACCAGTTTTTTTTTGTTTGTTTGTTTTTGTTTGTTTGTTTTTTAGACAGAGTGCAATGGCGTGATCTCGGGTCATTGCAACAACCTCTGCCTCCTGGGTTCAAGGGATTCTCCTGCCTCAGCCTCTCAAGTAGCTGGGATTACAGACATGCACCACCATGCCCGGCTAATTTTGTATTTTTAGTAGAGACAAGATTTCTCCACGTTGGTCAGGTTGGTCTCAAACTCCCGACCTCAGGTGATCCGCCCGCCTTGGCCTCCCAAAATGCTGGGATTACAGGAGTGAGCCCTGCGCCCGGCATTCTTATGGTAGTTTTATACCCAAGCCCACTGAAGACCGTAGGAGGGAGAGGTAAAGTTTTCTTTCCCCTGCAAAGGACATTCGAGTTGTTTCCACTGTTTGGCTGTTATGAATAATGAACGCTTCTACGAACATTTTGTTTAAATATTTAGCACGAACATGTTTTTATTCCCCTTGGGCATATCCCTAGGAGTAGAATGCCTGGGTCCCAAGGGTAACTTATGTCACACTTTCCTCCCTTATTCAGCAGTCAGTAAAGGCTGGTAAATTTCATCTGGCTGTCCTGTCATTCTCTTTGAATTTGGAACAATCATCCACCCTTTTTGGTTTATATGACATTGACTCTTCAAAACTCCCAACTATGGCCGGGTGTGGTGGCTCACATCTGTAATCCCAGAACTTTGGGAGGCTGAGGTGGGCGGATCACCTGAGGTCAGGCATTTGCGACCAGCCTGGCCAACATGGGGAAACCCTGTCTCCACTAAAAATACAAAAAATTAGCCGGGTGTGGTGACGCACGCCTGTAATCTCAGCTACTCTGGAAGCTGAGGCAGGAGAATCACTTGAACGCAGGAGAATCGCTTGAACCCGGGAGGCGGAGGTTGCAGTGAGCCAAGATCACGCCATTGCAATCCAGCCTGGGTGACAGAGCGAGACCTTGTGTCAAAAAAAGACATGGGACCTTCATTCAATTAAGATTCATAGTATGCAGCAAGATAGAACCCCCTAGTAGGGAGCAGTGGCTCACGCCTGTAGCACTGTGAGAGGCTGAGGCAAGAGGATCGTTTGAGACCACGAGTTCAAGGCCAGCCTGGGCAACATAGCAAGACCCTCATCTCTAGAAGAAATAAAAAGCTGGACATGACCAGGCGTGGTGGCTCATGCCTGTAATGCCAGCATTTTGGAGGTGAGGTGGGTGGATCACCTGAGGTCAGAAGTTTGAGAACATGGCAAAACCCTGTCTCTACTAAAAATAGAAAAATTAGCCAGGCGTGGTGGTGCTCGCCTGTAGTCCCAGCTCCTCGGGAGACTGAGGCAGGAGAATCACTTGAACCTGGGAGGCAGAGGTTGGTTGCAGTGAGCCGAGATCCTGCGCTCCAACCAGCCTGGGCGTCAGAAAGAGACCTTGACTAAAAAAAAAAATCCCCTGTTTAAGACAGATGGATTAATTCCTTCTGTTTCTGTCCATAGGCTCTTGATTGCTTCTTAGGACTTCTCCAAAAGTGGAAGAAACAAGAAAACGTTGTCATTCTGAAACATCTTTACTATTTTTCTGAGGCTGCAGCCTTGGCCAGCCCGCAATCTGCCTTTCCAGGCACAGCAGGTGACAGTGTGAGTGGATAATTTGTTACCATGTAGCAAGAGACACTGGCTTTCCACCCTGCAATACAGGAGTCCTTCCTATCAGCCTCTCCTCTATCTCCTCCAGCCACGCCCTCATTTTAAGTTCTGCTGCCTGTATCAGCCACTTCTCCCACTGTCATGTTGGGGTTGCTGGTTGCTGGCAACAGAACCCTCCTCCGCTAGTTTACAGAGATTATTAGCGGCTATGACAGCTTACAGAATTTTTTTTTTTTTTTGAGACGGAGTTTCGCTCTTGTTACCCAGGCTGGAGTGCAATGGCACGATCTTGGCTCACTGCAACCTCCGCCTCCTGGGTTCAAGAAATTTTCCTGCCTCAGCCTCCCGAGTACCTGGGATTACAGGCATGAGCCATCATACCCAGATAATTTTGTATTTTTAGTAGAGAGGGGGTTTCTTCATGTTGGTCAGGCTGGTCTCGAACTCCCAACCTCAGGTGATCCGCCCGCCTTGGCCTCCCAGAGTGCTGGGATCACAGACATGAGCCACCATGCCCGGCAATAGCTTACAGAATTTTCAGAGGACTAGGGAATAAGCTTCCGTGCTGCAAAGCTAGAGGGTGGATGCGGAGAGCATTCCCTGGCCAGAGCTTCCTAGGCTGTTCTAGATAAAAATAAATACCTCCATCACCTAACTAGCCAGAAGGCTCATCTCCCTCCCGTAAGTGTTACCTCATTTTCACCTTCTAAGTTTTGCAGGTGGTGGAGTGCAGTGGCTGATACCTGTAATCCCAGCACTTTGGGAAGCTGAACTGGGAAGACTCCTTGAGGCCAGGAGTTTGAGACCAGCCTGGGCAGCAGAGGAAGACCCTGTCTCTACAAAAAAAAAAATTTAAAAATGAGCCAGTTTTGGGCCAGGCATGGGGGCTCACACCTGTAATCCCAGCACTTTGGGCAACTGAGGCTGGTAGATCGCTTGAGCCCAGGAGTTCAAGACCAGCCTGAGCAACACAGTGAGACCCTGTCTCTAAAAAAAAAAAAAAAAAAAAAAAAAAGCCGGGCACAGTGGCACATGCCTGTAATCCCAGCTACTTAGGAAGCTGAGGCAGGAGGATTGCTTGAACCTGGGCTGTTGAAGCTGCAGTGAGGCGAGATCACACCACTGCACTCCAGCTGGGGTGACAGAGTGAGATCCTGTCTCAAAAAAAGAAAAGAGTCAGGCGCGGTGGTTCACGCCTGTAATCCCAACACTTTGGGAGGCCGAGGCGGGCAGATCATGAGGTCAGGAGATCGAGAACATCCTAGCTAATACGGTAAAACCCCGTTTCTACTAAAAAATACAAAAAATTAGCCGGGCATTGTGGCGGGCGCCTGTAGTCCCAGCTAGTTGGGAGGCTGAGGCAAGAGAATGGCATGAACCCAGGAGGCAGAGCTTGCAGGGAGCCCAGATCACGCCACTGCACTCCAGCCTGGGCGACAGAGCGAGACTCCGTCTCAAAAAAAAAAAAAGAAAAGAAAAGAAAAGAAAAAATTAGCCAAGTGTGGTAGCACACAACCGTTGTCCTACCTACTACTCCAGAGACTGAGGAAAATTGCTTCAGCCTGGGAGTTCTAGGCTGCAGTGGGCTATGATGGTGCCACTGCACTCCAGGCTGGGTGACAGGGCAAAACCACAGAGCAAGACCACTTCTTTCTTGGCTGGCTGGCTTTCTCTTTCTTTCTTTCTTTCTTTCTTTCTTTCTTTCTTTCTTTCTTTCTTTCTTTCTTTCTTTCTTTCTTTCTTCTTTCTTTCTTTCTTTCTTTCTTTCCTTCTTTCTTTCTTTTTCTTTCTTTCTTTCTTTCTTTCATCTCTCTCTCTCTTCCCTCCTTCCCTCCCTCTCTCCCTCCCTCCCTCCCTTCCTTCCTTCCTTCTCTCTCTCTTTCTTTTTGGACAGTCTTGCTCTGTCACCCAGCCTGGAGTGCAGTGGCACAAATTCTGCTCACTGCAACCTCCACCTTCTGGATTCAAGTGATTCTTGTGCCTCAGCCTACCCAGTAGCTGGGATTACAGGTGCGTGCCACCATGCCAGGCTAATTTTTTGTATTTTAGTAGAGACGGGGTTTTGCCATGTTGCCCAGGCTGGTCTTGAACTCTGGAGCTCAGGCAAACTGCCCACCTCAGCCTCCAAAGTGCTAGGATTACAGGTGTGAGCCACAGTACCTGGCCACGAGGGCATGTCTTCAAAAAAAGAGTTTTCCAGGGGTGCAAACTCAGCTTGGGGAAACCCAGTCCTATGTGAATCTAGCTACAAATAACTCTGGGAAATGTAGTTTTTAACTGCCTAATGCAAGAAAGCAGGCCAGGCTGGGTGCGGAGGTTCACGCCTGTAATCCCAGCACTTTGGGAGGCCAAGGCAGGAGGATACTTGAGTTCCAGAGTTTGAGACCAGCCTGGGCCACATAGTGAGGCATCAGCTCTACTAAAATAAAATAAAAAAAAAATTAACTGGGGGTGGTGTCACATGCCTGTAGTCCCAGCCACTTTGGCGGCTGAGGCAGGAGGATTGCTTCAGCCCAGGAGGTTGAGGCTGCAGTGCATGATGATCTTGCCTGGGCAATAGATTAAGGCCCTGTCTCAAAAAAAAAAAAAAAAAAAAAAAAAAAAAGGTGGGCCCGCTGGGGAGTGAGTTAGAAGCTGAGTAAGCCAATCTTCAGTGGTGGTTACCAAATTACTTGGAAAGATATAATTAGTTACATAGTGGGTAAATGTCTTTAACTGTGGGAACAGTTAGAATTCACTAAAAAGATTTTTACCTGTATCATTTTCATCACTGGAATGTTAATATATAAAACCAAAGGAGTCCCTGAAGTATCTTCACTGTGTTTAAAAAATAACCAAAACCACAGGGCATGGTGGCTCACACCTGTAATCCCAGTACTTTGGGAGGCCAGAAGTTGGAGGATCACTTAAGCCCAGGTTCCAGACTAGCCTGGGCAACATAGCCAGACCCTTGGCTAGGCACAGTAGTTCACATCTGTAATCCCAGCACTTTTGAAAGCTGAGGTGGGTGGATCACTTGAGGTCAGGAGTTCGAGACCAGCCTGGCCAACATGGTGAAACCCCATCTCTACTAAAAATACAAAAATCAGCCAAGAGTGGTGGTGCATGCTTGTAATCCCAGCTACTAAGTAGGCCAAGGCAAGAGAATCGCTTGAACCCAGGAGGCAGAGCTGAGATTGAGCCACTGCACTCCAGCCTGGGCAACAGAGTGAGACTCCATCTCAAAAGAAAAAAAAAAAAGAACCCATCAAGGACGTAGATCTGTTATCAGAAATGAGTCAGGACTTCGGGCTGATAACAGAGTTAATGTGCAAACCCTTGGCCAATCAGCAAAGGCACATTGGGACTTGCAGTATGTTGGCTACATGTGAAGTTACATCCAGCCACAGTGAAGCAATCACTAAAAAAAAATCAAAAATAAAACAAAAAACAATAACTCAAAATATCACTAACAAAATGGCACTGACAGAACCTGGGGTTTTAAATCCCTACAAACACTTAGTGTGCGATTAGTTACTTTTCAACTAAGTTATATCCTGAAAGAGGCCTAAAATCAGAAAAATCAGTCTGTCCCAACCCACTTTCTCATTTTCACGGCAAATGAACTTATTTTTCTTTTCTTTTCTTTTCTTTTTTTGAGACGGAATCTTGGAGTCTTGCTCTGTTGCCCAGGCTGGAGTGCAGTGGCGCGATCTTGGCTCACTGCAAGCTCCACCTCCCAGGTTCATGCCATTCTCCTGCCTCAGCCTCCTGAGTAGCTGGGACTACAGGTGCCCGCCACCACGCCTGGCTAATTTTTTGTATTTTTAGTAGAGACGGGGTTTCACCGTATTAGCCAGGATGGTCTCGATCTCCTGACCTCGTGATCCGCCCGCCTCGGCCTCCCAAAGTGCTGGGATTACAGGTGTAAGCCACCGCGCCTGGCCTTTTTTTTCTTTTTTGAGACCGAGTCTCGCTCTGTCACCCAGTCTTGAGTGCAGAGGTGCGATCTTAACTCACTGCAGCCTCCGCCTCCCAGGTTCAAGTGATTCTCTTGCCTCATCCTCCCCAGTAGCTGGGACTACAGGCAGGCGCCACGCTGTCGCATTGGCCAGGCTGGTCTCAAACTCCTGACCTCAGGTGATCCGCCCGCCTTGTTACCCAGGCTGGAGTGCAGTGGTGTGATCTTGGGTCACTGTAGCCTCCACCTCCAGGGCTCAGGTGATCCTCCTGCCCTAGCCTCCCGAGTAGCTGGGACTACAGGCACATGCCACCACAATGGATCAAAGGAAACTTTGTGGCTACTAACTGCTCAGGAGTGACAGTGGCTTCATGTGGCAGAAGGAGCAGTGACTGTTTCTAGGGGCACCAGGAAACTTGATTGGGGAGGTGGTTACACAGGTGACTATATGTGTCAAAACTCATTGAACTATTCCATTAAAATCTGAACCCTGAGCAGGGGCTCACACCTATAATCCCAGCACTTTGGGAGGCCAAAGCAGGTGGATCACTTGAGTCCAGGAGTTTGAGAACAGCCTGGACAACATGGCGAAACCCCATCAGTACAAAATAATACAAAAATTAGGCAGGTGTGGTGGCACACTCCTGTAGTCCCAGCCACTCAGGAGGATGAGGTGGGAGGATCACTTGAATCTGGGAGGCAGAGGTTGCAGTAAGTTGAGATCATACCACTGCACTCCAGCCTGGGCGACAGAACAAGACCCTGTCTCAAAACAACAACAACAACAACAAAATCTGAACCTTTTATTTAATGGGAAAAATACCTCAATGAAATAACAATTGGGAAATAAACACATTAGTTATTTAAAACCGAAAAAAGACACACAAATATTACCGTGGCCAGGCCTGTAATCACAACATTTTAGGAGACCAAGGTGGGAGGATCGCTTGAGCCCAGGAGTTTGAGACCAGCCTGGGCAACATGGTGAGACCTCCTCTCTAGGAAAAAAAAAAAAAAAAAAAAAAAAGCTGGGCATGGTGGCGTGCAACTGTAGTCCAAGCTACTCCAGAGGCGGGAGGATTCCCAAGCCCAGGAGGCCAAGGCTGCAGTAAGCCATGATCACAGAGAGAGCCAGACCCTGTCTCAAAAAAAAAAAAAAAAAAAATTATTGCACAACTAATGAGAAAGATAACACAATTGAATAAGAACTCATCAAGGGCTGGATGCAGTGGCTCATGCCTGTAATCCCAGCATTTTGGGAGGCTGAGGTGGGTGGATCACTTGAGGGCAGGAGTTCAAGACCAGCCTGGCCAACATGGTGAAACCCTGTCTCTACTAAAAATACAAAAATTAGCCATGAGTGGTGGCACATGCTTGTAATCCCAGCTACTCAGGAGGCTGAGGCAGGAGAATCACTTGAACCTGGGAAGCAGAGGTTGCAGTGAGTCGAGATCGTGCCACTGCACTCCAGCCTGGGTGACAGAGCAAAACTCTGTCTCAAAAACAAACAAACAAACAACAACAACAACAACAAAAACCCATCAAGGATGCAATCAAGGATGCAGATCTGTTACCAGAAAGGAGTCAGGACTTCAGGCTAATAATAGAGTGAATGGAAAGCTTTGGCCAGTCAGCAAAGGCACGTTGGGACTTGCAGCATGTTGGCTGCATGTGAAGTTACATCCAGCCACAGTGAAGCGATCACTAAAAAGTTGAGTTCCTGGGAAACACGGTACACAGCATGAGGCGTCAGTAATGTGAGGAGTGTGTTCTTTAGAATGGTCAATAATGTTAGAATGATGGAGTTCACCATTCAAGGGAACATTCTCGGGAACTAACTGAGCTGCGCTGGTGGTGTGATCACCGGACACCCTGCTGTCCTCTCTGTCCGTGCCCATGACATGTCCTTGGCACAGACACCCCTGTGGAGCCCAGGGCCTGGCCGCTTCCTTGGCTGAGAAGCTGTCCCTGTCTAGGCCTCAGTTTTGTCTTCTGCAGAATGGGGGTGCTTGCAGCTCCCACTGAAATGCAGCTGCAAGCCTCCCTCTCTGAGCTCACGTCCCTAGGAACTGGTCCCCCACCTTGGTGCCTTGGAGTGTGTGGGGAGGGGGCAAGAGGCTGGGGGCCTGGGACAAAGAGGGTGGAGGATGGTTCTGGGTCTGGTGTCTCCACCCAAACTTTCCACTGCCAGCCTGCCTCTGCCCAGGCCTCTCAGCAGCCTGCTGGGTGGGGCAGGAGTGCAGGAGTTGGGTGGGGAGTGGAAAAGGTCCAGGAGGGCTGCTGCATTGCTAGGAGTGGTTTATTTTTATTTATTTATTTGTTTGTTTGTTTATTTATTTTTGAGATGGAGTCTTGCTCTGTTGCCCAGGCTGGAGTGCAGTGGCGCGATCTCGGCTCACTGCAAGCTCTGCCTCCCGGGTTCATGCCATTCTCCTGCCTCAGCCTCCCGAGTAGCTGGGACTACAGGTGCCCGCCACCATGCCCGGCTAATTTTGTTTTGTATTTTTAGTAGAGACGGGGTTTCACCGTGTTAGCCAGTATGGTCTCGATCTCCTGACCTCGTGATCCACCCGCGTCGGCCTCCCAAAGTGCTGGGATTACAGGCTTTATTTTTATTTTTTGAGACAGAGTCTAGCTCTGTCGCCCAGGCTGCAGTGCAGTGGTGTGATCTCGGCTCACTACAACGTCCGCCTCCCCAGCTCAAGCAATTCTCCTGCCTCAGCCTCCCAGGTAGCTGGGATTACAGGTGTCCACCACCACACCTGGCCAATTTTTTGTATTTTCTATAGAGAAGGGGTTTCACCATGTTGGCCAGGCTGGTCTTGAACTCCTGACCTCAAGTGATCCACCTACCTTGGCCTCCCAAAGTGCTGGGATTACAGGCGTGAGCTACCATGCCCAGCCAGGAGTGGTTTCTGTTCAGCTCCCACACCATCCCTGCCTTTCAGAAACAGATTTCAGTCCTGCCCGCCCCCCCCCCCCCCCCCGCCTCCCCCAGTCTACTTCCCCAACCCTGGATTCTCTTCTAGAGTCTTGGGCCCAAGCGGGCTATATTGGGGCTGGCGGGAGGGTCCCCACCTTGCTCTGCTTTTGATCTAGGTGGTGATGGAATGCTAGGCCACCCACCACCCTAAAACCCACCTCATCCTGACCTGCAAAATTGGTGGGAAGATGGTAACAGTCCTGGAAGGAGGAACAAGAGAGACTTGAAGGAGAGAAGTGGGACAGGAATACGCGGTAGACAGTTATAGACAGAGACAAACAGAGCCAGACAGCCAGCCCCAGAGACAGAACCCACAGGAGAGGCACGCCCAGAGGTGAGGAAAGGCAGAGGTTGGGGCAATGGGTCCTGCCCGGCTTGTGGAAAATCACTTCCCATCCCAGCCTCAGCCTCCTTCTCTGTACAATGGGGGTGACCCATGCTTCTCTCTGTTGGAATGGTGGGGTCCCAATCAGTGATTTCCTGCATATCCTGGGCAGCCCAAGGGCCTGGGAAATGACAAGCGTAGTCCTAGTGGATCCCCTCCTTTCACCCCTCCTGACTGAGGACTTCCCATGAACCCGGCACACTCCAGGACCCAGGGGTGCAGCACTGAGCCAACCAGGCCGCCCTCCGACCCTGTGAAGTCCCCCTGTCTGGCACTATCGTCGTTGTTGTGGCTGCTGTTCCACTGGAGACTTAGAAGCAGGGATTTCAGCGCAGACATTTCCAGTCTAGGCAGGAGGTTCTCAGCTGGAGAGAAGGGTCTAGAGTTCCCGCTGGGCTTGGCTTCTCAGGACCCAACATGTCTGTGGATAAAATGAGCATGAGAGACTCTCCTGTGTGCCAGGCAGTGGGAAGACAGGGGTGGAGGGGCGGTGGCTCTTATTATCAGCTCCTAGGAGAGGGGCAGTGCACCCGGGCTCTGGGTGATGGGGGGATCAGGGCCCCCAAGAAGAGGCGCCACTCCCACTTCGCCAGGCTTGCCCCAGGGCCAGGGTCCGTGCCAGGTGTGGGTGGTGGGTGGGAAGGGGTGGGGTGAGTCATCAGGGCCAGCCCCGCCCTGCTTTTATTTAAGGTCCCCAGCAGGCCCCACCACCACGGCTGCCCAACCCGGTCCCAGCCATGTCCGTGAGTGCTCCAGGGGCCCGGGGCGGGGCCAAGCAGGGAGGGGGCTGGGGGCTCCTCTTTCAAAGGAGCAAGTGGGCAGTGAGTGTGCCACGGACTGGCCTGGGCTGTGGCCTCCGGGTAACCCCCATCCCGACTGTCCCCTCTACCTCTTTGTGGCTTCCTCTGGGGCCCTCTTTGAGGATCTTTCTGTTTGTCTTTGTTGCTCTCCCCATCTGTTTCCCTGTCTGTTTCTGGTCTCTTTCCTGCCTCTCCGCCACCCTTTCCTCTTCCACTGATTTCTGCCAGTCTCAGCCCTGGTCGGCTCCTCTGAGGGGTGACCCACCTTCTGCCTCCCTCCTTCGGTCTCACCGGCTCACAGTGGCCCCTGCACCCCACTCTTGCAGAACGTCCCCCACAAGTCCTCACTGCCCGAGGGCATCCGCCCTGGCACGGTGCTGAGAATTCGCGGCTTGGTTCCTCCCAATGCCAGCAGGTGAGGCCCCAGGCCCTAGGGGTAAAGGGTACAGGTCTCAGGATCAGCTGACTCCCAATTTTTGCAGTCCAGAAGTAGGGGCCCGAGGCCACCTGTATCCACCAGGCTAGGAGTCCGAGGCCATTTCTGACCTCAAATCTGATGTATTCGTATTTGCCCCCGTGCCTTTGTGGCTGGGGTCCCTAAGTTTCCCTAAGCATTTGAGGTCCCTGGGTAATCTCAGGGTTCCTAGATATAGTCCTATGACTTCCATGTCTGAGTCCCAGGGAACTCTGGAAATACTCCAAGTCCTGGAGACACCCTGGACCCTGGGAGTCCTTGCCAAGCCATCCTTTGACTTCCTGGCTAAGGAACTTCGGGCCTTCTGGATTCTGAGGTACCCTGGAAATACTGGGGTTCCTGGTATTATTCTTTGTCCTGTAGAAGCTGAGGGTTCCCTGAGCATCAGGAGCACCCTGGCTATCACCCAGACCTCCTGGGCAGCTCCCAGGCTCTTTGGAAATGAGGGCACCCTGCCCTAAGCGTAGTGAGTTTGGTCTGGGTAGGTTTCTGCCAAGGGCCTCATGATATTTTGGCTGCCTTGGGAATCTAAGCTCCCTGGTCATTAGTCGCCCACCTCTCCTTCTGCGGTGTGTGCCTGTCTTCAGGTCCCTGTTAATTTGGGGGTACTCTGGGAATGGGGAGTGCCAGCCCATAAGACCTTCACTTTGGTCTGGGCGGTTTATGTTTTGTTTGTTCTTTCGTTTTTTTGTAAGGTGGGGTCTCGCTATGTTGCCCAGGCTGGTCTTTAACTTCCGGGCCCAAGCGATCCTCCCTTCTCCACCTCCCAGAGTGCTGGGATTACAGGGTGAGCCACTGCACCCAGCCAACATTTCATTTACTTATTCATTCAAAGTAAATTGTAGACATCGGTATTCCTCACCCTCAACATTTCTTGGTCTGGGTGGTTTCTGAGCCCTGACGGCCACCATCCCCCTCTTCCAGGTTCCATGTAAACCTGCTGTGCGGGGAGGAGCAGGGCTCCGATGCCGCCCTGCATTTCAACCCCCGGCTGGACACGTCGGAGGTGGTCTTCAACAGCAAGGAGCAAGGCTCCTGGGGCCGCGAGGAGCGCGGGCCGGGCGTTCCTTTCCAGCGCGGGCAGCCCTTCGAGGTGCTCATCATCGCGTCAGACGACGGCTTCAAGGTGCGTCTCTGCGACAGGGGCGTGGACGCCAAGACTTAGGTCCCTGGAGCAGAGGGTTGGGCAAAGCCAGGCTATTGGTGGAAGGCAGGGAGGTTCGGGGCGGGGTGAGGGGGGTAGGGAAGTCGTGGCCAAGGCGGAGAAGGGTGTCCTTCGACCCTCTCTCTCGCCTAAACAACTCCCACTTGGGTCCGAGGGACAGAGAGACAGCAGGGTCAGGACGAGGCGAGCACCAGCCAAGTGTCCAAGGGGTGGGCGTCCTAGCGGGAAGGCGTGGCCCAGACTCGCCATCCCAGACCCTACTCCCAGTTCATTCCTTCCTGAGGTCCGGGGTTTGAGGCATGGGGAGGGATGGGTTGGAAACAGCGCCCAGGAACTCGTCCTAGCAAGGATTGGCGGGTGGGAGTGGCGGCAGATCCTCCACCACCCACAGCTTACGCGAATTCACCTCCCTCCTCTGCGCTTTAATAGCGGGTAATGGTCGCTGAAATGAGAATATCCATTACCAGCACTAAAAAAGCCGCTTTTTACTGTGCCACACAGTCAACTCGTTTGATCCTCACGCAAGAGTTAGAATGAACAATAGCCCCATTTTCCCAGTGAGGAAACTGAGGCCCAGAGGGGATGAGTGATTTCCCCAGGGCCACCCAGCACGGGCCTCCGGAATCCTCACCACCGACCCTCCCCTGCAGGCCGTGGTTGGGGACGCCCAGTACCACCACTTCCGCCACCGCCTGCCGCTGGCGCGCGTGCGCCTGGTGGAGGTGGGCGGGGACGTGCAGCTGGACTCCGTGAGGATCTTCTGAGCAGAAGCCCAGGCGGGCCCGGGGCCTTGGCTGGCAAATAAAGCGTTAGCCCGCAGCGCGACTGTGTCTGTGTCCCATTCACTGAGATGAGCAAACTGAGACCCAGAGAGGCCAAGATACTGGCTCCGGGCCACACAGCGAATCCGAGGCGGAGGCGGGCTCTGAGCCTGCCTGTGCTTAGGACACTTTCTGTCTGCGAAGGCGTGAGGGTCGCGATCTGGGAAGGAGTGGGTGTGGGGCGTGCCCTGACGCAGCATTTGTGCAAAGCAAGCCAGCTGGGAATGCGGTCGGGCGGACCTGCTGGCGTTTGGGGCGCAGAGGCGCTCACCGCAGGTCCTGGTGCCCCCACTGCAGATCTAAGGGGCGCCAACATGGGTCCATCTGCAAAGGGGGCGAATGAGTCCCACCTTTCTGGTCATTTGTGGGCCCCAATCCTACGGGTGGAAAGCGTGTTATAAGATCCCGGGTCCCTGGGTCCCGTATCCCCCTGCAGCTCATCTCTCCCACCCTCTTCTCTCCTGGCCTCCCGCCCCTAGAGACGTCCCAGGTGGGGCTGGGAAGCCCGACGGGCGTCTCCGGGCTCCCGCTGTTCCCCGAGTCGGGACAGGTACCCGCCTGCGCACCCTCGGGGCAGACGCGATGGCAGCGGCCCCGGCTCTGCGGAACAGCTGGGAGGACTCGAAGGACGGCGTGGGTTTTCCCTGGCGCAGCGAGCCCCATTCCCACGCGCCCTCCGCTCTCCCCGACGGCCCGGACCCCGGTCCTAGCCCTGGTCACTGTGACGGGAGGGGAAGCGGACGCCAAGTGCAGCCCCGGCCCCAGTGTGACTTTCAGGGTTCAGGGCGTCGCTGGGGCTTCCCTTAATGGCGGGGTTGGGGTGGGAGAGGCTGGGAGCACTGTGCGCCTCGAGCCCCCACCCTCGGCGAGGCACCCTGCAGCGGTCGCGGGTCTCTCAACCGGGGACCGAGGAGCCAGGCCAGGGCTGCGATCGGAAGCTGCACGTGGGTGTTCAGGGCCGGCTGTTCCGGAACCTTAGTGCAGAGCCACATCTTGGTGGGCGCGCCAGGCCTTGGGTCTCGATCCCCGCCCTTGAGCCTCCGACCCCCTGGCGTCCGCCTTCCGCATTGCTGCCTGGACCAAGGCGGATGCAGGAAGCTGGGGTGGTTCCTGGCCTGGCCTGAATCTGATTCTGGAGTCAGGTGGGGACGCCAGGTTCGCTGCAGGTCCCAGGCGCATTCAGGACCCGGGGTTTTAGGCCCCTGCGACCTTCGGTCTGGGCGGTCCCTTCCCGTGTCCGGCCCTGGAGTGGGTGGGCGGTGGCCAGGAGCGAGCCCAGCTCTGGTGAGGAGGCCTGTGAGAGGCCGGTTTCTCCCAGTCCTCCGGGGCTCCTGCTTGAATGAGTTCGCTCTTATTTCATTTGGCTGTGTCGAGTGTTTTTAAAATATCAGTTTTTTCATAAAGATAATATATGCATCTGGTATACATTTCAAAACATACAGTGAAATGAACACACATTATTGGCACAAGTGGTGAATGTGGTTGGGTCTTCGGATTAGACAGTAGCGATCCAGCCGTGTTAATGTCCTGAATTTCACCGTTGACTGACAGTGTACATGTGGGAACTTGTCCCTGTTTGTGGAAAATAGAGTTAGGTATTTGGTGGTGCAGCATGTTTGCGACTTATTCTCAAATGGTTCTGAGGCAGGAAAATAGGGTCTGGAGGCAGGGAACATAAGGCTGATTCACACTTCAGCTATGACAGGAAACATCCTCTCCATTTACATAGGGCGTACAGCAAGTAACCAATGGAAACCTCTAGAAGGTATTTAAATGCCAAAAAATTATGTAACCCAGCCCTTGAGCCCCTATGCTCCGCCGCACCCACACTGTGGGGTGTATTTTTATTTTCAATAAATCTCTGCCTTTGTTGCTTCATTATTTCCTTGCTTTGTGCGTTTTGCCCAATTCTTCATTCAAGAGACCAAGCACCTGGACACCCTCCATCGGTAACAGTTCATCAAAAATTTTTAAATAAAAAATTTTTTTTGTTGAGGCAGGGTCTTGCTCTGTTGCCCAGGCTGAGTGGAGTTGTGGATAAGGGCTTACTGCAGCCTCAACCTCCCAGGCTGAAGCCATCCTCCCACCTCAGCCCCCCAAGTAGCTGAGACTACAGGCACGTGCCATGGTGCCAGGCTAATTTTTTTGGGGGGGGCGGGTGTTTGTAGAGCCAGGGTCTTGCTATGTTGCCCAGGCTGGTCTTGAACTCCTGGACTCAAACTCCTGAGCTCAAGCGATCCTCCCACCGAGGCTTCCCAGAGTGCTGGGATTACAGGTGTGAGCCATGGTGCCCAACCTAAATCCTTCTTTATTAAGTTTGTCTTCAAAGAAATTTAGAATTTATGATTCAGCTTCCCTTCTCTCCTCCCCATCCTCCTGGATCTTTCTGTAACAGCTCTATTGACATATAACTCATATGCTATACAAGTCACCCATTCAAAGTATACAAGTCAATGTTTTTCAGTATATTCACAAGGTTGTGCATCCATCAACACAATCTAATTTTAGAACATTTTTATCATCTCAAAAGACCTTGGCTCACAGATGTAATCCCAGCACTTTGGGAGCCTGAAGCGGAAGGATTGATTGAGCCCAGGAGTTCAAGACCAGCCTGAGGCCGGGCGCTGTGGCTCACACTTGTAATCTCAGCACTTTGGGAGGCTGAGATGGGCGGATCACTTGAGCTCAGGAGCTCGAGACTAGCCTGGCCAACATGGCAAAACCACATCTCTACTCAAAATACAAAAAATTAGCCAGGCGTGGTGGCACGCACCTGTAATCCCAGCTACGTGGGAGGCTGAGGCAGGAGAATTGCTTGAACCCGGTAGGCGGAGGCTGCAGTGAGCAGATAGCACCATTGCACTCCAGCCTGGGTGACAGAGCAAAGCTCTGTGTCAAAAAAAAAAAAAAAAAAAAAAAAAAACAACCTGGGAAATATAGGGAGACCTCATCTCTACAAAAAATAATTTTAGCTGGGCATGGTGGTACACACCTGTGGTCCCAGTTACTCGGGAGGCTGAGCTAGGAGGATGGCTTGAGCTGGAGAGGTCGAGGCTGCAGAGAGCCGTGATCGCTCCACTGCACTCCAGCTTGAGCAACAGAGTGAAACCCTGTTTCAGAAACAAAACAAAACAAAAAAGAACAACTAAAAGAAACCCCATACCCATAAGCAGTCACTCCCCAACTTGCCCCTCCCCCAGCACCTGGCAATCACTAACCTACTTTCCAGCTGTATGGATTTATGAATCTGCTTGTTTTCCACACGTGGAATCATACAATATGTGGCCCTGTATATCTGGCTTCTTCCACGGAGCATCATGTTTTCAGGGTTTGTCCATGTCATAGCATGCATCAGCACTTCATTCCTTTTCATGGCTGAATGCTGTTCCAATGTGTGGATCGAATATACGCGTTTACCCATTCATCATGGTGAATAATGGATATCTGGGTTGTTCCTACATCTTGGCTATTATGAATAATGCTGCTATGAACCTATTGTGTGAACATGTTTTCATGTCTCTTGGGTAAGTACCTAGGAGAATTTCTGGGTCAGGCCAGGTGCTGTGGCTCATGCCTGTAATTCCACCACTTTGGGAGGCCAAGGCAGATGGATCACCTGAGGTCAGGAGTTCGAGACCAGCCTGATCAACATGGAAAAGCCCCATCTCTACTAAAAATACAAAATTAACCGGGCGTGGTGGTGCATGCCTGTAATCCCAGCTACTTGGGAGACTGAGGCAGGAGAATCGCTTGAACCCAGGAGGTGGAGGTTTCAGCGAGCCGAGATCGCACCACTGCACTCCAGTCTGGGCATCAAGAGCGAAACTCCGTCTCAAAAAAGAAAAAAAAAAAAAGAATTCCTGGGTCACATGACTCTTTTAAGTTCCGTTTCAAAGAACTGCCAAACCATTTTCCAAAGTAACTGTAACATTTTACATTACCATCAGCAACATATGTGTTCCTATTTCTCCATGTTCTCTCCAACACTTGTTATTGTCTTTTTTTTTTTTTTGAGACAGGGTCTTGTTCTGTTGTGTAGGCTGGAGTGCAGTGGTGAAATCATGGCTCACTGCAGCCTCCACCTCCTGGGCTCAAGCAATTCTCCTACCTCAGGCCTCCCAATTAGTTGGAACTATAGGTGTGCGTCCCCATGCTTGGCTAATTTTTAAAAATTTTTTGTAGAGACAGGTTCTTGCTATGTTGCCCAGGCTGGTCCTGAACTCTTAGCCTCAAGTGATCCTCCCACCCCGGCCTCCCAAAGTGCTGGGATTACAGGCATGAGCCACCACACCTGACCTATCTGTCTTTTTTATTATAGCCATCCTAATAGGTTGGCTTCACCACTTGGTGAAGAGATATGTCATGTGGTTTTGATTTGCATTTCCCTAATGACATGGGTTGCCGTTTATATATCTTCTTTGCAGAAATGTTTATCGAAATTTTCTGCCCATTTTAAATTGGATTTTTAAAAGGTGTTATATAATCTTATCCATAAATATGTGTATAATTCTAAATGATATTTATTTTTTAATTTTTATTTTTGAGATGGGGTCTCACTATGCTGCCCAGGCTGGTCTCAAACTCCCAGGTTCAAACAGTCTTCCCACCTTAGCCTCCCAAGTAGCTAGGATTACAGGCATCTGCCACCACGCCTGGCAGGCTCTCTTTTTAAACAAAACCTCATTACCATTCTAACTCCTAAAAAATTTACAGTTCATATCATTGTATGATACAATGTTTGCAAAGTTTGTATGCAAAGGTTTCCCCCAACATTTTATTATGAATTTTTTCAGACATGCAGAAAAGTTAAAAGAATTATTCTATGAATACCTCATATACCCTAACCAGATTCTATATAACATTTTACTCAACTTGCTTTATCACACATAGATCCATCTATCCACCCTTCTATCCATCCATCACCATCTTCTTTTTTTCTTTTCTTCTTCTTCTTTTTTTTTTTTTTTTTGAGAGGAGTCTCACTCTGTTGCCAGGCTGGAGTGCAGTGGCGCGATCTCGGCTCACTGCAACCTCTGCCTCCCAGGTTCAAGCGATTCTCCTGCCCCAGCCTCCCGAGTAGCTGGGATTACAGGCACCCACCACTATGCCCGGCTAATTTTTTGTATTTTTGGTAGAGACAGAGTTTCACCACGTTGGCCAGGCTAGTCTCAAAAATTCCTGACCTTGTGATTCGCCTGCCTCGGCCTCCCAAAGTGTTGGGATTACATGCGTGAGCCACCACACCTGGCCAAAAAATATGGAACACTTCACAAATTTGCATGTCATCCTTGCGCAGGGGCCATGCTAATCTTCTCTGCATCATTCCAGATTTTAGTATATGTGCTGCTGAAGCGAGCACTATTTCTTTATTTTATTTTAATATTTTGTATTTTTGTATTTTTGTATTTTTTTTTTATTGATCATTCTTGGGTGTTTCTCGCAGAGGGGGGATTTGGCAGGGTCACAGGACAATAGTGGAGGGAAGGTCAGCAGATAAACAAGTGAACAAAGGTCTCTGGTTTTCCTAGGCAGAGTGTGTGTGTCCCTGGGTACTTGAGATTAGGGAATGGTGATGACTCTTAACGAGCATGCTGCCTTCAAGCATCTGTTTAACAAAGCACATCTTGCACCGCCCTTAATCCATTTAACCCTGAGTGGACACAGCACATGTTTCAGAGAGCACAGGGTTGGGGGTAAGGTCATAGATCAACAGGATCCCAAGGCAGAAGAATTTTTCTTAGTACAGAACAAAATGAAAAGTCTCCCATGTCTACTTCTTTCTACACAGACACAGCAACCATCCGATTTCTCAATCTTTTCCCCACCTTTCCCCCTTTTCTATTCCGCAAAACTGCCATTGTCATCATGGCCCGTTCTCAATGAGCTGTTGGGTACACCTCCCAGACGGGGTGGTGGCCGGGCAGAGGGGCTCCTCACTTCCCAGTAGGGGCGGCCGGGCAGAGGCGCCCCTCACCTCCCGGACCGGGCGGCTGGCCGGGCAGGGGGCTGACCCCCCACCTCCCTCCCGGACGGGGCGTCTCGCCTGGCGGGGGGCTGACCCCCCCACCTCCCTCCCGGACGGGGCGGCTGGCTGGGCAGGGGGCTGACTCCCCCACCTCCCTCCCGGACGGGGCGGCTGGCCGGGCAGAGGGGCTCCTCACTTCCCAGTAGGGGCGGCCGGGCAGAGGCGCCCCTCACCTCCCAGACGGGGTGGCTGGCCGGGGCGGCTGGCCGGGCGGGGGGCTGACCCCCCCACCTCCCTTCCGGACGGGGTGGCTGCCGGGCGGAGACGCTCCTCACTTCCCAGACAGGGTGGCAGCCGGGCGGAGGGGCTCCTCACTTCTCAGATGGGGCGGTTGCCAGGCGGAGGGTCTCCTCCCTTCTCAGACGGGGCGGCCGGGCAGAGACGCTCCTCACCTCCCAGACGGGGCGGCGGGGCAGAGGCGCTCCCCACATCTCAGACGATGGGCGGCCGGGCAGAGACGCTCCTCACTTCCTAGATGGGATGGTGGCCGGGAAGAGGTGCTCCTCACTTCCTAGGTGAGATGGCGGCCGGGCAGAGACGCTCCTCACTTTCCAGACTGGGCAGCCAGGCAGAGGGACTCCTCACGTCCCAGATGATGGGCGGCCAGGCAGAGACGCACCTCACTTCCCAGACGGGGTAGCGGCCGGGCAGAGGCTGCACTCTTGGCACTTTGGGAGGCCAAGGCAGGCGGCTGGGAGGTGGAGGTTGTAGCTGAGATCACGCCACTGCACTCCAGCCTGGGCACCATTGAGCACTGAGTTAACGAGACTCCGTCTGCAATCCCGGCACCTCGGGAGGCCGAGGCTGGCGGATCACTCGCGGTTAGGAGCTGGAGACCAGCCCGGCCAACACAGCGAAACCCCGTCTCCACCAAAAAAATACGAAAACCAGTCAGGCGTGGCGGCGCGCGCCTGCAATCGCAGGCACTCGGCAGGCTGAGGCAGGAGAATCAGGCAGGGAGGTTGCAGTGAGCCGAGATGGCAGCAGCACAGTCCAGAGGGAGACCGTGGAAAGAGGAGAGGGAGAGGGGGAGGGGGAGGGGGAGGGAGCTATTTTGTATTTTTTTAGAAACAGAGTTTTGCTCTGTTGTCCAGACTAGAGTGCAGTGGCCTGATTATGGTTCACGGCAGCGTTGAACTCCTGGGCACAAGCCAACCTCCTGCCTCAGCCTCCCTAGCAGCTGGAACTACAGATGTTTGCTACATCTGGCTTACTTTTTTATTTTTTGTAGAGACAGGGTCTCGCCATGTTGCCCAGGCTGGTCTTGAACTCCTGGGCTCAAGCAATCTTCCCACCTCGTCTCCCAAAGTGCTGGGATTACAGGCTCATGCCATCGCACCCAGCCATCATTTTATTTACTTATCCATTCGAAGTAAATTGTAAACATCAGTATTTGTCACCCCTAAACATTTCAGAAGTACATCATTAGCTAGAGTACAATATTTGTTTATGATTCTTTCCTTGTGGTAAGCTTTGCGGAAAGATTCTTTGTTTATATTGGTGAAATGCACAAATCTAAAATGTACAGTTGGCTGGGCACAGCGACTCACGCCGGTAATCCCGACACTTTGGGCGGCTAGGGCAGGAGCATTGCTTGAGCCCAGGGAGTCGAGATCAGCCTGAGCAACATAAGGAGACCCCCGTCTTTATAAATATATATATTTTTAATTAGCTGGGCATGGTGGTGCACACCTGTGGTCCCAGCTACCTGGGAGGCTGGAGTGGGAGGATCACTTGAGTCCCAGAGGTTGAGCCTGCAATGAGCTGTGATCACACCACTGCACTCCAGCCTGGGCAATAGAGTGAGATCCTGTCTCAATAAAAACAAAAATAAAAAGAATTTAATAAAATAAAATATACAGCCAATGAGTTCTAACAAATGCACAGAGCTGTGTGACCTAGGGTATGGAACATATCCATCACTCCAGAAAGTTGCTTTAGACATGCAAACATTTAAACTTAGTTTGAGTCATGCTAATAACCGGTTTTACAGCATTTTATCCAATTAATAATATAGAGGGTTTAATTCGTCACTTCATGGTTTGTCCTGAAGCTTGCTAACCCATTACATCAGAAAGCCAACCCAGCTAATTTGAAAGTGGATGAGTCAGTGACTGGTGAATAAGTAAACACGAGAGTGAATAAAGAATAGATGGATGAATGAAAATGTAAAGAAATCAGCTGGGGGCAGTGGCTCACGCCTGTAATCCCAGCACTTTGGGAGGCCAAGGTGGGTGTATCACGAGTCAAGAGATTGAGACCATCCTGGCCAACATGGTGAAACCCTGTTTCTACTAAAAATACAAAAATTAGCTGGGCATGGTGGCGCATGCCTGTAGCCCCAGCTACTCAGGAGGCTGAAGCAGGAGAATCACTTGAACCCATGAGGCGGAGGTTGCAGTGAGCTGAGATGGCACCACTGCACTCCAGCCTGGCGACAGAGCAAGACTCCGTCTCAAAAAAAGAAAGAAAAAAAAGAAAGAAATCAATGAATGGGCCAGGCACGGTGGCCCACGCCTGTAATCCCAGCACTTTGGGAGGCGGAGGCAGGCGCACCACCTGAGGTCAGGAGTTCAAGACCAGCCTGGCCAACATGGCAAAACCCTGTCTCTACTAAAAATACAAAAATTAGCTGGGCGTGGTGGTGGGTGCCTGTAATTCCAGCTACTCAGGAGGCTGAGGCAGGAGAATTGCTTGAACGGGAGATGGCAGTTGCAGTGACCTGAGACAGCACCATTGCACTCCAGCCTGGATGACAAGAGCAAAACTCTGTCTCAAAAAAAAAATAAATAAAAATAAAAACAAGAAATCAATGAATGATGAAATCAGCAAAAGAGTGATTTGATGAAAGCATGGTTGGGTGGACAGATGGAGAGAAGAAAATATAAATGAATGGATAACTTTCCAGCTTGAGTTGGAAAAGGGTTGGAAAAAAATAGATAATGAAGAGATGAATGGATAATTGGATAGAAAGAGATGGAAAAGTGATGAATTGCTGAATGGAGGGATGAATGGGCATATGGAGGACAAATGGATGACTGTGATGGAAAGCAGAGAATTACATGGACAAATGGAGGGATGAATAAATGAATGGATGGACGAAAGTTAGACTTCGTAAGGATGGCTGAATGAATAGACAGATAGACTGGTATATGGTTAGATGTTTGGATGGATGGAGAAGATGATGGATGATCAGATGCATGGGTGATGGATAAAAGGTTGAATGAAAGAATGGATGGATAAACAGCTGGATAGAGCTAGACAGACTGGTGAGTAGATGAATAGTTGCATGTTTGGATGAATGGGTGAACATATGGTTGACTGGATGTTTGGAGAGATTGACGATGAGATGATGAGTGCAGAGGTAAATGGATGGGTAGATGGATAAAGGGTTGGATGAAAGGATGGTTGAACAATCAGCTCAATGGATGGATTGATGAGGTCTAGATGGTTGGATGTTTGATTGATGGATGGTTGGATGGACTTTTGGTTGGATACATGGAGAGATTGATGGATGTTGGGATACACGAGTGGAGAGATGGATGCATGGATGGATGGAACGACAGGCTGTATAGTGGTTAAGTGTGCAGATCCTTGGGAGCCAGATCAGCTGGATTTGAATCCTCCTTCTGCCATTTATGCAATGTATAATTTGGGCAATTTGTTTTATTTTCCTTTGTTTCCTCATCTGTTACAGAGGGATGATAATAATTGTTTCTACCTCTTGGGGTTGCTGTGAGAAGTGAATGAGCCCTAAATCAGTGCTTGGGGCATAACCAGATTTATGATGACAGGAGGATGGATGGTCAGATGACTGGATGGATGAAGGATAGATGAAGTGCATGACTGAACCAAGGAAGGGAAGAGTAGCCGGGGAGCAGATGGAGACACACACTCATGAGACACCCTCAGACATTTTATTAGGGGCTTAGAAAGGAGTCCTAGGGGATAATTCTGTTTTCCCATGAGTTATGGCCCCAGGAATAGATTAGATCTGGACATAGGACAAGGTGACATCACCCTGGATTTCCAATGTGTCCACCCTCTGGAAGGCCGAGAGGCGATGGGCAAAGTCAAAGAGGTGCTGGCCATTGGCGTAAACCTTGAAGCGATCCAAGCCACAGCGAATGGACAGCTGCAGGGAGAAGGGTGGGCATGAGGCCAGGGCCAGGACTGAGGCCCTGGAAGGAAGTGGGAAAAGAGAGCTCAGACTCACATCAAAGAACTGTCCGGGACCAAATGGGTTGTGGGTGATCTTCTTCTCCTCGGATCCCCACGAGCCATTCAGAAGGCTGTTCCGGACCACGGTACCGTTGCCCATGCGGGGATTAATGTGCAGAGCTATGTCCCCTGAGGAGCCCACCTTGAAGTTGATAGCAAAGCTGGGGACAGAGAGGGATGGGGGAGTCAGATGGAGTCCAGTGGGAAGAGGCCAGTGGGCTGGACCTCTGAATCCCTAAAGGAGGAGGGGACAGAGGGTCTAGATTGTTGGGTCTGAGGGAGGAGGGGGCTGGGGGTTCCCACCTAGTTTACGTTATACCTCTTGCCTGTGGGAGGCACATAGCCCTTGATGATGATGGTTCTTCGAGCTGTGAGCCCTCCTTGCAGCCTCCCGAAATATGGCACAGGCTGTGGGAAGAGAACGGGGGGTCCCATTCTCTCTCAGCTTAGCAGAGCCAGATGTGGGAAGAAATTTTCTTTTTCTTTTCTTTTCTTTCCTGTCTTTTTTTCTTATAAGAGATGGGGTCTTACTCTGTCACCCAGGCTGGAGTGCAGTGGCATGATCAAGCCTCACTGCAGCCTCAAACTGCTGGGCTCAAGCAATCCTCCCATCTCAGCCTCCCGAAGTGCTGGGATTACAGGCGTGAGCCACCACGCCCAGCCTTGCAGGAACAAAGGAACAAATTTTGTTTTTTTTTTTAGGCAGAGTCTCCCTCTGACGCCCAGGCTGGAGTGTAGTGGCATAATCTCAGCTCACTGCAACCTCTGCCTCCTAGGTTCAAGCAATTCTGCTGCCTCAGCCTTCCTAGTAGCTGGGATTACAGGTGTGCGCCACCACACCTGGCTAACTTTTGTCATTTTAGTAGAGACGGGGATTCATCATGTTGACCAGGCTGATCTGGAACTCTTGACCTCAAGTGATCCACCTGCCTTGGCCTCCCAAAGGGCTGGGATTATAGGCATGAGCCACCGTGTCTGGCCAAGAATAAATTTTCTTTTTCTTTTCTTTTTCTTTTTTTTTTTTTTTTTTTTTTTTTGAGATGGAGTCTCGTTCTGTCACCAGGTTGGAGTACTGTGGCACGATCCCGGCTCACTGCAACCTCCGACTCCCTGGTTCAAGCGATTCTCCTGCCTCAGCTTCCTGAGTAGCTGGGATTACAGGCGCGCGCCACCATGCCCAGCTAATTTTTGTATTTTTAGTAGAGACAGAGTTTCACTATGCTGGCCAGGATGGTCTCGATCGATCTCCTGACCTCGTGATCTGTCCGCCTTGGCATCCCAAAGTGCTGGGATTACAGGCGTGAGCCACCATGTCCAGCCCAAGAACAAATTTTCTGAGAGGTCCCACTCCTCCTGGAAAACATCCCCAATTCCTTCTGCTCCCTAAACCTGACCACGAACTCTATCTACCCTTCCCCTACCTCCCACCCCAAAACCCTCAGCCCACTCCCTTTCTGGCTGTCTCAGATTCCCTGGAGATCCGTGCCCCCTCCCCACCATCCATCTCTGTTTCCCCAAGCCATACCGGGTTGAAGGTTGGGGGTCCTTCCATGGTCTGTGAAGTGAGGAAGAAGCGATATTATTCTCCAAGAGTCGACAGATATCTATGACACACCCATTAGACTCCGGCGTTTCTCTAGGTGCTGGGTTAGTACACCTTGGGCTGCAACCCCTCTTAGCTCCCCCTACCCCAATTCTCACCATTCCCACTCCTCACCCGGGGCCCTCCCAGCCCTCCCACTCACGGGCAGGCTGTTCAGCTGTTGATGGCAATGTCCGGGACCCTGAACGATGGACAGAAGGCAGGAAGGGTGAGAGGGGCTGAGGGACCCCACTAGGGAGGAAGACCCTCACCTATCAGCAAGTACTTACAGGGTAAGGTGGCATCATCGGGGGTCCCTGTGGGCACAGAAAGAGAAAGCGGTTATGAGAGGGTCCCCAGATTTGCGACTGAAAGATGTCGAGAGTGCCTGCCCTGGGGTGGCCCACCACCACCACCACTATGCCAGAGAACTCTGGCATCAAAGGGTGGCACCCCGATCACAGATTCACGGAGAGGGGCACCCCATGTTCTGGGATCGCTGATGCCCAGTGAGTCACCCCAAAGCTTTAGGACAATGCTTGGTCCATTTTGTTCTCTGTGCCCTTCCCCTTGCTGTCTTCCTGCTGTCCCGGGGCCCTCACTCGCTGATCTTGATCTCAGTTTCTGCCTCTGTCCCTGTGTCTCTGCCTCTCTCTCTGTCTTGGCCACACCTCAGCGCAGGGGCTTCCTTCTGCCAAACACTTTTATTTATTTATTTGAGATGGAATTTCGCTCTTGTTGCCCAGGGTGCCGTGCAGTGGCACGATCTCTGCTCACCTCAACCTCTGCCTCCTGGGTTCAAGTGATTCTCCTGCCTCAGCCTCCGGTGTAGCTGGGATTACAAGCATGCGCCACCACGCCCAGCTAATTTTGTATTTTTAATAGAGATGGGGTTTCTCCATGTTGGTCAGGCTGGTCTCAAACTCCCGACCTCAGGTGATCCGCTCGCCTCACCCTCCCAAGTCTAACACCTTTAACTTTTACTCTCTCTCTTTCTCTCTGTTACCTTCTCTTTTCTCCTCCTTGTAATTAACTCCATTCTGCCTTGACTTCTATTCTCAGCCAGCTATTCTGAAGGCCTTTTAAAAGTAGCTTTATATAGCCGGGCGTGGTGGCAGGTGCCTGTAATCACAGCTACTTGGGAGGCTGAGGAAGAATTCCTTAAACCTGGGAGGCAGAGGGTGCAGTGAGCTGAGATCATGCCACTGCACTCCAACCTGGGCCACAGAGCAAGACTCCATCTAAAAAAAAAACAAAAAACAAAAAACAAACAAACAAATAAACGTAGCTTTATAAGCCGGGGGCTGTGGCTCACGCCTGTAATCTCAGGACTTTGGGAGGCTGAGGTGGGTGGATCACCTGAGGTCAGGAGTTCAAGACCAGCCTGGACAACATAGGAAAATTCCTCCCCTCTGTCTTTACAAAAAATTTAAAAACTAGCTGGGGCTGGTGGTGCGTGCCTGTAGTCCCAGCTACTCAGGAGACTGAGGTGGGAGGATCACTTGAACCCAGGAAGTCAAGAATACAGTAGGCTGTGATTGCACCACCACACTCCAGCCTGGGTGACAGAGCCAGACCCTGCCTCAAAAATAATAATAATAATAATAATAATAATAATAATAATAATAATATTGATAAACTCAATTTAATTGTATGTTATTTATTTTTAATGATTGTGTTAAGCAACCTCTAGGGAATTCATTCACTATCGTGTGTTCTTTGCCTTTCCTTATCCTCACTTTCTGACTCACCTTACACACTTCCTCCTACTCCAGGAAGCACTTCCTTCCTGACCCATGACTAGTCAAGCCCTTCCTGTAGGCTCCCAAACCTCCTGTATACTCCATATCCCAGCCCCTGCCCCTCTGCCTGTGCCCTCCCTATCACAGACCTGACCATTTCTGGGCTGTCACTCTCTGATGCCATGTCTGTGAGCCCAGTGAGGTCAGGGCCCAGAGATATCTCAGTCATTCCTGTCTCCAGCCCTGGGCCTGACCCCTCTGCCTGCCTCCACCCACCCTCCTGTCCTGGCCCTGATCCCTCTGTCTGGGCCCAAACCCAACTGCAACCCTTCAGCCAGGGCCTCCCCATCCCGGCCTTTATCCCTTGCAGTGATGGGTCTGTCTTCCCAGTGGGATCCCTTGATCATCACTGGGCTCTTGGCATAACTCAGCAGAGGGAGATGCTTGGGAAATAAATGAATGTGGAATGCGCTGGGCACCATGGCTCACACCTGTAATCCCAGCACTCTGGGAGACTGTAGCCAGCAGATCACTTGAGGCCAGGAGTTCCAGACCAGCCTGGCCAACATGGTGAAACCCCGTCTCTACTAAAAATACAAAAATTAGCCAGATGTGATGGTGGGTGCCTGTAATCCCAGCTACTTGGGAGGCTGAGGCAGGAGAATTGCTTAAAACTGGGAGGCAGAGGTTGCAGTGAGCCAGAATCACACCACTGTACTCCAGCCTGGGAGACAGAGCAAGACTCCATCTCAAAAAGAAAAAATAGACCAACTGCGGTGGCTCACGCCTGTAATCCCAGCACTTTGGGAAGTCGAGGTGGGTGGATCATGAGGTAAGGAGATCGAGACCATCTTGGCTAACACAGTGAAACCCTGTCTCTACTAAAAATACAAAAAAATTAGCCGGGCGTGGTGGCAGGCTCCTGTAGTCCCAGCTATTTGGGAGGCTGAGGCAGGAGAATGGCGTGAACCTGGGAGGCGGAGCTTGCAGTGAGCCAAGATCGCGCCACTGCACTCCAACCTGGGCGACAGAGTGAGACTCCGTCTCAAAAAAAAAAGAAAAAAAGAAAAAAAGAAAAAAAATGAATGTGGAACTGAATTTAGAAAGAAAGGACGCAAGAAGGGATGGGACCCCTCACACCTGGGGCCGGAGGGGCTGGCCTCCGATGAAGTTGATTGATTGAAGTTGCAGATCCCCATCCACTTGCAGGTGGGTGACCATCTGTAGGGGAAGCCGGTGCCCGTACTCATAGAAGGGATTTCCATTTACCACCACCTGGAGGGCAGAGATGGGAGGTCAGGAGTCAGCACCCATGATCCTGGGAAGGTACAAACAGGAAGCAAGGGCAGGGCACCCTGGCTCACGCCTCTAATCCCAGCACTTTGGGAGGCTGAGGGGGGTGGATCATTTGAGATCAGGAGTGTGAGACCAGTCTGGCCAACATAGTGAAACCCCATCTCTACTAAAAATACAAAAATTAGCCAGGCATGGTGGCGGGCTCCTGTAATCCCAGATACTCAGGAGGCTGAGGCAGGAGAATCGCCTGAACCCGGGAGGTGGAGGTTGCAGTGAGTGGAGATCACGCTGCTGCACTCCAGCTTGGGTGACAGAGCAAGACTCTGTCTCAAAAAAAAAAAAAAGCAAGGATCAGGGATCTTTTTCATTGGGAGTCGATAGTCTTGGGGATGAGCTGGGACAGCCTCAGCATCAGGAACCTTGGAGTCCACAGCTCAGAGGTCAAGCTAAGGTCAAAAATCAGCTCACTGGCCGGGCGCAGTGGCTCATGCCTGTAATCCCAGCACTTTAGGAAGCCAAGGTGGGGGATCATTTGAGATCAAGAGTTCGAGACCAGCTTGAGAAACATAGCAAGACCCCGTCTTTACAAAAATATACAAAAATTAGCCGGGCGTGGTGGTGTGCACCTAGAGTCCCAGCTACTCCGGAGGCTAATGTGAGAGGATCACCTGAGCCCGGGGAGGTTGAGGCTGTAGTGAGCTGTTTGCATCACTGCACTCCAGCCTGGGCAACAGAGCGAGACCCAGTCTCAAGAGGAAAACAAAAAGTACACGTTTTGCAAAAAACACAAAGTGGTAGGAGGAAATACACATGAAATGTATTACAAGACTCTCAGCAGTAGGGTAATGGGACTAAGGAAAAGCGCTAAAAGAGGATTTTTAAAAATAGGCAGGAAACGGCCGCCCTTCGTCTGGGAGGTGAGGAGCGCCTCTGCCCGGCCGCCCCGTCTGGGAAGTGAGGAGCGCCTCTGCCAGGCCGCCCTGTCTGGGAAGTGTACCCAACAGCTCCGAAGAGACAGCGACCATCAAGAATGGGCCATGATGACGATGGCGGTTTTGTCGAAAAGAAAAGGGGGAAATGTGGGGAAAAGAAAGAGAGATCAGATTGTTACTGTGTCTGTGTAGAAAGAAGTAGACATAGAAGACTCCATTTTGTTCTGTACTAAGAAAAATTCTTCTGCCTTGAGTTGCTGTTAATCTGTAACCTTACCCTGTGTTCCCTGAGACATGTGGTGTGTCAACTCAGGGTTAAATGGATTAAGGGCTGTGCAGGATGTGCTTTGTTAAACAGAGGCTTGAAGGCAGCATGCTCCTTAAGAGTCATCACCACTCCCTAATCTCAAGTACCCAGGGACACAAACACTGTGGAAGGCCGCAGGGCCCTCTGCCTAGGAAAACCAGAGACCTTTGTTCACGTGTTTATCTGCTGACCTTCTCTCCACTATTATCCTATGACCCTGCCACATCCCCCTCTCTGAGAAACACCCAAGAATGATCAATAAATAAAAATAAATAAATAAATAAATAATAAAATAAAATAAAATAGGCAGGAAAGAAGGAAAAGAAAAGAAAGAAGTTGACATAAAAAGTGGGGATGGAAAAAGGAAATAAATGAAGGAGGGAAGGAGAGAGAAGGAAGAAGAGAGGAGGGAAGGGGGAAGGAAGGAGGGGAGGAAAGAGGAGAGAACAGAGAAAGAGGAAGGAAAAAGAGGAAAAAGAAGGAAGGGGCTGGGTGTGGTGGCTCACGCCTGTAATTCCAGCACTTTGGGAGGCCAAGGAGGGCAGAACACCTGAGGTCGGGAGTTCGAGGCCAGCCTGGGCAACATGGTGAAACCCCATCTCTACTCAAAATACAGAAATTAGCTGAGCGTGGTGGCACGCGCCTATAATCCCAGCTACTCGGGAGGCTGAGGCAGGAGAAGCTCTTGAACCCAGCAGGCAGAGGTTGCAGTAAGCTGAGATCATGCCACTGCACTCCAGCCTGGGCAACAGAGTGAAACTCCATCTCAAAAAAAAAAAAAAAAAAAAGAAAGAAAGAAAGAAAAGGAAGGAAGGCGGGAAGGAAGGAAGCAGCCAAGATGGCGCCACTGCACTCCAGCTTGGGAAACAAGAGAGAAAGCATGCAGACCTTGTAGTGCTCAGCCAGGACTATGAAGACCAGCTCAAAGGCGGCACCCTTTTTGAAGGGCATGCTCCTCTTCCTCTCCTCGCTGCCCCACTTCCCGCCCTGCAACGTGTTGAAGACCACCTTGTCCCAGCCGTCAAACCGCGGATTGAAGTGGAAGGCGACGTCTGAGCCCGGATCCTGCCCAACCACAAAGTTCACGAAGAACCTGGCGGGACACAAAGGGCTCATTCCCCTGGTGCCACCTCCCGGGGCCTGGGGGCCTCCTCCAGGAAGCCCTCTCCCTGCCGCCCTGTCCTCGGCCTCCCTGGCCCGGACCTCAGCACCAGCTCTGAGGGGCAACCTTGGCACTGTGGGCCACAGCGTGGAGAGGACCTGAGTTCTGAGGGGGGCAGATTCCCACCACCACACCTTCGCTCACAGCCTTTCCTTCTTTTTTTTTTTTTTTTTTTTTTTGAGATGGAGTCTTGCTCTGTTGCCCAGGCTGGAGTTGGAGTGCCGCGATCTCAGCTCACTGCAACCTCCGCCTCCTGGATTCCAGTGATTCTCCTGCCTCAGCCTCCCAAGTAGCTGGGATTACAGGCGTGCACCACCACGTCCGGCTAATTTTTGTATTTTTAGTAGAGACAGGGTTTCACCATGTTGGCCAGGCTGATCTCAAACTCCTGACCTCAGGTGATCCACCTGCCTCGGCTTCCCAAAGTGCTGGGATTACAGGTGTGAGACACCGTGCCTGACATTTTTTTTCTTGAGACAGGGTCTTGTGTTCTCACCCTGTCCCCCAGGCTGGAGTACAGTGGCCACGATGGTGGCTCACTGCAGCCTCAACCTCCTGGGTCAACTGATTCTCCTGCCTCAGCCTCCCTAGTAGCTGGGACTACAGGTGCATGCCACTATGCCTGGCTTTTTTTTTTTTTTTTTTTTTTTTTTGTAGAGATGGGGTCTCACTATGTTGCCGAGGCTGGTCTCAAACTCCCGGGCTCAAGCAATCCTACCACCTCGGCCTCTCAGAGTGCTGGGATTACAGGTGTGAGTTGCTGTACCCAGCCCACCTTGCCTTCTTAGACCACCTCCTCCACCCTCTTCCCAACTTCCAGTTATGACTGTTACAAGTCTGCCACGGGCCAGGCCCTGTCCTATGCACTTTGGGTCTCCCTGCTCCCCTCCTGGCCCTGAAGATCATTTCCCTCATGCAGCCAGAGGGTCCCTGTGTACACCCATGACGCATCATATTCCGCACCCCTGGGCACACCAGCATCCTTGAAATTACTCCCCAGGACAGGCCTGTCTCAGGGCCTTTGCACTGGCTGTTCCCTCTGCCTGGAAGGCCCTTCCCTCAGCTGTCCCTGGGGATCCCTCTCTCCGTTCCTTCTGTTCTTTGCTGATATGTTCCCTTCCCAGGCAGGCCTTCTCTGGCCACCTTTTTAATTTTTTTGAGACAGTCTCCCTTTGTCACCTAGGCTGGAGTGCAGTGATGCGATCTCAGCTCACTGCAAACTCTGCCTTCAGGATTCAAGTGATTCTCCCACATCAGGCTCTCAAGTAGCTGGGATTACAGGCACCTGTCACCATGCCTGGCTAATTTTGTATTTTCAGCAGAGATGAGATTTCGCCTTTTTTTTTTTTTTTTTTTTTTTTTTGAGATGGAGTCTCGCTCTTTCGCCCAGGCTGGAGTGCAGTGGCGCAATCTTGGCTCACTGCAAGCTCCGCCTCCTGGTTTCACGCCATTCTCCTGCCTCAGCCTCCCGAGTAGCTGGGACTACAGGCACCCGCCACCATGCCCAGCTAATTTTTTGTATTTTTAGTAGAGACGGGGTTTCACTGTGTTAGCCAGGATGGTCTCGATCTCCTGACCTCGTGATCCGCCCGTCTCTGCCTCCCAAAGTGCTGGGATTACAGACGTGAGCCACCACGCCCAGCCAGATGCGATTTTGCCATTTTGGCCAGGCTAGTCTCGAGCTCCTGACCTCAGGTGATCTGCCTGGCTTAGCCACCCAAAGTGCTGGGATTACAGGCGTAAGCCACCATGCCCGGCCAGGCCACCCTATTTAAGGGGACAATTTAAAGGGAACCTCTGTCCGCACATACACTCCCCATCTCCCTTCCCTCCTCATTTTCTTCATAGCACTTAATATCATCTGACATCTTACATATTTGACTTTTTTTTTTTTTTTTTTTGAGACAGAGTCTCACTCTTGTTGCCCAGGCTGTAGTGCAATGGCACGATCTCGGCTCACCGAAACCTCCACTTCCCAGGTTCAAGTGATTCTCCTGCCTCAGCCTCCTGAGTAGCTGGGATTACAGGCATGCGCCACCACGCCCTGGTAATTTTGTATTTTTAGTAGAGACAGGGTTTCTCCATTTTGGTCAGGCTGGTCTTGAACTCCCGATCTCAGGTGATCTGCCTGCCTAGGCCTCCTAAAGTGCTGGGATTACAGGCCTGAGCTACCGCGCCCGGCCTGGACTTATTTTTTATGTTTCCCCTACTAGGACATCAGCTCCACGAGGGCAGGGGTCTCTGTCCTGTTCACTCCTCCATCCCTAGTGCCAGGACACAGAATAGGCACTCAGTGAAGAAGTAAACAATAAATAAATAAACAACAGGCTGGGCAGAGTGGCTCATACCAGTGCCTGATCCTCCCAGCACTTTAGGAGGCCGAGGCTAGAGGATCGCTTGAGCACAGGAGTTCAAGACCAGCCTGGGCAACATAACAAGACTTTGTCTCTACAAAACAAATAATAATAATAAATAAAAATTAAAAATTAAATTAGTTGGGCATGGTGGCACATGTCTGTAGTCCCATCTGCTTGGAAAGATGAGGTAGGAGGATCACTTTAGCCCAGGAGTTGGAGGCCGAAGTGAGCTATAATATTGTGCCACTGCACTCCAGCTTGGGCAACAGAGCAAGACCCTATCTCTAAGGAAAAAAAAAGTCCTATGAGGCCAATCATTATCAACGTGTTAAGGCCCTTTTTAAAAAGCTAAGACTGGGCCAGGCGCAGTGGCTCACGCCTGTAATCCCAGCACTTTGGGAGGCCGAGATGGGAGGATCACTTGAGGTCAGGAGTTCGAGACCAGCCTGACCAACATGGTGAAACCCCATCTCTACTAAAAATACAAAAATTAGCCAGTGTGCTGGCACATGCCTGTAATCCCAGCTACTCAAGAGGCTGAGGCAGGAGAATCGCTTGAACCTGGGAGACAGAGGTTGCAGTGAGCCAAGATCATGCCATTGCACTCCAGCCTGGGCGACAAGAGCAAAACTCCATCTCAAAACAAAAAAAAAAACAAAAAAAACAAAAACAGAAAAGAAAAGAAAATGAAGCACAGAGAGGTATAGTCACTTTCACTCTTTCACCAACACAGAGCTGGGGAGTGGCAGAGCTGGGATTTTAACTCGGGGACCCGGCTCTGAGCCTGTGATCTGAATTCCTGCCATTGCACCCATCAGCTTCAGTCTAATGTCCAACTCAGGGACTGCCTCTCACGGTGAGCCCTCCCTGAACCTTCTGGCCCCCACGTCCCCACTCCTGATCTGCCCCAGATTCATCTCTGGCTATTGGGTGGGGCAGAAAAAGAGTCCCCTCTCCACCAGGGTGGGGTAAGGGCAGAAAGCCCCCAACAGCCAGGCCCAGAGCACCCAGTTGGAAGTCCCCTGCCAGCCCGGCCTGGCTTGGGGAGGGTCTTACCGCTTCATGTGCTCGCTGGCCACTCCTTGGATGTAAACAGACATTCCCACGTTGAGCCCGCCCGGGATGGGCTGGTAGTAAGGCAGCGTCTGGAGAAGAGGCCTGGTGAGGGGACTCACAAGCCATCTGCCTGTTGCAGCCTTTACCCCTCCCAGAAAAGCCCCCCAGTCCCTTAAGCAGGAGAGAGGAAACCATGGGGGAGGACCAGGTTGAAGATGACGAGGGCCAACAGTTAGACGTGGACACAGACAGCCTGAGGTCAGGGTAGGAGTAAATCGAGGGTCGGGGTCAGCTTTGGGTAAATCAGACCACAGAGTCAGATGGGGCCCCCCAGGATCAGAGTGGGGAAAATTGGTGTGAGGGCTTATGGACGGAGCTGCGGGCGGAGTGGGGCCTGAGCTGGCATCTCACCGGGTTGTAGGTGGGCTGGTAGCCCGGTGCGGGGACATAGGCCATCGCTCGAGGCTGCGCTAGTGGCTGGTCCTGTGAGAAGAGCTGCAGGAGTGGGAGATGGTGGCGGATGGCAGGCGGTGGTGGCTCTTATACCCAGGGTAAGGGAGTGGCTGGCAGGGGAGGGTCCACAGGGCTCCTCTTCTGGGACTCTCAGGCTGTCGGCTTCTCCTAGAGCGCACCCTAGTCTCCCTTCCCTTGCCAGCTTCCCTGGTGACCAGCCAGGACCCAAATCACCTGGGTCCCCTCCCCTACGCCCTCCTGCAAAGAGGAAGTGCTCATGAACTTCGGCCCTGCCAGGGCCTTATCAGAGCCCATAAAACCCTGCCCAGACTTCTGTTGGCAGAGGGAGGGTGAGACCAGGCAGGGCAGGGCAGGCTGCAGGAATGACCCAGGACAGGTGGGCAGCGGAGGAGGAGAACGCGGAGGAACTGCAAATTCCTGCCTCTCCCAGCAACTGTGAAGGGACCTACGTTGATTGCGTGCCCACCACACATCTTTACCACGTATGTTGTATTGTAGGGAGAGTGGTTTAGATTACTAGTGTGTGGAGCCAGAGGTTCTAGGTTCAAATCCTGCCTTTGCCACTTCTCAGCTGTATGATCATGGGTCAGTGCCTTACCCTCAATTTGCCCATGTGCTCATCTGTAAAATGGGGATATAGTAGTATCGGCTGGGTGCAGTGGCTCATGCCTGTAATCCCAGCACTTTGACTGGCCGAGGTGGATGGATCACCTGAGGGCAGGAGTTCGAGACCAGCCTGGCAAAATCCCAGTCTCTACTAAAAATACAAAAATTAGCCAGGCATGGTGGTGGGTGCCTATAATCCCATCTACTTGGAGGCTGAGGCAGGAGAATCACTTGAACCTGAGTGGAGGAGAGTGCAGTGAGCCAAGGTCACGCCACTGCACTCCAGCTTGGATGACAGATGGAGACTCTGTTTCAAAAAAAAAAAAAAAAAAAAAGGAATTCATAAGAGAGGAAACAAGTATTGAATAGCTATCAAAATATTTTAAAAATGAATTTGTGATCCAGTAATGCCTGTATGTTATTAATCTGCCAAATAAGTTCTAGCTGTGGGTCCAACTGCCACTCAGAAAAATAAATAAATAAAGAAAAGAGTAGTATCAACCTTAGGCTGGGTGTGGTGGCTTGTGCCTACAATCCCAGCAATTTGGGAAGCTGAAGCAGGAGGACTGCTTGAGCCCAGGAGTTCAAGACCAGCCTGGGCAACATAGTGAGACCCCCATCTCTACAAAAATAAAATAAAAATTAGCTGGGCATGGTAGCACACATCTGTATTCCTAGCTACTCAGAGGCTGAGGCAGGAGGATCGCTTGAACCCAGGAGTTAAGGTTACAGTGAGCTATGATCATGCCACTGCACTCCAGCCTGGGTGACAGACTAAGAGTCCGTCTCTAAAAATAGCAACAATAATAGTCATAATAATAATAATCATAATAGTATCAACTTCATAGAGTCCTTGATCATTAAGATAATAAATGCTCAGAACAGGACATAGCATATAGAAGTCATTAACTTAATGCTTGGTCTCTTGCAGTCATTCCAAACATAAATCCGGAAGATTGGGATGATATATGGATAAAAAATCCCAAAGTTTTGTTTGCTCATTTTTGAGACAGAGTCTTGCTCTATCACCCAGGCTGCAGTGCAGTGGCACCATCTCAGCTCACTGCAACCTCCACCTCCCAGGTTCAAGGGATTCTCCTGCCTCAGCCTTCTGAATAGCTGGGATTACAGGCTTACTCCACGCCTGGCTAATTTTTGTATTTTTAGTAGAGACCAGGTTTTGCCATGTTGGCCAGGCTGGTCTCAAACTCCTGACCTCAAGTGATCCACCTGCCTCAACCTCCCAAAGTGCTGGAATTACAGGCATGAGCCACTGCACCCGGCCAGAAACCCCAAAGTCCTTTTTTGTTTTGTTTTTTCTTTTTTTGAGACAGAGTCTCACTCTGTCACCCAGGCTGGACTGCAGCAGCATGATCTCAGCTCACTGCAAACTCACCTCCTGGGTTCAAGGATTCTCCTGCCTCAGCCTCCCGAGTAGCTGGGACTAGAGGCACCTGCCACCACACCTAGCTAATTTTTGTATTTTTAGTAGAGACTGGGTTTCAACATGTTGACTAGGCTGGTTGCAAACTCCTGAGCTCAGGCAATCCACCTGCGTCAGCCTCCAAAAGTGCTGGGATTACAGGTGTGAGACGCCAGCATCAGATCCCATGTGCTGTGCAGTGAGAGGTGCCAGGCAGGGCACGAACGCCACCCTCAACCCCAGGGCAGGCAGGGAGACCAGGAAGCCTTGCAACCCAGAGGGACCCCAGCGACTTTTGCTCACTCCCTCCGCCCCGGAATTCCTTGTGCCCCTCGCCTGCCCGCTGCCAGTCTGAATGGCCATCACCTCCATGCCACCCATTCCCATGCATCCAACCTCTAGCCCCAGCCTTCAGGACTGCAGTCTCTGGAGCCCCTAGGTGCATCCCAGCCCCTCCCACCTCTCCTCTATCCAAGAAGGGCACCAGGTTCTTTACTTTGCTTTATTGTTTGTGGGGTGAAGATAAGGCCTTGGGCTTGAGAAACTCATTGTCATAAAGTTATAAACTGGGAAACTGGGTCAGAAGGCATAGAAACAACTGTCATCGCCCATCCTCCCTTTCTGTGGATGAGGCGGGACAAGGCCGGCCCCCTGGCTGGGGCCTGGGACGCGAGGGCTCTCAGAGCTTGGAGAAGGTGACGGTTTTCAGTTCCTTGTTCTCAGTCGTGGCCTGGACCGACTTCACGAGGTCTTGGGTCTGCAGCATGCTCATGTTCCAGGACGCCTGGTACCGAGGGTGTTGAGAGAGAACGAGGAGAGAGATTAGCAGGGGCCAATCAGGATAAAGCATGAGAGCACCCTGCACCCTGGTTGGTCGCCTGGGGTTAGAGGAGGGCTGTGATTGGTCGGAGCGTGCACCTTACCACGTAGTTGAGGCTCTCGGCCACCGAATGGTCGCGGGAATACAGCAGGTTGACCTTGGTGCTCTGCACCGCCACGGGGCTCTTGCTGGAAATCTCGGCCGCCAGCGCTAAGGCAGCATCCAGCATGACCTCTTTGTCTGGGAACACCCGGCTGCAGTGAAAGAGATCAGGGACCGGGTGGGCTGGGAAGGGCTCTCTCCTCCAGCCTCCCGCAGATGAAGAAGTGGCCACTCACAGAGGAAGGCCCAAGACCCCAGAGAAACAGCCCAATCAGAGCAGGGGGCTGACCCCACAATAAAGAAATGAGCTCACCAAGAAAGGATGCCACTAGGAATTCTAGAGCGAGGAGACAAGGGGACCCGGAGAGGCCTCCAACCCTCCAGGCCTGGCTGCCCCCAGCACTGAGCTACCACGGCCATGGCCCTACCTGACCAGCCCACTGCCCAGGGCCTCGTCAGCCATCATCTTGCGGGCGGTGAAGGCCAGCTCGTTGACCAGGCTGCAAAGGCAAGCGTGCATCAGGAGGCGGCTGCCACCCCGGGGCTGGGAGATGCTCTGGGGTCTCCTGCCCACACCCCCACACCCCCTGCACCCACCTCTGGTTCCCGATGACCTTGGGCAGGCGCTGCAGTGTTCCTACATCGGCAGCCAAACCCACGTCCACCTCCTGGGGGAGGAATCGGGTCAGTGTTTGGTTTCTGCCCAATACTGTGCCCCTCGCAATGTCAACGTCCATGAAATTTCATGTCTACTGGAGAGTCCCGCCCCACCTTCACCCCAGTGACTTCCTCCAAAGTCCCATTCCATTGCCCAGGCAGCTTCTTGACTCAGGCAAGTTCCTTCAACCTAGAATAGAGCCCACCTTCCCACTCATGCACCCTCCCATTCCCTCAGGGCAGCTCCATCTGTGAGAGAGGAACCCTCCTCACCCTACCTGAGACCCCTTTACTGCATCCCCCGGCTCCATCCTGCCTCCCACCCTCACCAGTATGGCCCCAGGAGCAATCTCTGCCTCTGACACCTGCCAGCCTCAACCCCACCTCATACCTTACCCACTCACAACTTCACCTCTTGACTTCCTCTATGGGCAAGTCTTACTTTGTCGGGTTCAACTCCGACTCTTCCATGAAGCCCTCGAGGCTCACTCCAGGCCCCCCAACCTCACCCCACTGCCCAGCTCTAAGCAGGAGCTCGGGAGGATGACTCACCTTCACCTGGAAGAAAGCATCCTGGGCACAGTACCGGATGTCACAGGCGGTGACAAGGTCCACACCTAGGAGGTAGAGGCCAGGGATGCTGAATGACCACCAGAACCAACCCTGGCTCCCGGGAGGTGGGGCTGCCTCTTGGGACACAGTCTGGCCCATGACAGAGCTGAGGCTGGATGCCAGTGGCCGCGGCATCGGAGCAGCAGCCCCACCTGGGGAGCACCCGAGCAGGAGGATAGCCGCAGACTCACCTCCGCCAATGCAGCCCCCATGGACGGCAGCAATCACGGGCTTGGGGCACTGAGAGGGAACAGGAAGAGTGGGGTCAGGGCTGGCCCAGGGGAGGCGCGTATGGAGAAAGATCCCCTCCAGACCCCTAGAGTCACCCTCTCGATGACGTTGAAGGTCTCCTGGTATCGAGTGATGATGTCACGGAGGTACCAGCTGATCCGGGCCACATCATCTCCTTTGGGCTGCAGGATGTCCGAAGCCATGTCCATCAGGTCAATACCTGGTGAGAAGGCATGATGGAGCTCATCCAGGCTCCCAGGCCCCACCCATTGACTCAACCAGGGATCAGAACCCAGGCACAGCAGGTTCGAACCCCCAAACCACCAAGGCGGAAAAAAAACAACTCACACAGGACTTGGTGAGGGATTGATTGCATGTTGGGTGGGAAGGAAATAAAAGCTAATATTTGTGGAGTCATTACTCACAGAATCCTCACAGCAACCGTACCAGCTAGGTCCTATTACTATTTGTGTTACCAATGGGTAAACTAAGGCACAGAGAGGTTAAGCACTTGCCCAAGGGGGTCACACTGGCTGGTGAGTAGTGAGTAATGAACTATTTAAATTAACTCATTAATGTTTTTAGAGACAGGGTCTCACTCTGTTATACCAGCTAGAGTGCAGTGGCACGATCATGGCTCACTGCAGCCTCGAACTCCCAGGTTCAAGCAATCCTCCCACCTCAGCCTCCTGAGTGGCTGGGACTGTGCCGAGGCTGCTCTTGAACTCCTGGGCTCAAGCGATCCTCCCACCTTGGCATCCCAAAGCACTGGGATTACACGTGTGAGCCACCATGCCGCATCAGAAGTAGGATTTTAAAATCTGGAACCATGCAGCTGGCTCCAGAGGCCATGCTTTTCCCCAAGATGCCAGACAGCCTGGGACTCAAGGTCTGCAGCGTGAGCAATGCAGTCAATGGTGGTGATGTTTCCTGAGATGAGAAACATCTCACGATGCAGCAATTTCTGTGGCTCCAACTTCAAGATGATCCTGAATCTGACCTTTCCTGCATCAGTTGTTCTCCATGAGCCCACCCTGCTCTCCCTGTTTCCACCTGTGTCCCCAGTCTATTCCCTACAGGCAGCCAGGGGAAGCCAGTGGACACCTTCTTGGGTCAGATCCTCTTTTTTTTTATTTTATTTTTTTTATTTCAGACAGAGTCTCGCTCTTGTCGCCCAGGCTGGAGTGCAGTGGCAGGATCTCGGCTCAATGCAACCTCCGCCTCCCGGTTCAAGTGATTCTCCTACCTCAGCCTCCCAAGTAGCTGGGATTACAGGCGCCCACCACCATGCCCGGCTAATTTTTGTATTTTTAGTAGAGACGGGGTTTTGCCATGTTGGCCAGGCTAGTCTCAAACTCCTGACCTTGTGATCCACCCACCTCGGCCTCCCAAAGTGCTGGGATTACAGGCGTGAGCCACCGTGCCCGGCCCAGACCCTCTTTTTCCCACCTGTGGCTCTTAGAACAAAATGGAACGTCCTTGTCATGACTACCCTGCATGAACACTGTTCCCAACCTGTTACTTTGGGCACACTGGCCTCCAACTCTGTGTGTGTGTGTGTGTGTGTGTGTGTGTGTGCACTGTTCCCAACCTGTTACTTTGGGCACACTGGTCTCCAACTCTGTGTGTGTGTGTGTGTGTGTGTGTGTGTGTGCGGGCACGTGCATTTGAGCCCAGGAGTTGGAGGCTGCGGTCAGCTATGATCGCACCACTGCACTCCAGCCTGGGCGACAGAGCAAGACCCTGGCTCAAAAATAAAAAATAAAAAGAAAAGAAAATGGCAGGACAGAGAGGTGAAAAGACAAGTGGAAATAGGATCCAGATCACTGCCTGAGGGCTGTGCAGTGGTACAGAATCTTCTCATTGAGAAGGTGACCTTGAGTAAAGACCCAGAGGAGAGGGAGGGAGCCAAGGACCTTTGGGCTGACAACCATCCCTCCCTCTTCAACAGCCACAGACTGACTCCTTCACTTCCTTCAGCTATAGCTCAAAGGTCACCTCCTAGAGAGGCCCTCCCTGGCCAACCTGGCTCAACGATGGCCCCATCCCCCGCATCCTGACCCCGCCTTACCTCCGGGCTGCACAGCTGCTATCCTATAATTAGGTCCTTATCTGCTTGAGGGTCTGACTCCCTTTCTAGAATGTGAGCTCTGAGAACACAGGAGTTTTTGTCTTTCTGTCCACTGCTGCATCCCCTGGGCCTAGCACAGGGCCTGGCGCACACGAGCTGCTCAATAAATGATCAATACAGACAACAGTCCCTGTCCTCATGGGGAGGCAAACAAATGAATAAAAAAGTATATTTTGGGGCTGGGCGTAGTGGCTCACACCTGCAATCCCAGCACTTTGGAAGGCAGAGGCAGGAGGATGGCTTGAGGCTAAGATTTTGAGAACAGCCTGGGCAACATTGCAAGACCTCTTCTCTACAAACAATGAAAAAATTAGCTGCACATGAGGCTGGGCATGGTCACCTGTAATCCCAGCACTTTCGGAGGCTGAGGTGGGCGGATCGTTTGAGCCCAGGAGTTGCAGGCTGCGGTCAGCTATGATCGCGCCACTGCACTCCAGCCTGGGCGACAGAGCAAGACCCTGGCTCAAAAATAAAAAATAAAAAGAAAAGAAAATGGCAGGACAGAGAGGTGAAAAGACAAGTGGAAATAGGATCCAGATCACAGCCTGAGGCCAAAGTCCCCCTTACTTTTTTTTTTTTTTTTTTTTTTTTTGAGATGTAGTCTCACTCTATCGCCCAGGCTGGCGTGTAGTGGCGCGATCTCGGCTCACTGCAAGCTCCGCCTCCTGGGTTCACGCCATTCTCCTGCCTCAGCCTCCCTAGTAGCTGGGACTACAGGCGCCTGCCACCATGCCCGGCTAATTTTTTACATTTTTAGTAGAGACGGGGTTTCACTGTGTTAGCCAGGATAGTCTCCATTTCCTGACCTCGTGATCCGCCTGCCTCAGCCTCCCAAAGTGCTGGGATTACAGGTGTGAGCCACGGCGCCCGGCAATCCCCCTTACTTTTAACCAGCATGCCAGCTACTCAGATGACAGACATTTAGCAGCTAAGAGCAAGGACTCTATAGCCAGGCAGCATGAGTTCCAAAATCCCAGCTCTGCCACTTACAAGCTGTGATTATTGGGTAAGTTTCTTGCTCTCTGGATCTGTTTCACCTTTAAATGGGGCTTATAGCAGAACCTGTCTTGTGGACTGTGATTAGAATTAATATGTTTAACGTGCTTAGAAAGGGGCGTCACACACCATGAGTGCTACATAATTGTGGCCACCTTTTTCTTTCTCTAATTAGTAGTTCTACTCTATCACTGGGTCACTGCATGACCTGCCGTTTCTTCCTTCTGGCCTTCGGGGTCTTGCTGCTGAAAATAAGATAAGACGGCCACATTCAGCTGGGAGCTGAAAGATGAAGGACCTGGGCCCGGCACAGCCACAAAAAAGCCCCATTTTTCTGTTCTCAGACATGATCTCTATGAGAGCAAGGGGTCAGGAATCGGGGCTGCTTCCCGTTTCCACATCTGCAGCACCCAGGAGGGGGCTCTGGCACTGGACTGTGTCACTGAATGTTTGTCAAATGAATGAACAAATGAACAAGAGGAGGAACAGAGGGAGATGCAGAAAGAAAGCAGGAGGCTGGGTGCGGTGGCTCATGCCTGTGATCCCAGCACTTTGGGAGGCTGAGGCAGGAGGATCGCTTTAGATCAGGGGTTCGAGACCAGCCTGGGCAACATAGCAAGCCCTGCCTCTACAAAAAGTGAAAAAACTTGCTGTGCATGGTGGTGCACACCTGTGGTCCCAGCTACTTGAGGGGCTGAAGTGGGAGGATGAGGGGAGGTGGTAGGGGCTGAGGTGGGAGGGGTTGAGCTCAGGAGGTGGAGGCTGCAGTGAGCTGAGATTGCTCCACTGCATTCCAGCCTGGGTGACAGAGGGAGACCCTGTCTCAAAAATGAAAGAAAGAGAGAGAGAAGGAAGTGAGAGGTGACAGCATGCTGGCAGCCCTTGCTCGCTGGCCTCAGAGCCCACTCTGGCCATGCTTGAGGAGCCCTTCAGCCTGCTGCTGCACTATGGGAGCCCCTCTCTGGGCTGGCCAAGATCGGAGCCGGCTCCCTCTGCTTGCAGGGAGGTGTGGAGGGAGAGGCGCGGGCGGGAACCCAGGCTGCACGCAGTGCTCTCCGGCCAGCGCAAGTTCCGGGTGGGTGTGAGCTCGGCGACCCCGCACTCGGAGTGGTGGGCCGGCGCCACCTGCCCTGAGCAGTGAGGGGCTTAGCACCTGGGCCAGCAGCTGCGGAGGGTACACCGGGTCCCCCAGCAGTGCCGGCCCGCTGGTGCTGCACTCGAATACTTGCCGGGCCTCAGCTGCCTCCCTGTGGGGCAGGGCTTGGGACCTGCAGCCTGCCATGCCCGAGCCTCCCCCCGCCGCCGTGGGCTCCTGCACAGCCCGAGCCTCCCCGAGGAGCGCCACCCCCTGCTCGGCGGCGCCTGGTCCCATCAACTGCCCAAGGGCTGAGGAGTGCTCCGCCTGCGGCCCTGGTGCAGGATCCACTGGGTGAAGCCAGCTGAGCTCCTGAGTCTAGTGGGGATTTGGAGAACATTTATGTCTAGCTGAGGGACTGTAAATGCACCAATCAGCACTCTGTATCTAGCTAATCTGGTGGGGACTTGGAGAACGTTTATGTCTAGCTAAGGGATTGTAAATACACCAATCAGCACTCTGTTTCTAGCTCAAGGTTTGTAAATGCACCAATCAGCACCCTGTGTCTAGCTCAAGGTTTGTAAATGCACCAATCAATGCTCTGTGTCTAGCTCATCTGGTGGGGACTTGGAGAAACTTTATGTCTAGCTAAGGGATTGTAAACAACCAATCAGCACTCTGTGTCTAGCTCAAGGTTTGTAAATGCACCAATCAGCACCCTGTGTCTAGCTCAAGGTTTGTAAATGCACCAATCAGCACTCTGTATCTAGCTAATCTGGTGGGGACTTGGAGACTCTTTATGTCTAGCTAAGGGATTGTAAACAACCAATCAGCACTCTGTGTCTAGCTCAAGGTTTGTAAATGCACCAATCAGCACCCTATGTCTAGCTCAAGGTTTGTAAATGCACCAATCAGCACTCTGTATCTAGCTAATCTGGTGGGGACTTGGAGAATCTTTATGTCTAGCTAAGGGATTGTAAATACACCAATCAGCACTGTGTGTCTAGCTCAAGGTTTGTAAATACACCAATCAGCACCCTGTGTCTAGCTCAAGGTTTGTAAATGCACCAATCAGTGCTCTGTGTCTAGCTAATCTAGTGGGGACTTGGAGAAGTTTTGTGTCTAGCTCAGGGATTGTAAACGCACCAGTCAGCACCCTGTCAAAATGGACCAATCAGCTCTCTGTAAAACAGACCAATCAGCTCTCTGTAAAACGGACCAACCAGCAGGATGTGGGTGGGGACAGATAAGGGAATAAAAGCAGGCTGTCCGAGCCAGCAGTGGCAACCCACTCACGTCCCCTTCCATGCTATGGAAGCTCTGTTCTTTTGCTCTTTGCAATAAATCTTGCTGCTGCTCACTCTTTGGGTCCACACTGCCTTTATGAGCCATAACACTCACCGCGAAGGTCTGCAACTTCTCTCCAGAGGCCAGCAAGACCACGAACCCACTGGGAGGAATGAACAACTCCGGACGGGAGGAACGAACCACTCTGGACGCACCGCCTTAAGAGCTATAACACTCACTGCGAAGGTCTGCAGCTTCATTCCTGAAGCCAGCGAGACCACGAACCCACCAGAAGGAAGAAACTCTGAACACACCCAAACATCAGAAGGAACAAACTCCGAACACATCAGAAGGAACAAACTGCGGACATGCCGCCTTTAAGAACTGTAACACTCACCACGAGATTCTGCGGCTTCATTCTTGAAGTCAGTGAGACCAAGAACCCACCAATTCCGGATACATTTTGGTGACCCAGATGGGACTATTACCTATCGCCAAGCGGTGAGACCACTGCCTATCGCTGAGCGGTGAGACTATCACCTATCGCCAAGCAGTGAGTACCACTGGACCCCTTTCACTTGCTATTCTGTCCTATTTTTCCTTAGAATTTGGGGGCTAAATACCAGGCACCTGTCTGCCAGTTAAAAGTGACTAGCATGGCCGCTGGACTAAAGACATGGGTGTCAGGCTTTCTGGGAAAGGGCTCTCTAACAACTCCCGACTCTTTGGAGTTGGGAGCGTTGGTTTGCCTAGAACCAGCTTCTGCTTTTCCTGTACTTCTGGGCTGAGCCGAGGGTCGACAGAGAGGAAAGCCATGCAGCTCTAGGGTCCCGACAAGACAACAAGTTCGTTGACCCTGCAGCCATGAGCGGAACACTCAAAGGCATGTCGCCCAAGCGAGACTCGCCCATCTATCCTATCTATCCTGACTCTTGCCCCCGGGTCCTAATGCCTGCCAGACAAACTTCCTCTCACCTCTCTTCTCCGAGTTTAGTCCTGCTTCTAAAATTTGCTGTCTCTGGTGCTTTTCTAGTTTCTCCTATAAGAACGACTTCTAGAACTCTGTTACATTCTTTAGGCACCCAGGCTCACCAATCAGAAAGACATAATTTTTGCCCAAAGCCCTGTCATAGTGGCGACTACCTGGAATTTTACGATCCCTCCTCAGACTAACAGGCCTAACAAAGGTATTCCTGAAGCTAGGATATGGGGAGCCTCAGAAATTGTAGCTTTCCTATTCATATAAGTGAGGACAAAAGGTGTCACTCTTCCAACCCTGGAGATCCCTTCCCTCCCTCAGGGTATGGCCCTCCACTTCATTTTTGGGGCATAACATCTTTATAGGACAGGGGTAAAGTCCCAATACTAACAGGAGAATGCTTAGAACTCTAACAGGTTTTCAAGAATGCGTCGGTAAGGGCCACTAAATCCGACCTTCCTTGGTCCTCCATGTGGTCTGAGAGGAAAACTAGTGTTTCTGCTGCTGCGTTGATGAGCACAACTATTCCGATCAGCAGGGTACAGGGACTGTTGCAGTTTCTTGGGCAGGGGGAGAAACAAAACAAACCAAAACCGCGGGTGGTTTTGTCTTTCAGATGGGAAACATTCAGCCATCAACAGGCTCACCCTTGAAATGCATCCTAAGCCGTTGGGACCAATTTGACCCATAAACCCTGAAAAAGAGGAGGCTCATTTTTTTTCTGCACTATGGCCTGGCCCCAGTATTCTCTCTCTGATGGGGAAAAATGGCCACCTGAGGGAAGTACAAATTACAATACTATCCTGCAGCTTGACCTTTTCTGTAAGAGGGAAGGCAAATGGAGTGAAATACCTTATGTCCAAGCTTTCTTTTCATGGAGGGAGAATACACAACTATGCAAAGCTTACAATTTACATCCCACAGGAGGACCTCTCAGCTTACCACCATATCCTAGCCTCCCTATAGCTCCCATTCCTATTAATGATAATCTTCCTCTAATCTCCCCTGCCCAGAAGGAAATATGCAAAGAAATCTCCAAAGGACCACAAAACCCTCCTGGCTATTGGTTATGTCCCCTTCAAGCTGTAGGGGGAGGGGAATTTGGTCCCACCCGGGTACATGTCCCCTTCTCCATCTCTGATTTAAAGCAGATCAAGGCAGACCTGGGGAAGTTTTCAGATGATCCTGATAGGTACATACATGCCCTACAGGGTCTAGGGCAAACTTTCGACCTCGCTTGGAGAGATGTCATGCTACTGTTAGATCAAACCCTGGCCTTTAATGAAAAGAATGCAGCTTTAGCTGCAGCCTGAGAGTTTGGAGATACCTGGAATCTTAATCAAGTAAATGATAGAATGACACCTGAAGAAAGGGACAAATTCCCTATCGGTCAGCAAGCCATCCCCAGTATGGATCCCCACTGGGACCTTGACTTAGATCATGGGGACTGGAGTCGTAAACATCTGTTGACCTGTGTTCTAGAAGGACTAAGGAGAATTAGAAAAAGCCCATGAATTATTCAATGATGTCCACCATAACTCAGGGAAAGGAAGAAAATCCTTCTGCCTTCCTCGAGCAGCTATAGGAGGCCTTAAGAAAATATACTCCCCGGTCACCCGAATCACTCAAGGGTCAATTGATTCTAAAAGATAAGTTTATTATCCAATCAGCCGCAGATATCAGGAGAAAGCTCCAAAAGCAAGCCCTGGGCCCTGAACAAAATTTGGAGGCATTATCAAAACCTGGCAACCTCAGTGTTCTATAATAGGGACCAAGAGGAACAGGCCCAAAAGGAAAAGTGAGATTGGAGAAAGGCCGCAGCCTTAGTTATGGCCCTCAGACTAACAAACCTTAGTGGTTCAGAGAGGACAGATAGTAGAGGCCAATCACCCGGTAGGGCTTGTTATCATGCGGTTTACTAGGACACTTTAAAAAAGATTGTCCAATGAGAAACAAGCTGCCCCCTCGTCCATGTCCACTATGCCGAGGCAATCACTGGAAGGTGCACTGCCCCAGCGGACGAAGGTTCCCTAGGTCAGAAGCCCCCAACCAGATGATCCAACAACAGGACAGAGGGTGCCCGGGGCAAGCGCCAGCTCATGTCATCACCCTCACTGAGCCCCGGGTACGTTTAACCATTGAGGGCCAGGAAACTGACTTCCTCCTGGACACTGGCGCGGCCTTCTCAGTGTTAATCTCCTGTCCTGGACGACTGTCCTCAAGGTCTGTTACCATCCGATGAATCCTGGGACAGCCTGTAACCAGGTATTTCTCCCACCTCTCAGTTGTAATTGGGAGACTTTGCTCTTTTCACATGCCTTTCTTATTATGCCTGAAAGTTCCACACCCTTATTAGGCAGGGACATATTAGCCAAGGCTGGAGCTATTATCTACATCAATATGGGGAACAAGTTACCCATTTGTTGTCCCCCTACTTGTGGAGGGAATCAACCCTGAAGTCTGGGCATTGGAAGGACAATTTGGAAGGGCAAAAAATGCCCGCCCATTACAAATCAGGTTAAAAGATCCCACTGCTTTTCCTTATCAAAGGCAATATCCCTTAAAGCCTGAAGCTCATAAACGATTACAGAATATTGTTAAACATTTAAAAGCTCCAGGCTTAGTAAGGAAATGCAGCAGTCCCTACAACACCCCAATTCTAGGAGTACAAAAACTAAATGGTCAGTGGAGACTAGTGCAAGATCTTAGACTCATCAATGAGGCAGTAATTTCTCTATATCCAGCTGTAACCAACACCTATACCCTGCTCTCTCAAATAACAGAGGCAGCAGAATGGTTCACAGTTCTAGACCTCAAGGATGCCTTCTTCTGTATTCCCCTACACTCTGACTCCCAGTTTCTCTTTGCCTTTGAGGATCCCACAGACCACACGTCCCAAATTATGTGGACGGTCTTGCCCCAAGGGTTTAGGGATAGGCCTCATCTGTTTGGTCAGGCACTGGCCCAAGATCTAGGCCACTTCTCAAGTCCAGGCACTCTGGTCCTTCAATATATGGATGATTTACTTTTGGCTCCCAGTTCAGAAGCCTCGAGCCAGCAGGCTACTCTAGATCTCTTGAACTTTCTCGCTAATCAAGGGTACAAGGTGTCTAGGTCAAAGGCCCAGCTTTGCCTACAGCAGGTCAAATATCTAGGCCTAATCTTAGCCAGAGGGACCAGGGCCCTCAGCAAGGATGGAGAGGGAGGACAGGGAGGAGAGGGAGAAGGAGGGGAAGGAGGGGAAGGAGGAAGGGAGGAGAGGGAGGGAGGGGAAGGAGGAAGGGAGGAGAGGGAGGGAGGGGAGGGAGAAAGGGGAGGGAAAGAAAGAAAGGGACCTGGGAATATGTTAATGGACAAAACAGAAAGAAATAGTTTACTGTCTGTCTTCCCCACTGAGTTGGGAACGCCATGACAACAGGGCCTGGGACTGTCCTAGTCAAGACTGGGTTCCCAGCACCAGGCTCTGGGCCCTGTGCAGAAATCAGTGTATGAAATATTTTGCTTCTGGTTCAGTCCTAAAGGGCCAACCCTCCCACGGACAACTACATACGCTGGCTGGACAAGAAACAAACAATTATCTGAAGGCACTGGGCAGATTCTGGAGGGAGTGACCACTTAGGAGAGTGGCAGAACACTCTCTCGGTGTTTTTGAAAATGGTTTTGAAAACTTTCAGCCTGAGGGCAGACTGAAATTGTGCTTGAAGAGCCACAGGATAGAGTCCAAGGTGACCAAAGCTGCCGGGAAGTGAGGGGGGATATTCCAAAGAGGGGAGAGCCAGAGCGAGGAGTCCCGAATTCTGTGTATCAACTCTGCCCTAATCTCTTGCTGGGAGATGTATGTTTTTGTTGTTGTTTTTGTTTTGAGATGGGTTCTTGCACTGTCACCCAGGCTGGGTGCAGTGGCACGACCACAGCTCACTGCAGTTTTGACCTCCCTGGTTCGAGCCATCCTCCCACCTCAGCCTCCAGAGTAGCTGGGAGTGTGGTCATTCATCACACCCAGCTAATTTTTGTTAGAGACAAGGTCTCAGTGTGTTGCCCTGGCTGAAGATTAGTTTTTAAATCTTTTGCTGGGGGTGCATGTATGGTCTGTAAATCAGCAAGAAGCCAGGCACAGTGGTTCACGCTTGTAGTCCCAGCACATTGGGAGGCCGAGTCAGGAGGATCGCTTGAGTTCAAGAGTTGAAGACCAGACTGGGCAACATAGCAAGACCTCATCTCTACAAAAAAATAAAAATAAAAACAGAAAAACCAAAAAAACTAATTCCAACTAAGCTACCAAAACACGAAACTCAACACTCTTTGGAACTATATGATAGAATCCAGAGTATCCACATCTTATTCCTATATCCCAATATCCAAGAAACAATCCAAACTAACTCAAAATACAAAGAAACAGGAAAGTGAAGCCGTTTTCTTTTTTTTGAGACAGAGTCTCGCTCTTGTCACCAAGGCTGGAGTGCAATGGCGTGATGTAGGCTCACTGCAACCTCTGCCTCCTGGGTTCAAGCGATTCTCCTGCCTCAGGCTCTCCAGCAGCTGGGATTACAGGCATGCACCACCACGCCGGGAAAATTTTTGTATTTTTAGTACAGACGGGGTTTCACCATGTTGGCCAGGCTAGTCTTGAACTCCTGACCTCAAGTGATCCACCCACCTCAGCTTCCCAAAGTGCTGGGATTACAGGCATGAGCCACTGAGCCCAGCCTGCCATTTCCAAGCGAAAAGATGATAAGGAGACTGACCCCAAGATGACCCAGATGTTGAGATTAGAAGATAAGGAGTTTTTGTTTTGTTTTTATTTTGTTTTTAGAGGGAGTCTCGCTATGTCACCCAGGCTGGAGTGCAGTGGCGCCATCTCGGCTCACTGCAACCTCTGCCTCCCAGGTTCACGCCATTCTCCTGCCTCAGCCTCCCGAGTAGCTGGGACTAAAGGTGCCCGCCACCATGCCTGGCTAATATTCTTTTTTTTTATTTTTAGTAGAGATGGGGTTTCACCATGTTAGCCAGGATGGTCTCGATCTCCTGACCTCGTGATCCGCCTGCCTCGACCTCCCAAAGTGCTGGGATTACAGGCGTGAGCCACCACACCTGGCCAGAAGACAAGGATTTTAAATCAGTCATTATAACTATGCTCAATGGCAGGAAGAAAAACATGCATGACAAAAAATATACAACTGACCAGGCACAGTGGCTCACGCCTGTAATCCCAGCACTTTGGGAGGCCGAGGGGGGCCGATCACTGGAGGCCAGGAGTTCAAGACCCGCCTGGCCAAAATGGTGAGACCCCGTCTCTACTAAAAATATAAAAATTAGCCAGGCGTGGTGCCGGGTGCCTGTAATCACAAGTACTCAGGAGGCTCAGGCAGGAGAATGGCTTGAATCTGGGAGGTGGAGGTTGCAGTGAGCCCAGACTGCACCACTGTACTCCAGCCTGGTCAACAGAGTGAGACTCCTTCTCCAAAAAAAAAAAAAAAAAAAAAAAAAATTAGCTAGGCCTGGTGGCGGGCATCTGTAATCCCAGCTATGCAGGAGGCTGAGGCAGGAGAATTGCTTCAACCCAGGAGGCAGATGTTGCAATGAGCCAAAATTGCATCACTATACTCCAGCCTGGGTGACAAAGCGAGACTCTGTCTCAAAATAAATGAATAAATAAAATAAAATAAAATATGAACCAAATGGAAATTGGAGAATTGAAAACTACAATATCTGGGCTGGGCGTGGTAGCTCACGCCTGTAATCTCAGCACTTTTGGAGGCCGAGGCGGGCAGATCACGAGGTCAGGAGATCGAGACCATCCTGGCTAACACGGTGAAACCCCGTTTCTACTAAAAACACAAAAACTTAGCTGGGTGTGGTGGCAGGCACTGGTGGTCCCAGTACTCGGGAGGCTGAGGCAGAAGAATGGCCTGAACCCGGGAGGCAGAGCTTGCAGCGAGCCGAGATCGCACCACTGCACTCCAGCCTGGGTGACAGAGCGACTCTGTCTCAGAAAAAAAAAAAAAAGAAAGAAAACTACAATATCTGAAATTTAAAATCAGTGGGTAGTAGCTGGGCACGGTGGCTCACGCCTATCATCCTAGCACTTTGGGAGGCCCTAGGTGGGTGGATGACCTGAGGTCAGGAGTTTAAGACCAGCCTGGCCAACATGGTAAAACTCCGTCTCTACTAGAAACACAAAAAATTAGCCGGGCGTGGTGGCGGGCACTTGTAACCCCAGCTACTTGGGTGGCTGTGGCAGGAGAATCACTTGAACCCAGGAAGCAGAGGTTGCAGTGAGTTGAGATTGCACCATTGCAACAAAAGCAAAACTCCGTCTGAAACAAAATAAAACAAAATAAATCACTGGATGGGCTTTACAGAAGGATAGAGATGACTAAACAGTTAGTAACTGTGACCAGTGGAAATTCTCCAATCTGAAGAAAAGGTCAGTGGGTCAATCCAAAGATCCAACTGACCTGTAACTGGAAATCAATTAGTGAGTTGAATAGTTGCACGAAAGCATGTTATTATATTATATGCTGACACAGCTATAGGCTGAGAGGTTAAGCATGTTGTTCATGGCCACAGATCCAGGATGGAAACCTAGACTTCAGAGCCTATGATCCCATCGTGTTCTGTCAGACTAATACTTATATTTGAATGTTTTAAAGTAGGCCTTTTTTTAAAAAAATGATAGGGCTGGCCATGGTGGCACCTGCCTGTAATCCCAGCATTTTGGCAGGCTGAGGTGGGAGAATCGCTTGACCTCAGGTATTTGAGGTTACAGTGATTTATGATTAGGCAACTGTACTCCAGCCTGGGTGACAGAGAAAGATATTGTCTCCAAAAAAAAAAAAAAAAACACACAGATAAAAGTGTGAGTTAGGGGCCAGGAGCAATGGTTCAGGCCTATAATCCCAGCACTTTGGGAGGCTGAGGCAGGCAGATCATAACGTCAGGAGATGGAGACCATCCTGGCCAATATGGTGAAACCCCGTCTCTACTAAAAATACAAAAATTAGCTGGGTGTGGTGGCCCACGCCTGTAGTCCCAGACAGAAGAATTGCTTGAACCCGGGAGGTGGAGGTTGCAGTGAGCTGAGATTGCGCTACTGCACTCCAGCGTGGCAACAGAGCAAGACCCCGTCTCAAAAAAAAAAAAAAAAAGTGTGTAAGTCAGAAGCTGCTTAAAACCCTAATTCAGAAGCACTGCTCCACTGTCTATTGCCAGGAGCTAGGAAGGCTGGCAGGGTGTGTGAAGAGCGTCTGGTACCTGCAGTGAACATTTTTCCTGCACCAGAGATCACCACCGCCCGACAGTCAGCGTCTCTCGAAATCTTGTTGAAGCACTCTACCATCTCTCTGTGAAGCAACGAGTGAAGGGTTACAAATGGGGCGGGAATACCCTGCCCTCATGTCCATCTTCCCACAACGTTCCACTTTCACCCAGTCCCGCAGCCCCGCCTCCCCCCGCAGGCAGGCCTCCAGGATCTGCAGGTCAGACCTCCAGAAGACCTTGTTCATGGCATTCCTCTTGTTGGGCCGGTTGAGCTGGACATGCAGAACATGTTTCTGCGCAGACGTCACACGAAGGGACTCATAGCTGTGGTCTGGGGCTTCACCGAGGGCTACTCCGGAAGCCTCCTCTTGTGCAGAGGAGCCAGTGAGGCGAAGGCTAATACTGAGTCCCGGGTAGTTGGAGCCTGTCAGTCCTGGGGAGAAAGGAACAGCCTTTGATGACCCCAGACTGCAAGACACAGGCCTATCGAATTAGGGAGTCCTTCAAAAGGGAGCACACGCACCCCTGAATTTAGGGGACTCGGGCCCTTCGTGACCCCGGATAGCCCTCCCCGTCCTACATCTGCTATAACAGCACGACAGCGCGACGCACCCCCATAAGGCAAGAGGTGACTCACGCCGGGTCAGTAGGTCGCGGAGTCTGCGAGAAGCCACTATCCCCGCCGCCATCGCCGCCGCCTTCGTCTACTGCGTTCGGACGGAGTAACGTGCCCGTTAGCGGAGGGGGCGGGCACAGAAGGCCGCCATGTTGAGCGAGGGCACCGATGCCGCAACCTGACAGGCAATGACGCCGTTCTTTCCGCCATCTTTACTAAGGGCAGTCGATTTCCGGTTGCCTTACATAGAGCCAGGCTCAGAAATGGACCCTTTGCCCCAGTGGGAACCTGGCCAAAGAAAATAGCTCCTGCAATGGCGTGAACCTGGGAGGCGGAGTTTGCAGTGAGCCGAGATCGCGCCATTGCTCTCCAGCCTGGCGACCGAGCGACACTCCGTCTTAAAAAAAACAAAACAAACAAACAAAAAAAAAAACAGAAAAGCAAACAGCTCCCGCTAAAGTTCATCACACAGCTGTTTCATAATGGTGGAATAATAGGCGACAGCTGAAATGTCCAAGGACATAATTGCAGCAGAGCTTGTAATCATGCATGTATATATCATGTTAACTAAAAATAAAAGAAAACTTGCAGTACTGTGAGTTTACTCAGGTAAAGGAATGAGTACAGACGGGCCAACATTAAGCGCTGACTGTATAATATGAACTCCCACCAGGAGGTCGTACTATTTCCTACTATATGCAGAGGAAACTGGCCCAGGCACGGGAAGACACTAGGTTCAAGGTCGGTGGGCTTCAGAAGGGCTAAAGCAGGATTACCTGGCACCAGAGTTCATGTTCTTAGCCTGGCGCAGTGGCTCACGCCTGTAATACAAGCACTTTGGGAGGCCGAGGCAGGCGGATCACCTGAGGTCAGGAGTTCAACAGCAGCCTGGTCAACATGGCGAAACCCCGTCTCTACTAAAAATACAAAAATTAGCCGGGTGCGGTGTCCGGCACCTGTAATCCTAGCGGGAAGAGAATGGCTTGAGCCCAGGAGGCGGAGGTTGCAATGAGCAGAGATGGCACCACTGTACCCCAGCCTGGGCGACAGAGCAAGATCTCAAAAAAAAAAAAAAGAAGAAAAAAAAGTTCATGTTCTTAAAAAAAACAAACAAAACAAAAAAACCGAAATTCCCTTGGGAAAAGCCAGCTACCAAAAGGCATAAAAAGTACTGTAAAACTGCTGGCCGGGCGCGGTGGCTCACGCCTGTAATCCCAGCACTTTGGGAGGCCGTGGCGGGCAGATCACGAGGTCAGGAGATCGACCTCCTGACCTAGCTAACACAGTGAAACCCCGTCCCTACTAAAAAAATACAAAAACTTAGCGGGCATGGTGGCGGGCGTCTGTAGCCCCAGCTACTGGGGAGGCTGAGGCTGGAGAATGGCGTGAACCCCGGAGGCGGAGCTCGCAGGGAGCCGAGATGGCGCCACTGCACTCCAGCCTGGGGACAGAGCGAAACTCCATCTCAAAAAAATAAAAAAAAAAAGTACTGTAAAACTGCTTAAGTATGCTTTTTGGGGAGACATTGAGCAAGGCGGTGAACAGATGTCTCTGGGCCAGTGAGATTGAAGGAAGTATCTTTCCTTAATGAACCTGTCTCCTGTGTGTTTTCACAGACTAGAAAAGCAGGCTCTTTTGAAAGACAGAACCATTAACTACCCATCAACAGTAGACTGTTTATACCATAGAAAACTCTGAAACCTCTATGCAAAAATAAAAATGTGTGAGAAAAAAATGTGAAGATGTAATAGAACATTTAGTATGATCCTTTGTTCCTTTGGTGTAAGAAAGTATAGCTGGGCTGGGTGCGGTGGCTCAGGTCTGTAATCCCAGCACTTTAGGAGGCCCAGGCAGGCAGATCACCTCAGGTCAGGAGTTTGAGACCAGCATGGCCAACATGGTGAAACCCAATCTCTATTAAAAATATAAAAATTAGCCAGGCGTGTTGGCTCATGCCTCTAATCCCAGCACTTTGGGAGGCCAAGGCGGGTGGATCACAAGGTGAGAAGATCGAGACCATCCTGGCTAACACGGTGAAACCCCATCTCTACTAAAAATACCAAAAATTAGCCGGGCGTGGTGGCGGGCGCCTGTAGTCCCAGCTATTCGGGAGGCTGAGGCAGGAGAATGGCGTGAACCCAGGAGGCGGAGCTTGCACTGATGTGAGATCACGCCACTGCACTCCAGCCTGGGCCACAGAGCAAGACTCTGTCTAAAAAAAAAAAAAAATTAGCGGGGCGTGGTGGCAGGTGCCTGTAATCCCAGCTACTTGGGAGGCTGAGGCAGGAGAATTGCTTCAACCCAGGAGGCAGAGTTTGCAGTGAGCTGACCTCATGCCACTGCACTCCAGCACTTCAGCCTGGGTGACAGAGTGAGACAATGTCTCAAAAAAAAGAGTGTAGCTGGACCTGCACAGAATATGGTGTATGTATGTAATATCTCTGGAAGGAGACTCAAACTGGTAACAGGAAATGAAATTGGATGCTAGGAGACAAACTGGTAAAATTCACTTTTTATCACCTTGACTGGCTTAAAAACAATAAACCCTAGTTGATTTTATTTATGGCTGCAAGATGACTGTAGTTTTTCCTTGTCTAAAGATTGTTTGAAACTTCCCATAGTGAAGCAAAACTTGTTCATCTGCCAAATGATGCTTTTGTGATGTCATTAAATGTTAAAAATGTAAGGCCGGGCGCAGTGGCTCATGCCTGTATCATAGCTACTTTGGGAGGCCGAGGCCAGTGGATCTCAGGAGTTCGAGACCAGCCTAGCCAATATGGTGAAACCCCATCTCTACTAAAAATACAAAAATCAGCCAGGCATGGTGGCACATGCCTGTAATCCCAGCTACTTGGGAGGCTGAGGCAGGAGAATTGCTTGAACCAGGAGGCAGAGGTTGCAGTGAGCCAAGATTATGCCATTGCACTCCAGCCTGGGTGACAGAGCAAGACTCCATCTCAAAAAAGAAAATTTTATTCACAGTAAATTCCCCAGAGTGGGCTATTCTCAAGCACACATGCATAAACTTCAAGGTTTGTGACCTGCTCCTCTGCAGGTCACCTCTTCCCTCCAGTAGGAGTCAAAATCCTTAAACCAGGATCCTTCCGGGTGGTACCCGCCACCGCAAGGCATCTTCACAGATTTGCATCTGCAAGTGGGAAGCTATCTACCGTATGATGCAATTATATAGATCCTTTAAGTTTTGAGACATGGTCTCGCCCTTTCGCCCAGGATGGAGTATAGTGGTGCCATCACAGCTCACAGCTCAAGTGATCCTCCTGCTTCAGCCCCCATGAGTAGCTGGGACTATAGGCACAGTGTGTGCCACCATGCCCACATCATTTTTCTATATATTTTTTTCTCGAGACGGAGTTTCACTCTCGTCACTCAGGCTGGAGTGCAATGGCACAATCTCGGCTCACTGCAACCTCTGCCTCCTGGGTTCCAGCGATTCTCCTGCCTCAGCCTCCTGAGTAGCTGTGACTACAGGAACGTGCCACCATGCCCGGCTAATTTTTATTTTTTTAGTAGAGACAGGGTTTCACCATGTTGGCCAGGCTGGTCTCGAACTCCTGACCGTAAGTGTTCCGCTCACCTCGGCCTCCCAAAGTGCTGGGATTACAGGCGTGAGCCACCATGCCCGGCCCACTTTCTTATTTTTTGTAGACAGGGTTTTGCCATGTTGCCCAGGTCTCAAAACTCCCGGCCTTAAGTGATCTGCCTGCCTTGGCTTCCCAAAGTGCTGGGATTACAGGCATGGGCCACTACATCCAGCTATATATATCCTTTAACCCAGCAATTCCACTGGCAGGAATTTATCTCCTGATCAGTATCAGGGAAGCTGGCCAAGATACTTGTGTAGATACGTGTTACAGCGCTGTTTGCAATAGCAAAAATAGACCTGGAAACTACCCTTTGGGACCAGGTTAAATCATGACACATCCACACAATGATACTGCAAGGGTAAAGACAAGTCACTCTGAAATGATACAGAACACAAAGGTTTTGGGTTTTTTTGACACCCTGTTGCCCAGGCTGGGGTGCAATGACCCCATCACAGTTCACTGCAGCATCACCCTCCAGGGTTGGGGTGATCCACCTCAGCCTGCTAGGTAGCTGGGACTACTGGCATGCGCCACTATGCCCGGCTGATTTTTGTATTTTTAGTAGAGACAGGGTTTCACCATGATGGCAAGGCTGGAAACCTTTTTTTTTTTGAGATAGGGTCTCATTGTCACCCAGGTTGGAGTGCAGTGATGTGATCACTGCACTGTTAACCTCCTAGGCTCAACTGACCCACCTGCCTCAGCCTCCCGAGTAGCTGGGACTACAGGTGTTCCACCAAACCCACCTTTTTGTAGTGACGTTTCACCATGCTGCCCAGGCTGGTCTTCAACTCCTGAGCTCAAAGTATGTGCCCCACCTTGGCCTCCCCAGATTGCTGGAATTATAGGTGTGATGACCCACTGGGCCTGATAGAGCTTGCTCGGGCAGGGCCCAGTAAGAATGCCACTAAGCCTGATGGATTTTCCTCAAAGACTCAATTGCTAGCACCATTCTCAGTCTGCAGCCCACCCTGCTCCTCTTGGGTCTCTGTATGCCTCCAGAGGGCCTGTGACTGTGCTCAGGCCTGCCTGTGTCTTCAGGACAGAGAGGGAGAAAAGCAGACATCCTGGAATCCCAGCAAGTGCTGTGTTTATTTTCCAAACAATTTTATTGAAATGTGCCAAGAGTACATGGGCAGCACAAATGTATGAACAGGAAAAAAAAAAATCACATGTACAATAATTTTTTAAAAGTGAAGGTTAATCTTGGGAGATAACAGTTCCCCTCTCCCTCCCCCTGCAGATTTCCAGCGTTTCCATTAAGGTTAAGTAAGCCTCTACAAACCTAGCATTTAAAAAAAAAAAAAAAAAAAAAAAAAAGGAATACAAGATCTTTTGCAAATAACAAAAACAAAAAATGGCATAAAGGAAAGAGAAATGTCTTCCTGCTCAGATGGGACTCTTCCTAGGCACCTAATTAGGAGGCGTGCTGAGCAGTGGAGAAACACAACTTCAGAGTGTAAGGGTATGGACCATCTGCAAAGGAGAGACAAGTTTGGTTGGTTCCCGTCTTTGGAGGCTCCCCAAACCCAGGTCCCCTCAAGTTTGTACCCATCTCCCATTTTCTGCAGGTCAACGGCAGGGGTCTAAGGAGTGACTGCCCAACGTGAGGCTTCAAGATGAGCCAATTACCAATTATGCACGGCGTTTCTCCTTCTCTTCCTTCATTCCCATAGAGAATCCCATTCCTATCTCCTTCGCCAGCCCAAGGCAATGGGCCTCTCCCAGCAACTGGGTGGGCAAGTTTTACCTGCTGGATAGTGTTGCCTCTTTCCTAGGTAACAGAGTGGCTTTCCTACCTAAGCCAGTCTCTGATGCAAAGAAGAGAATGCCACCTCCCTGGAGGACAAGCCTGAGCAACTCCCAAGCTGGCAGAGTGAGTGGCAGCAGGCAGTCAGGCTGGCTCTCCCAAGAGGAGCACAGGCTGCTCTCCTGATGAGCAGGTCCCACCTGCCTGTGTCACCAACAGTGCGAAGATCCCGGGGTCCTATCTCAAGGGCAGGAAGGACATCCCTGGCCTGAAGCCAGCCAACCCATTAGGTCACCAGGTTGATGCCTGCAGGACACACAGATACTCACTTGGGTTTTTCATCTGGTAATGGTTCAGGAAGCCCAGAGTCTCCAGGGCATCGCTCTTGGATTCCCACTCCAGCAGTCCAGAGGAGCTGCGCTCACCTGATTGCAAACCAAGGGGAAAAGTAAAGGTTTTAGACTCACCCAATAGGAACTAGGCAGCTGCCCACCAACCACCATGCAATTAGGGCAAGGAGGTGGGCACACTCGACTCACTTTTGCCTGAGAATACTTTCACAGAAGATGGCCGCTTCACTCCCAGCTCATCGCAGATCTGCAAAAGAAAACAGGTAGTAAATGAACTCTGAAACAAAAGGGCCGCCACACAGGATTCAAGCAGACCAGGCCCTGCATGACTCAGTACTTGAAGTTTTCAGGAGAAAAGGCTTGTAGATTTTATCACATACCCTAAGGCATCCCTGTGTCATAAAAAGGCCAGCAACAATGCTCTTTAATTATTAAGTTGCCTGAGACTGGGAAGCTGCTTTTTCGTTCCCAACTTCAACAGCTATGTGGATATCTGCACCCGGCTGTTTGCTGAACACTGTTTGCTGAATGCAAGGTCAACATTTCAGACCACAGCCAGATCCACTTGAGTTCCTCCTCCCTTCCGCTGCCTCAGTTCCCCCTGACTGAGCTTTACAGGGCCCCACCTTCTGATGGTATCAGGGTGATGGCACCCGAAGCCTACGCCAATGCGGTTCTTGTGAAATTGGGCCCTCATCACTGGGCCTGTGAAGCAGCTTTCCCAGCAAACGAGCAGTTGCCCTGCTTGCCAAAAATGTAAAAGGAAGGAACGCGGCAAATGGTGTTGCTAGAAACTTGGTGCCATTCTCACCCTGTCCAGTTTGAGAGCACAGATTCCTATCTGTCCTGGCCTCTGCTGTGTCCCTAGCACTCAACCCAGGGCCAGGCAGGACAGGAGTTCAACAGCTATTTGCAGAAAAGACTGAAATGAATGGCCTACTCAGACGGCCGTGGCAAGGACCCGACTGCCTGCGCAGCTCCACGGCACACACCTCAAAGAAGTTCTCCTCGGTCACCTCCAGCGGGGCGTTGAAGAAGTGCAGCACGTTGCTGGGGTGCTGGATGCGGTTCTTGGCTGCCTGCTCTGGGGTGGAGAACCGATTGTTCCGGGATTCACTGAAGTCTTTGTAACTGCAAGACCCGTCTTCCAACCCGTATGACTGACCAGGCATGATGGCTGGCTGCTTGGAGACACTGCAGCAAGGAAGAAAGGGGAGCCTTTGTCATACCCAAAGTTGTCCCTGAAGCTTTCCCCTGTGGCCTCCAGAGGCTTAGCTTGCCCTGTGTGCCTTGGGGCATTGCTCTACACCTGAGGCAAGGCTGACTCACTTTCTCCTGTGGTGTCAGAGACACGTCTGGGAACACACCTGCCACATCCCATTTCTGTGTGAGTCAACACCTCGGCCTCACTGTGCTCCTCTGCTGGGCCCCATTCCCCTCCTTTTCTCTCCCCTGTACCTCTGCTGCCCTCCCGAGCCTGAGCACCTACCAGACATTCAGCTTCTGCCCAAACATGAAGTTGTTGTTGAGGTGGGTAATGGCCCGGTCTACAGCGTAGCCATCAGCCATCTCCACCATGGCGGCCCCCGGCTTGCTTTTCATGAATTTCACCTTGGGGAGAGTAGCTGCAGTCAGCACCTCTGTCCAGCTGCCAGGGTCCCCTCTCCTGCCCCTCCCAAGTTAGTGATAATAACCCCTGCTCTGGCCTCCCATGTCCTCACAGTTAATCGGGACCACTAGAAAAACATGCCTGGCCCACACCAAGTGCTCAACCCATAGTGAGAAGCAGAGCCTGGGCCATGTTTTTAACTGTGGGACATAACCCACCAGTAAATCATTTAGTGAAGCATGACAGAAAACTGTACAGGAATCAGAAATCAAATCAGCCATTTTCACCATTTTGTCTGTTACACACAGACGTGTGTGATCTATGGATGGCTGTGTCTACAGTCACAAGGTAAAATACTCCTTCAGCTGGGTTACAACAGAGCAGTGCCGGCTCTGGAGCCAGGCAGTCTGGCTCTGAGTCCTGCTTCACATAAAGGCTATGTGAACCTGGGCGCGTTATTTAAGCCCCGTCCTCCACTTCCCCTGTCCATCTCATTAAGGATTAATGTGAGAAATTACACAGGTCACTACATGTAAAGCATCTTTAACAGTGCCTGGTAACTAACAACACTTCACCTGTGTTACGAACTACTCTAAGTAATGGGCCAAGTCATGAGCTGCACAAAGGCCCCCAAGACCCAGACGGGTTTAATGTTAAGCAAAATGCCGCCTGGTCTCAGGTAGACACTCAGCCACCGCTAGCCCCAGTCAACTGTCCCATGGGAAGGCAGAAGGCCCGGTGTTGCCAGGTCTTAAGTTTTCAGGAGGAAATCCTTAAACGATGGTGTTTCACTATAATGGATTCATTTTTATGTTTTATAAATCTCTATGTTCATGTACTGGTATTAGTACTTTTATGTGATAAAATCTTTTTTTTAAACATTGGTAATTCAAAAACACAACACCCACATACAGTGAGGACCAAACAAAACCCGTCTGCAAGCAGGCTGCCTGAGCTCACTGAGTCACTCATTGGCGTCTGCCCGCCCAGCGCCACACCAGGCTCCCCCCTGGTTCTTTCCCGTGCTGACTGGCAAGATACGAGGCTCAGCGAGGAACCCAGGGGGCCCGGCAGCAGCTCACCTTCTCCACATTGCCATATAAGCAGAAGACATTGAAGACTCGGTCACAGTTCATCTTAGATTGATCCAAGCCATAGACCATGAGCACAGGGCTGTCGGCGTGAGGGCCATACTCGGGTGGTGGGGGAGGGGGTGGGGGGTGCCCATACTGGGGGCCGTAGCGACTTGGGCCCCGACGGTGACCCCCCACTGGTGGACCCATCCTTCTCCCTTCGTAGTGAGGTGGGGGGGGCCCGTAGCCCTCATCATGGTAATGGCTGTGGTACCCACCGTGGGGCCCTCCTGGGGGGTGGGAAGGAAAGAGAGGGAGGACGGGTGAGAATTTGCACGGCGGGCGGCGGGCAGGGGCACATGAGCCACGGGAGTCCACGGAGGGGAACCCCCTGCCCTCACCATATTCTGCGGGGTGATCTCCCAGGAGAGGGGGCTGCCTCTGGCGTTTGTTGGGGTTGCTGCCAGGGTCACCTGTGGAGAGAGAAAACAGTTAGGAGTCTCACTCAGAAATTGGGGTCTCTCCCTCCCTCCTGACTGCACAGGCTGATCTGAGCCCCCAGCTCCTGCCAACTGCAAGCCCTCCCTTCCTCGAGGGCTGTGGGGCCTCCTTTTGTGATCTGACCTACGGCGGGCATGAAGCCCGAGCCTCAAAGCTGGTGCCCACTCTCCTTCCCCTGCTCATACCAAAGGGCTGGCCTTGTTCTGTGAAGGACAAGGCCAGATTCTGTGCTCTCACCTACCCTGGCCCTGGGAGAAAGCCCAGCTCCCAGGCCCTCTGGGGAATGTGCAGCTGCTACAGAAGCTGATATATTATGGCGGGCCAAAAGCAGCTTTCTAAAGTGACTCCCAATGAAGGGAGAGTAGATTAAGAGGAAAATAACCCCAGAGGGAAGCAAGCAAGTTTGACCCCCAAAGCCCCCAAAGTTCTAGGAGCTCCAGACTGTCTCTGTTAGATCCCTTCTTTCTTAATCCCAGTCCCCCCTCCCTCCCAGTCCCGCCAGCCCAAGAGGGACTGACTGTAGCTGACAAGCAGGGCAACAGCAGAATCAGTTCAAATAAGCAATCATGTACAAGGCATCGACATTCCCACACCCAGCAATGGCGCAGATCCACCCCGACCCCAGCAGTTCGTAATCACTGCCTTTAACTTAGCGCTTAAGTGGCAGGCACTGGGCTAAGCGCTTTACAGACATCACAGCTTCTGAAATTCCTCACAACAACCCTATGAGGTAGGTTCTGATATTTCAGCCCCATTTTACAGATAAGAAGACTGAGTTGTTAACTTTTAACTGAGCAGTTAAAAGACACTTTGGCCCAAAGTCACAAAGCAAGACAGTGGCTGAGCCATATTTGAACCCAGGTCTGGCTGACTCCAAAACCCAGGGCTCGAAACCACTGCCCTTTCCTGCCACCCGGCCTGGGTTTTGTTACCAGTCATTACAAAATGGAAAAGGACTACTTACAGCAGAAGTACAGAGTACAATGTCCATTTGTCACAAAAAACAAATCTGTATTTTCTCTTACCATTGGACGCTTCAACAGTGAGTTAGCACAGTTCTGAAAGATGGCGTCCCATCAAACATACACTGCGACCCTGCATCACATGGTTTTACAGTCATAAATACAAGTCACGGTACACATCCGCTACAATTTTTTTAAAGAATTGTTTTAAAAGTCAATATTTTGATTAAATCAAAAATGGCTCACAGATGTTCTGTCCTCAGAAGATATCAGAAAAGTGGAAATAAAGGTGTATGAAGTGGGTAGTGTCCCTCCATGTTGTCACCTCCTCACATATGTGCTGCAGTGCGGTGGTGCGGTGCTTCTGGCTGTGTAGCGCTCCGTGTGCGTGTCTCCTGGTATGAGGTGTGCCAGTGGCCCCACTACGCTCGCGCTTTTGGCCTTGGGAGCGCGCCTGGTTACCCGGCAGCAGGTAACTGTGTGCCTCTGAGCTGTTTGGCTGTCTGGTTTTAGGTCTGTTTTGGTTTTTTTGATTTTTTTTTTGTTGTGGTTAAAATTTTTTTTTTTTTTTTTGGTTTCTGATCTCCAGTTGGTGCAGATTATGTTGGCAGCCGGTGACTGCAGAAAAAATAAAAATATCAAAACAGAAAAAAAACAAGGCCCTCCCCAAACCAAATGACTTAAAAAACAAAACCCATATGGCGAGGAATGGAGAGAGGATCCTATTGTCTTGGAGGCCCATGGAATCTACTTCCGTCTATGAAACGTTCTCCGAAAAGAGCATCGCTCGCTGGCTGGCTGGGACAGCTCTGTTCTCTGTGTTTCCTACTTCTGTGTACATTCTCGGGTTCAAGTTTGCTTGGATTTTGACCTTTTTTTTAATGTTTAATAAAAAAAGCAGTGTCTGCTGCCATGTTGCGTCTCTTTCTCTCTTTGTCTCTGTATGCCTCTGTCTCTGTGCTTGTAGCTGTTCCTTGGAGCGCGGTGTGGTGTTCTTGATGTAGTGAGCTCAAGTCTGCGGCTGTTTCTGGGGACGTGGTGGAGGCTGCATGTTCTGTTCTCTCCAGGAAGAGCTAGTGGTTTTCTACCCTGTGTGTTGGTGAGCAATGTGCAGAGGCAGAGCCGCTGAAGTATGGTTCCTGAGGGGTGGCGAAGCACCGCCCTCACTCCAGGTCACCTCATCAGCCCTCGTTTTTTTTTGGGCCCCAGCCTTGGGGCTGCCAAAGCTGAGAGGCATCAAAACCAATGCACAGCCAGCCCCCTGCCACTAGCCCCTGCCGGTCTGCACATCTTCTATTTATGTTCCTTGGAGAAGAAATGGTTGTTGCCATGTTTCTGTTAGCAGTCATGTAATGCCATTGCCCGCTCTGGTACATTCACTTGGTCACCAATTTGCCTCTGACCTTTGGAGGGAGCAGCCAGGCCCACAGGGCCCACTGTGAGGATCCTGGGGAAGAGTCTAGCCCACCCTGCCCACTGCTTCCCAGATGCAAGGGCGAGCAAGACAGGCCTGCCTAGGAATGGGGGGCTCTGGCCTCTCAGGGCCTGTGCGATGTCAGCATCGAGCCTCCTCCCTCAGCCCATGGCCTGGTCCGACGTATCAGACCAAGACAGACACCGAGATGGATGGTCTTGTTGGGGGGCTGCCGCTGTTTCTCATAGGCAATCCTCCACCTCTCCCTGCTACCAAAGGCAAACCATTCTTGACAGACACTAGGAAGGGAGTTGTCCATTTGGGCCACCTGCAGAGATGTTGCGTCCCCTCTACAAATGATGTGAGGCATGTCCGCCCTGGTCCAATCCAGAGTGTCTCACCTCCACAGGGTCAGCTTGCTCACAAGGCTCACTGCAAGAGCCCAGGAGACCTCATCGCCCCCCAACACTGTCACTCCCCCAAATCAGACCCTCTCAACAGCGCAGAACAAGAGGACAATTCCTGGTCCAGCAAGAATGGAGTGAGTGACCCTCACCAGACTCTCAAAGGAGCCACTGCTGGTTTCTAAGGCCGCCCCCACGCCTCATCCTCAGTGAGGCCCTGCTCCCCGCCCATCCAGGCTTCTGCCTTGCCTCTGTATCCTGAGCAGCATCGGAGGGCCCCAAGCAGCAGTGAAGACCCATGGAGGCCTCTCACTCCCCCATCCCACTAGGGTGTCCAAGTGCTGACCCCAAGGCCCTCCCATGTCCATGGGGGGCCCAATGGCATTACATAACCCTGAGCCCAGGCCTATTAAGTGCACTAGTCGAGTGAAAGCAAGGCGGGTATGTTTAGAACAAAGTGGTCGTCAAGATTACCTTGTCCACTGAGATTGGGGTTTGTGTAGTCCCAAGTATCCTGATCATTCTTGAACACATTCAAGCGTGTAGGCTGCAAGGACAGGACAAGACAAGACTTGAGGTCAGCCATGCCCCAGCTCACCTGGAAGCTGACAAGGGGCAGTCAGTCACCTCCCAGATGTACCTTTGCGTATTCGATCTTCAGAGTGCAACAGCCAGAATAGATATCAGCCCCATTGAGAGAGGCCTTGGCCCGCTGGGCACTTTGAACTGAGTCAAATGTGAGTCAAGTTAAGGAAAGTCCCATCACAGGAGATCTTTGAGAAGGGCTTCAAGTTACCCCAGAGTGTGATAAGGACAAGGTAGCACCCCAAGACTGTGGTACAGACGGAAGCTTTGGGATTAGCTCACTGCCCAGCCACTAGCCTCAGGTTAAGAGACCAAAACGGTGTTGATGGACTCAACGCTGCCCCGGGTGAGCAGTCACTGGCCAGAGTTCTCTCATAATCTGCACCCCGACCCATGGCCACCAGCAACCTCTTCTGCCACACCACTTTCTCCGTCTCAGCCCTCTCACACCCTTCGACTAAATCTGAAACATCAACTCGATTACAGCTCTGCCCTGAAAGTCCATCAGTGGCTTTTTCCTGCCCCTGCCCCAAGCATCGCAACGCTGTCTAGGATGCCCTAAAAGCTTCTTCCAATGTCTATTCCAAACCCGTCTGCTTGCCAGCCACTTTGCAATCCTCAGGTCTTTCAATTTCTCCATCCAACACAAGCTCCTTCTGACTTTACAACCTTTGCAGAGGCTGTTTCCTCCACCTTGAGTATAAGCTCCTATTTGCTCATAGGACATCACCTCCTCAGCAACCTTCACACATGCCCCACCTTTTTTTTTTTTTTTTGGATATGGAGTCTCGCTGTGTTGCCCAGGATGGAATACAGTGGCACAGTCTCGGCTCACTGCAATCTCCGCCTCCCAGGCTCAAGCGATTCTCCTGCCTCAGCCTCCAGAGTAGCTGGGATTACAGGCGTTCACCACCATGCCTGGCTATTTTTTGTATTATTAGCGACAGGGTTTCACCACGTTGGCTAGGCTGGTCTCGAACTCCTGACCTCAGGTATCTGTCCACCTCGGCCTCCGAAAGTGCTGGGATTGCAGGCATGAGCCACTGTGCCCGGCCCCATATCCCCTTTTAAATAAATTCCTTTTCCCAGGGGCACATTTTCTCAGGACCTCTTGAGACTATGTTCCCCAAATCTTTGTCACTCATATTTGAACTTAGAATAAACATCTTTAAAAATAAATTCCTAGCCAGGCGCGGTGGCTCACACCTGTAATCTGGGAGGCTGAGGCAAGTGGATTGCCTGAGGTCAGGAGTTCGAAACCAGATCTCTACTAAAAATAAAAAAAATTAGCAGGCGCCTATAATCCTACTAGGAAGGCTGAGGCAGGAGAATTGCTTGAACCCAGGAGGCAGAGGTTGCAGTGAGCTGAGATCGCACCACTGCACTCCAGCCCAGGCAACAAGGGCTAAACTCCATCTCAATAAATAAATAAGTAAATAACAGAAAGAAAACAAAAAGAAAAATAAATTCCTTTGTATCTCCCAACACACTGCTCTCTCCCCTAAGATCTGCACGTCCACACGATATGCCTGGTCCTTTAACTGCCTCCCTACTCAGTCACTGGGCTCTGTGAAGGCATCTGGCACATGGCAGCCACTCCCGTGGTCAGCAGACACATGCTGGCTCAAAGAATGGCCACTGTCAAGCCCTGCAAGAGTCCCTACCCTAAGGAACACCTGTTTTCCAGCAAAGGATATTCCACCATCGCCTGAACTCCATTCTTCCTGAAAATGACAATTCTCTGGACAGGGCCACAAGGATTACAGATAGTGTAAAGAACATCCTGCAAAAGCAAACACAGGCAAGATGAAGGGGCACTGGCAGATCAGTCTGGCTTGGGGGAGGGAATAAGGGGAGAAAAGGAAGGGAGACCTCACAAGAAATGCCTGCTGGCACGTACCGTGGTGATCGAATAAATGGGGTTCAGGATGGTAAAGAGAAGCACACTGTTCACGCTCCGGGAGTCATCCGAGTCCCCAGGGCGGGAGATCTTCTGGCTGGTAGAGTAGTTGACAAAAGCTGGGTGACCAGCAATGTATATTTGGTTGTCGGCTGCGTAGTTCACTGCGTTGCAAGCCCCCAACACATCTTCAAACTCCACCAGTGCTTGTCTCTTTTTAGGCATTACCACCACATAGCTGGCAGAGAGAACACAGGTTTCAATCCTCTCAGGAAAATGTAGACAGGAGGAGGGTATCATTTGATTTTTTGAGAACTGACTCCTCCATGGCCTCTGAACTCCTCTGCAACCCTATCATGGTTCCCCGACCTGAACACCCTGTGCCACAAGTAGTACCAAAAGCCAAAGAGGTCTAGCTGAGCCATCATGTCCCTCTGGGAAGCCTTCCTGACCTCTCCTCACCAGACTGTCAGATGCCACCCACAGACGGCTTCTTGAGCTTACACTATGACAGTGCAAATCACTCTAGGAGGGCAACTTTCTAAGAGAAGCATCCAGATACAGCTCACTACTGTATTTGCAGTATATAGCATGCACCAAATATTCAGTAACTACTTGCTGAATGAAAGAACACTGGCCAGGAGCAGTAGTAGCTCATGCCTGTAACCCTAAAACTTGGGAGGGCTAGGTGGGCAGACTGCTTGGGCCTAGGAGTTTGAGACCAGCCTGGCCAACATGGCAAAACCTCACCTCTACAGAACAATATAAAAATTAGGCCGGGCGCAGTGGCTCACGCCTGTAATCCTAGCACTTTGGGAGGCCGAGGCGGGCAGATCACGAGGTCAGGAGATTGAGACCATCCTGGCTAACACAGCGAAACCCCATCTCTACTAAAAATACAAAAAATTAGCCGGGTGGGGTGGCCAGCGCCTGTGGTCCCAGCTACTCGGGAGGCTGAGGCAGGAGAATGGCGTGAACCCACGAGACAAAGCTTGCAGTGAGCTGAGATTGTCACTGCACTCCAGCCTGGGCGACAGAGCAAGAGACTGTCTCAAAACAAACAAACAAACAAAAAATATATATATGTAAAAATTAGCCGGGCATGGTGGCGCATGCCTATAGTCCCAGCTACTCAGCAGGCCGAGGCAGAAGGACTGCCTGAGCCTGGGTGAGACTGCACCACTACACTCCAGCCTGGGCCACAAAGCGAGACCTTGCTCTGTCTGAAAAAGAGAACACTGACTAGAAACTACAAGGCAGAGGAAAAACGAAGGAAGGAAAAAGGGTCATGGAACTTGCTGTAATCTGACACAAAGTACAATGGCCAACCCAAAAGCAGAGCGGCCACAGAATCTAGACCAGGATGGCAACAAAATCACTATTTCCAACCAGAAATCGTGGACACACAAGGACACCCAGGAGTCAACTTTGGAAGCCCAACACCTGGCCTCTGAGCCCAGTACCTGATGGGTCCAAACTCCTGCAAGGCCTCCACAAGGTCTGCTTCCACCACACCGTCAATCAGGCCCCTGATGTGGACAACTGGGGAGGCAGGGGTTTTGTGCGGGTCATCGTAGTTCTCCTGAGAAAGGAAGCAAAAACAAGAATTATTTTCTTGCTGTACAAGATGACGCCCCACTGGCCTCTGTACTGTTGTAGACCCAGTCAGATAAAACAGTTGGAGGTCATCCGTGAAGGATGCACAGGAAAGACTAGGGGCAGCAATTGAAGCCAATCAGCCCAGAAGGATTCTGGGTCAGCAGAACAGTGGTCCTGAGTGGGTGATCACTTGCCCACTGGCTCTTGCTGTAGCTTCTGAGGAAGGTATAACGGAGGGAGGGCCACACAAGTCCCAAATCTTACGTTCTTCCAGGGACCCCCCTCTCTTCCCACTGGTCCACTCGACCAAGGAAACATGGGAAAAGAGTAGCTGGAAAAGGAGATACACTGGCAGCAAGGGCTCTAACAGCTATCTGCTACAGTTTGAATGAGGACATCCCCTTTGCATGTGCCCCAAATTCCTTGCCCTTTAACTGGCTGAGCCACCATCATCTAGCTAAGCACACCTGTTCCCCACCACTCACACCCAGGTTCAGTCAGGGCAAAAAACAACACATGCCCCAGAAACTGGGGCAGCCAGGCCAGTCTTGACCCCTTCTAGTCTTGAATCGCCCTCCCACCAAAATCTGCTTTGGAAATTACTGCCTAGGTCAGACTAAGAAAAACCAGACAAGAAAAGTCTTTTATTTATTTTTTGAGATGGAGTCTCACTCTGTCACCCAGGCTGGAGTGCTATGGCGTGATCTTAGTCCACTGCAACCTCCGCCTCCCAGGTTCAAGCGATTCTCCTGCCTCAGCCTCCCGAGTAGCTGGAATTACAGGCCCTCGCCACCACACCTGGCTAATTTTTTTGTATTTTTAGTAGAGACGGAGTTTTGCCATGTTGACCAGGCTGTTCTCGAACTCCTGACCTCAGGTAATCTGCCTGCCTCAGCCTCCCAAAGTGCTGGGATTATAGGCATGAGCCCCCACTCCCGGATGGAAAGTCTTTTAGAAAGACCAGAGACTCCAACCCATACCATTAAGAACCGACTGCTCCTTCCTAAGAGAAGTATCTTACACCCACCGACAAAAGCCTCTGGTCATCAGGAGAAAGATTAACTCTCTTCCGCCTCTCCTGGGCTCTGGGGCCGGCCCCCTGTCTGAGAATCACTGGGCAGAAGTGCGTGGAAGGTGGGTAGAATTGGATTCTATTTCAGGAGCGATCCACGCGAACCACAGGGTGAGGCACTCCCGCCAGGTTAGCAGCTCCCACAAATGGGAGTTCTAACTCCAGCCCTGCCCCTCACTAGCTGTGCCACCTACAGTAATTCACCTCATCTCATCTCTCTCCTGGCCCATTTCCTCCTTTGTAAATCGGGAATCCCAGTATCTCCCCCAACCTCAGGAAGCGTTAAGGATTTTCAATTAAGATGTCTTTAAAATGTGTGGGACAAGGCCAAGATTAAAACGCTAGCAACTCGTAACCCCTAAACCCTGGAAAACCCTGCAAATAGGCGGCCCTGTAAGACTTCAAGATTTTGGAAAGAGTGGGGACTGGGCCCCACTCCAAAAGCAACGACTGGTGTTTTCGGAGGGACTGATTACAGGGGGTCGAAATGCTTCCAACATGGCCAGGAAATAGTTTGGTTTATCAAATCCTCGGTACCCAGTGAATCCCCGGAAACTGTAAGCAAACTTGTGATGGTTTCAAGGCTTCGCTCAACTCCTAAAAGGCTAAAAGTGCATTTCACAAGTCCTCTTCCCATTTTCAATGCCTACAAAAATGAGAGCATCTAGGCTCAAACACATCCATTTCTGTATAGACACAAGGCTGGGCCTTAGAGATTAAGCTGCCATCAGACGGAATTCCCCACTCTAGAGAACAAGGCCGCCGCCCACCCGTTCCCGCTCACCAGGCGCTCCCCTAACCGCCCACGAGGCCGGGCGGGAACACTGCGCCTGCGCATGGAGCCAGCGAAGAAAATGATAAAGGGGAAAAAAACCGGCCGGGCCGCGTGCCCGGCCCCCACACGCCAGCCCGCGGCGCCTGCGCACTGGGCCATTCGCCTCACGAGCTACTTCCTCTGCGCTCCCCCACACCCCGCTCCGGACCCCGCGCACGCGCAGGCGCCTGTCCTCGCGCAAACCCCGCCGTTTGCCCAACGGCCGCCCCTCCCCCACACCGTCAACGACGCGATGGCCTGGGCGCGTGCGCAGAGGCCCCCCTCAAAAAATAAAATGCCCTCAAGCTGGGAAATTGTCCCCCAGTTCCCGGCCTTCCCAGCGCCTAGGGCCCTGGCCTCACCCCACCGCCGCCGCCGCCCGCCGCCCCGGCTCCTCCACCGCCACCGCCGCCGCCTCCGTGCTGGTCGCCGGCGTTGTCAGTCTTGAGCCGCTTAGGGGCCCGGCCGCCCTCACTGCCGCCGCCGTAGTAGCGGCCACCGCCGCCTCCGCCGCCCGCCGCCGCCATCTTCACCATCGCTCCCGACCGCCTCCGCTGCTCGTCCGGCTGCTGCCTCTGCTCCAGCCGCCGACGCCGCTTCTCCGCCCGGGGCAGCAGCCTCCGCGACATGGCGGCGCAGAACCCGCCTCCCCCCGCCTCTCATTGGGGGAGGGACACGCCCGTCACCCGCCGCCCCCACCCGATAGGGGGAGCCACTGGTCCCGCCGCGGGGGGAGGGTAGGCCGCCACACGCCTTGCGCGCTTATTGGACATTGCCCACGCCGTTCTGCAGGAGGGCCCGCCCTTGTTTGTCTGAGACACTCCTTATAGGTGGTCGCTTTCTGCCAGTCTTTCCGTCGACCCCGCCGCCTTAAAATAAAATCCAATTTGATAGGTCGGATTTCTGGCGCTGCTGGCCTCCCTAAAAGCACCTGATAGGAACGGCGCTCTAAACCTCCCAAGAATCTCCGCCTCCCTCCCACTTTCATTGGTCTCCTCGCTAATCCGTCAGCACCAGTCACAATGACGACCTTCCCGCGCCACTTCGCAAGGAGACAAGGAAGCCCCGCCCTTTTTTGGTCTCTCTCCAGTGGTGGTTACAGATGCCCATTCTTCTGCGTCTCCACTGATTGGTCAATGGAGAGTGGAGCGCACCCTCTCACCAGATGGTAGGACTGTTGATACGCTCTGATTGGATGAAATGGGGAGCCCCGCCCCAGGGTAGGCGCTCTTTGGTGCAGTATACGAAACGAGCGAAGGCGAGAACGCATGCGCAAATACGCTTTCAGGCACCGCCCAGAGGCGGGGCCCCCTTATGGAGCGACCGCTGTGTGTGCGCCGGAAGGCTAGACCAAGATTGACAGGAACTCCCAGGGTATCTCTGTCGCCATCACTATACCGTGTTCATTTCTACCTCTAGGAGGAATTGTTAAAATCCCAAATCTGAGCCTTTTCCTCAGTAGAAAACCACTCGCTGCTGCCGACTGTCTTCGGACCCTGTCCAGTTCTAAATTCAGCCGCAACCCCTTTCAGTTTCCCTTGGGAGAAGGCTCTTCCGCGCACTCTCCATGTGTGCCCATGCAGTCCCTTCCACCTGCAATAGTCCACTACCCCTCCTGCAGGAGCTAAGGGCCAAGTCATCTTGTCCGTGCGATCTAAATTAACAGGTCCCTGCCATCCCAGACCCCCAGGATTCCCTTCAAAGCCATAACTCGGGCCAGTGGTTTTCACCTGACAGCTCGACCCCTCTGAGCACCACAGGAGGTCCTGGCCCCGACCCTGGAGAGGGTGGCCACCTACCAAGCGCCCAGTACAGCACCTGGCACAGTGCAAGCCCCCTGCACAGGGGAGGCGTTCTTGTGATCTGTGCCTGCGTCGGGCCTTTCTTCCTCAAGGGCGGGGTAAGACCACCCGCACTGCACCAAGAGAATGTCGGAGGGTATCTCCAGACTCCGGCGAAGCCCAACTGGCGGAGCCTGGGGGGTGGAGAGGAGCGCGCCCCAGTTATCACGCGCAGGCAGCGGGGTCAAACGGGGATTAACCCGGGATCCCGTCCTACGGCATTTAACATTATGGGGCTGCCCGCGCAGGGTGTGGGGGGGAACACCTTAGCGAAGCTATTGGCAAGTGACGATATCGCCAAAGGGGGGAAAAGAAATAAAAGCGAAGCTAGCGTCGTGAGAAACGCGGCGGACGCCCCAAAAGTGCTCCAGGACCTTTCTGCCCGGCTGATGGGGGATTTCGAGTTGAGGTCCGGGTGGAAACTAAGTTTGAAATGGAGGCCGTGTGTGGTGGCTCACACCTGTAATCCCAGCACTTGGGGAGGCCAAGGCGGAAGGCTCGCTTGAGCCCCGGATTTCGAGGTTGCAGTGAGCCGTGATCGCGCCCCTGCACTCCAGCGTGGGCGACGGAGCGAGACCCTATCAGAAAAAATGGGGTTTATGGCAATACAAGAGGGGACAGGCCTGGTGGCTCTGCCGGTGAGGGGAAATAAAGTTAGGGGAGGGGGCCTTGCTGGGGACCTCGGTCAGCTCCCCCGGACACCAGGAAGATCCGACCACGCCAACGGAACAGAGACGGGGGCGGGGCCGCGTCTGAAGCACGTGGCCCGCGTGACGGGAGGAGGCCGGGCCGGTCGCGACGAAGGGCGGGGTCGCTCCGTCCCAACGTCAGAGGAATGCGGTGGGGGGAGGGGGAGAGAGAGGGCCCCTCCCCTCCCCGCCCCCGCGGCCGGCCCGGACGCCCCTCGCGCCGGCGCGCACGGCCGGAGCACGGCGGAACGGTCTCCCCGGCGCCGCACGTTCCAGGCCGCCGGCCCGGCCTGGTGACCCGCACCCCCCGCGCTCCCGGCCACCGCCCCGCCCCCACCCCGCTGCTCGGACCCTGGCCCCCGGCCGCGCGCGGCGCCGCCCGCCAGTGCCCCGGTCACCTTCCCGCACCCCTCGCCCCCAGCCCCTACCAGCTCGGCGGCGAGCCTGACCGGCCGTCCCGGATCGAAAAGAGCAGACACTGGGAAGTTTTGGGAGAGGGAGGGGCGGGCCTTAAAGGGACCACGACCTTTTTTCAGCCCCGTGGGGGGAAGAAAAATTGGGGGCAGGGGGCGCGGGAGCGGGGACACGGCAGGAGACCGAGGGTCGCCCCGCGGGGGAATGGAGGAAACCAGGCGAGAAAGGAGCGGGAAGACCTTGGAGCCGCGGTGTTCGGGCTCCGCGTCCCTTTTCCCCAAAAATCCACCCCCGCCCCCCGCAGACGGAAAGTCACGCAGTTGTTTGAGACTCGCGCATCTTTCCTCCTGGTCAGGCAAGTGTCTTGGCTGAGGCAAGTGTTTGGGGTGTACATTGCTCACATAAGGAAATGGGCTGGAGGGACGCAAGTGACTAACCCAGGATGCCACAGCTTGCAAGTGGCATGGCGGGGCTGGTCTGACGCCGGAGCAGACGCATCACCACTGCACTTGCAGGGCTTATTAGGGTGATGGGGTAGGCTGTAGAGATGGGGGGTTCAGAGCAGGGGACTGGAGCCACCCTACCGGGGTTCCAACGTGGAAGCTGCATTTACTGTCTCTGGCCTTAGGAAAGTAACTTAGCCTTCCTCATCCGTTAGGGGGATGGCAGTAGGAGCTTCGTCTGGGTCGTCATGAGGAATGCAGAGAATGGAAACGGGACCTTAGAGGACTACCCCCATTTCACAGTTGAAGTAAAACTGGCCCAGAGAGTGGAAGAACCGCGAAAAATTACCACAGCTGGGCAGCCTCTGAAAGAGCAGGTCGCTCCCGTTCTTAATCCACACAAAACTTAATCGGACCCTTGCAGATCCTTGTAAACCCATGCCAGCCGGGCACGGTGGCTTCCCCTGTAATCCCAGCACTTTGGGAGGCCGAGGTGGGCAGATTGTTTAAGTCCAGGAGCTCGTGACCAGCCTGGGCAACATGGTGAAACCTTCTCTCTACATAAAATACAAAAAAATTAGCTGGGCGTGGTGGCGTGCAACTGTAGTCCCAGCTACTGGGGAGGCTGAGGCGGAAGGATCACTTGAGCCCAAGAGGTGGAGGCTGACAAAGCGAGACCCTGTCTCAAAAACAAACAACACCCCAGAAAAATATGGCTGGGCGCCGTGGCTCACGCCTGTAATCGTAGCACTTTGGGAGGCCGAGGCAGGAGAATCGCTTGAGGTCAGGGGTTCGAGACCAGCCTGGCTAACATGGCGAAACCCGGTCTCTACTTAAAATACAAAAATTAGGCTGGCGTGGTGGCAGGCGCCTGTAATCCCAGCTACTCAGAATGCTAAGGCAGGAGAATTGCTTGAACCCGGGAGGTGAAGTTTGCAGTGAGCCGAGATTGTGCCACTGCACTCTAACCTGGGCAACAGAGTGAGACTCTGTCTCAAAAAACTAAAATAAATAAAATAGGCCGGGCACGGTGGCTCACACCTGTAATACTAGCACTTTGGGAGGCTGAGGCGGCTGGATCACGAGGTCAGGAGATCAAGACCATCCTGGCTAACACGGTGAAACCCCGTCTCTGCTAAAAATAAAAAAAAAATTAAAAAAAAAATTAGCTGGGCATGGTGGCAGGCGCCTGTAGTCCCAGCTACTGGGGAGGCTGAGGCAGGAGAATGACGTGAACCCAGGAGGCGGAGCTTGCAGTGAGCCGAGATCGCTCCACTGTACTCCAGCCTGGGCGACAGAGCGAGACTCCGTCTCAAAAATAAATAAATAAAAGTAAAAAATAAATAAATAAATAAAATAAAGAAAAAATAGTAATGCTGCTGTGACCATTCCTAGTGATATCTTCTTGTGTCCATGTGTGAGAGTTTTAAGGGCATGTAGGTAGGAGTGGGATTGCTGGGTCGTGTAACATATTTTGACATTATTGGGTAGTAACAAATTGTTATTCAATATATCTGTACCATATATTCCCACCAGCAGTATATGAGAAGGTCTCATTCTTTTTTTTTTTTCTTTTGAGACAAGAGTTTCAATTTGTCCCCCAAGCTGGAGTGCAGTGATGCATACACAGCTCACTGCAGCCTCGACCTCCTAGGCTCAAGTGATCCTCCCACTTCAGCCTCCTGAGTAGCTGAGACCGCAAGCACATGCCATCATACCCTAATTTTTTTTTTTTTTTTTTTGAGATGGAGTCTCACTTTGTTGCCCAGGCTGGAGTGCAGGGGTGTGATCTCCACTCACTGCAACCTCTGCCTCCCAGGTTCAAGCGATTCCTCTGCCTCAACCTCCTGAGTAGCTGGAATTACAGGCACACGCCGCCATGCCAGGCTAATTTTTGTATTTTTAGTAGAGACGGGGTTTCACCATGTTGTCCAGGCTGGTCTTAACTCCTGGCCTCAAGTGATCTGCCCACCTCGGCCTCCTAAAGTGCTACTAGCATTACAGGCATGAGCCACAGCGCCCAGCCACCCTAATTTTTTTAAATTTTTTTAATTTTTTTATTTTTATTTATTTTTTTTTTTGTAGAGGCAGGGGTCTCACTATGTTGCCCAGGGTGATCTTGAACTCCTGGGCTCAAGCAATCCTCCCACCTCAGCCTCCCAAAGTGTTAGGATTGTAGGTGTGAGCCATGGCACCAAGCCTAGGTTTCTTTTTTTTTTTTTTTAATTTAATTTAATTTTATTTTATTTTATTTATTTTTTTTTTATTGATCATTCTTGGGTGTTTCTCACAGAGGGGCTTTTGGCAGGGTCATAGGACAATAGTGGAGGGAAGGTCAGCAGATAAACAAGTGAACAAAGGTCTCTGGTTTTCCTAGGCAGAGGACCCTGCGGCCTTCTGCACCGTTTGTGTCCCTGGGTACTTGAGATTAGGGAGTGGTGATGACTCTTAAGGAGCATGCTGCCTTCAAGCATCTGTTTAACAAAGCACATCTTGCACCGCCCTTAATCCATTTAACTCTGAGTGGACACAGCACATGTTTCAGAGCACAGGGTTGGGGGTAAGGTCACAGATCAACAGGATCCCAAGGCAGAAGAATTTTTCTTAGTACAGAACAAAATGAAAAGTCTCCCATGTCTACCTCCCTCTACACAGACACGGCAACCATCCCATTCCTCAATCTTTTCCCCACCTTTCCCCCCCCTCCATTCCACAAAGCCGCCATTGTCATCCTGGCCCGCTCTCAATGAGCTGTTGGGTACACCTCCCAGACGGGGTGGTGGCCGGGCAGAGGGGCTCCTCACCTCCCAGATGGGGCGGCCGGGCAGAGGCGCCCCTCACCTCCCGGACGGGGCGGCTGGCCGGGCGGGGGGCTGACCCCCCCACCTCCCTCCCGGACCGGGCGGCTGGCCAGACGGGGGGCTGACCCCCCCACCTCCCTCCCGGACGGGGCGGCTGGCCGGGCGGGGCCTGACCCCCCCACCTCCCTCCCGGACGGGGCGGCTGGCCGGGCAGAGGGGCTCCTCACTTCCCAGTAGGGGCGGCCGGGCAGAGGCGCCCCTCACCTCCCGGACGGGGCGGCTGGCCGGGCGGGGGGCTGACCCCCCACCTCCCTCCCGGACGGGGTGGCTGCCGGGCGGAGATGCTCCTCACTTCCCAGACGGGGCGGCTGCCGGGTGGAGAGGCTCCTCACTTCTCATACGGGGCGGCTGCCGGGCGGAGGGTCTCCTCACTTCTGAGACGGGGCGGCCGGGCAGAGACGCTCCTCACCTCCCAGACGGGGTGGCGGCCGGGCAGAGGCGCTCCTCACATCCCAGACGGGGCGGCGGGGCAGAGGCACTCCCCACATCCCAGACGATGGGCGGCCGGGCAGAGACGCTCCTCACTTCCTAGATGTGATGGCGGCCGGGAAGAGGCGCTCCTCACTTCCGAGATGGGATGGCGGCTGGGCAGAGACGCTCCTCACTTTCCAGACTGGGCAGCCAGGCAGAGGGACTCCTCACGTCCCAGACGATGGGCGGCCAGGCAGAGACGCTCCTCACTTCCCAGACGGGGTGGCGGCCTGGCAGAGGCTGCAATCTCGGCACTTTGGGAGGCCAAGGCAGGCGGCTGGGAGGTGGAGGTTGTAGCGAGCCGAGATCACGCCACTGCGCTCCAGCCTGGGCGCCATTGAGCACTGAGAGAACCAGACTCCGTCTGCAATCCCGGCACCTCGGGAGTCCGAGGCTGGCGGACCACTCGCGGTTAGGAGCTGGAGACCAGCCTGGCCATCACAGCGAAACCCCGTCTCCACCAAAAAAATACGAAAACCAGTCAGGCGTGGCGGCGCGCACCTGCAATTGCAGGCACTCCGCAGGCTGAGGCAGGAGAATCAGGCAGGGAGGTTGCAGTGAGCCGAGATGGCAGCAGTATAGTCCAGCTTCGGCTCGGCATGAGAGGGAGACCGTGGAAAGAGAGGGAGAGGGAAACCATGGGGAGAGGGAGAGGGACAGGGACAGGGAGAGGGAGAGGGAGAGCGCCTAGGTTTCTTCTGCTGTTCTTTTCCAAAACTTCTTAAATTTTGATACGTCTTTCTCCTTTTCTAATATAAGCACGGAGGCTCTGAATTTCCCTCTCCATTTTAATTTGGCTGCATTTTACAGAAAGGTGTTTTGGAACTTCCATTCTAATTTCTCTCAGACAGATGGCATTTTTAACTTATTTTGTTGTTGTGGTTTGCTAAAATACTTGCAAGTTGGTACATTTTGCATTTTGAAAGATTTTGCCAAATTACCCTCCATTAGCACTGTAACAATTTGAGTTCTCAGCATTTCTATGTAAAAAATGAATTTTCCCCACTATCTCAAAATACTGCACATTTTGTTTTACATTTGTCAATCTGAGGTAAAAACTGGTTTTAATTTTAATTTACTTTATATTTACCTTATTGAATGAATCGTGTGTGTGTATGTGAGCGTATACCATATGTGTTCACATGGGAATTGGAACAGCTAGAGAAAAAACATCCCAGGGAGAAGAAACAGCAAATGCAAAAGCCCTGAAGTCGGCTGGGCATGGTGGCTCACGCCTGTAATCCCAGCACTGGGAGGCCGAGGTGGGCAGATCACGAGGTTCAAGACCAGCCTGGCCAACACGGTGAAACCCCATTTCTACTAAAAATACAAAAATTAGTTGGGCGTCGTGGTGGTTGCCTGTAATCCCAGCTACTCAGGAGGCTGAGGCAGGAAAATCACTTGAAACCGGAAGGCTGAGGTTACAGTGAGCTGAGATCACACGCCACTGCACTCTAGCCTGGGCAACGAGCGAAATTCCGCCACACACACACACACACACACACACACACACACACACACACAAAAAGCCCTGACATGAGAACTGAAGACCTTTGTGGCTGGGCAGAGGGAGTGACAGGGTGAGTCTGAGGGGACAAGGTCAGAGGGGTGATGGGGGCACGTTATGTGGGGCCCACTGAGACGGGCTGAGGATGAGGACTTTGGTCTTATTACTAAGTGAGAAAAGAACCATGAGAGGGTTAAAAACCAGAATGACAAGCTGAGCATGGTGGCTCAAGCCTGTAATCCCAGCACTCTGGGAATGTTAAGGCAGGAGGATCCCTTGAGGCCAGGAGTTTTAGATGAGCCTGGCTAACATAGTGAGACACCATCTCTACAAAAAAAAAGTAAAAGGCCAGGTGCGGTGGCTCATACCTGTAATCCCAGCACTTTGTGAGGTCAAGGCGAGTGGATCACCTGAGGTCAGGAGTTTGAGACCATCCTGGCCAACATGGTGAAACCCCATTTCTACTAAAAATACAAAAATTAGCTGGGCATGGTGGTGGGTGCCTATAATCCCAGCTACTTGGGAGGCTGAGGCGGAAGAATCAACTTGAACCTAGGAGGCAGAAGTTGCAGTGAGTCAAGACTGTGCTATTGCACTCCAGCCTGGGCAACAAAAGTGAAACTCCATCTCAAAAAAAAAAAAAAAGGAAAAAAATTAGCTGGGCATGGTGTAATGCCCCTAGTCCCAGGTCCTCAGGAGACTCAGGCAGGAGGATCACTTGAGCCCAGGAGTTTGAGGCTGCAGTGAGCTATGATTGCACCACTGCACTTTAGCCTGGGCAACAGAGTGATAACTTCTTTCCAAAAAACTCCACAAAAAACAGAAGAGTGATGAGATCAGATTTTTTTTGGATTAAAAAATATAACATCTTTATTAAGCTATATTTCACATACCATAATATTAACTCTTTATATATTTATTTATTTATTTGAGACGCAGTCTCGCTTTGTCGCCCAGGCTGGAGTGCAGTGATGCGATCTCATCTCACTGCAACCTCTGCCTCCTGGGTTCAAACGATTCTCCTGCCTCAGCCTCCCAAGTAGCTGGGATTATAGGCACCTGCCACAATGCCCGGCTAATTTTTGTATTTTTAGTAGAGATGGGGTTTCTGCATGTTGGCCAGGCTGACCTCGAACTCCTGACCTCAGGTGATCCGCCCGCCTCAGCCTCCCAAAGTGCTGGGATTACAGGCGTGAGCCATTGCACCCAGCCAAATATTAACTCTTTTAAAGTGTATGACTGGCTGGGCTGGTGGCTCACACCTATAATCCCAGCTATGTGGGAGGCCGAGGTGGGCAAATCACTGAGGTCAGGAGTTTGAGACCAGCCTGGTCAACATGGCGAAACCACCTCTCTACTAAAAATACAAAAATTAGCCAGGCGTGGTGGTGCACGCCTGTAGTCCCAGCCACTCTGGAGGCTGAAGCACCAGAGTCACTTGAACCTGGGAGGAAGAAGTTTTGTGTGTGTGTGTGTATGTTTGTGTATATGTATGATTGAGTGTTGAGTGGTTTTTAGTATGCTCACATAGTCATGCAACCATCATCACTGTCTGATTCTGGAATATTACCCTCAAAAGGAACTCCATACCCTTTTTTTGTTTTTCGAGACAGAGTCTTGCTCTGTCGCCCAGGCTGGAGTGTAATGGCGTGATCTCGCCGCACTGCAACCTCCGCCTCCTGGTTCAAGCAATTCTCCTGCCTCAGCCTCTGGACTAGCTGGGATTACAGGCGCCCACCACCATACCCCGCTAGTGTTTTGAATTTTTAGTAGAGACGGGGTTTTGCCACGTTGCAATCCGCCCACCTCAGCCTCCCAAAGTGCTAGGATTACAGGCGTGAGCCACTGTGCCCAGCCTCCATATCCTTCAGCAGTCACTCCCCTCAGCCCCCGGCAGCCGCCAATTTACTTTCTGTCTCTATGGATTTGTCTAGTCTGGACATTTCATATTGTAGGGTCCAGCCCTACGGGGCTTAGCAGGTGTTCTCCCCGTGTGCAGAGATGAGAGATGGTAATAAATAAAGACACAAGACAAAGAGATAAAGAGAAAACAGCTGGGCCCGGGAGACCACTACCATCAAGTTGTGGAGACTGGTAGTGGCCCCGAACGGCTGGGCGCGCTGATATTTATTGCATACGAGACAAGGGGGGCAGGGTAAGGAGGGTGAATCCTCTAAGTGATTGATAAGGTGAAGCAAGTCACGTGATCATAGGACGGGGGTGGGGGGCCCTTCCCTTTTAGGTAGCCAAAGCAGAGAGAGAAGGCAGCATACGTCAGCGTTTTCTTCTATGCACTTATAAGAACGATCAAAGACTTTAAGACTTTCACTATTTCTTCTACCGCTATCTACTACCAACTTCAAAGAGGATCCAGGAGTACGGGAGGAACGTGAAAGTGGACAAGGAGCGTGACCTTTGGAGCACAGCACCACAGGGAGGGGTTTAGGCCTCCGGTGACTGCAGGCAGGCCTGGATAATATCCAGCCTTCCAGAAGAAGCTGGTGGAGCAGTGTTCCCTGACTCCTCCAAGGAAAGGAGACTCCCTTTCGCGGTCTGCTAAGTAATGGGCGTCTTCCCAGACACTGGCATTACCGCTTGACCAAGGAGCCCTCAAGCGGCCCTTATGTGGGCGTGACAGAGGGCTCACCTCTTGCCTTCTAGGTCACTTCTCACAATGTCCCTTCAGCACCTGACCCTATACCCACCGGTTATCCTTAGGGTATATTAGTAATGCAACAAAGAGTAATATTAAAAGCTAATGATTAATAATGTTTATAATAATGATTGATAATTGTCCATGATCATCTCTATATCTAATTTGTATTATGACTATTCTTATTCTAACTATTTTCTTTATTATACTGAAACAGTTTGTGCCTTCAGTCTCTTGCCTCGGCACCTAGGTAATCTTTCACCCACATCATATAAATGGAAAAATATAGTATGTAGCCTTTTGTGTCTGATTCTCTTAGCATGTTTTCAAGTTTCACCCATGTTTTTTAAATTAAATTAAATTTTTATTTTTGGGGGACGGAGTTTAGCTCTTGTCGCCCAGGCTGGAGTGCAATGGTGCAATCTCGGCTCACTGCAACCTCTACCTCCAAGGTTCAAGCGATTCTCCTACCTCAGCCTCCCAAGTAGCTGGGACTACAGGCGCCCGCCGCCATGCCCGGCTAATTTTTGTAATTTTAGTAGAGACTGGGTTTTGCCTTGTTGGCCAGGCTGGTCTCTTATCTCCTGACCTTACGATCCGCCTGCCTCGGCCTCCCAAAGTGCTGGGATTACAGGCATGAGCCACTGTGCCCGACCTGCTTTCTTCTTTTTTGTTGTTAAGCCTCCTCCGGCTCCAAGCAGAAATAGCTTCACGGTCTGCTGTGCTTCAGATTGAAAACTCAGACACCCTCAGGGACCAGTGGGGAAAGCCACCCCTTAGAGGAAAGTTTCTCATTTGCATTACGCAGTCCTGACCCTTTCCCTACCTTTCCCCGCCCCCAGCTTCAATCAGGTCTAACTGATATGTGAGAAACCAGACCTTTAAAGTGTACAATTGATGAGTTTTAACTTACATATACACCTGGGAAACCATCACCACAAATCAAGATAGTGACCACAAGGTAAAAACAGTATTCATCATCCCCAGGAAGTGTTTTTGTTTTTTTGTTTTTTGTTTTTTATTTTTTTTTTTGAGATAGTCTTGCTCTGCTATCCAGGCTGAAGTCCAGTGGTGTGATTATAGCTCACTGTGGCTTACTCCCAAGTAGCTGGGACTACAGGTTCCTGCCACCCCATGGCCATTTTATATATATATATATATAATATATATGTATATAAAATATATATATAGTTATATATATACACACTATATATACTATATATTATATATAATAGTTATATATACCATATATTATATATACTATATTATATATAGTATATCATATATAGCATATATTATATATACTATATTATATAGTATCTCATATATAGCATATAATATATACTATATTATATATAGCATATCATATATAGTATATATAATATATACTATATTATATATAGTGTATAATATATACTATATTATATATATATTATATATATAAATATAATTGGGTTTTTTTTTGTTTGTTTTTTTGGTAGAGATGGGGTCTTGCTACGTTACCTCGGCTGATCTCAAACTCCGGGCCTCAGGCAATCCTCCTGCCTCAGCCTCCCAAAATGCTGGGATTACAGTAGTGAGCTACCACACCCACAGAAGTTTTCTTTTCGTTTTTGAGACGGAATTTTGCTCTGTCGCCCAGGCTGGAGTGCAGTGGCATGATCTCAGCTCACTGCAGCCTCCACCTCCTGGGTTCAAGCAATTCTCCTGCCTCGGCCTCCCTAGTAGCTGGGATTACAGACATGCACCACCATGCCCAGCTAATTTTTTTTTTTTTTTTTTTTTGAGATGGAGTTTTGCTCTTGTTGCCCAGGCTGGAGTGCAATGGTGTGATCTCGGCTCACTGCAACCTCCATCTCCCAGGTTCAAGCGATTCTCCTGTCTCAGCCTCCTGAGTAGCTGGGATTACAGGCATGTGCCACCATGCTTGGCTAAATTTTTTTGTATTTTTAGTAGAGACGGGGTTTCTCCATGTTGATTAGGCTGGTCTTGAACTCCTGACTTCAGGTGATCTGCCTGCCTTGGTCTCCCAAAGTGCTGGGATTGCAGGCATGAGCCACCACACCCAGCCGCTAATTTTTATATTTTTAGTAGAGACAGGGTTTCAACATGTTGCCCAGGCTGGTCTTGAATTCCTGACCTCAAGTGATCCCCCTGCCTTGGCCTCCCAAAGTGCTGGGATGGGTGTGAACCACCACGCCTGCAGAAGTTTTCTTGAGCCTCCTTGTAAACCCTCTGTTTTTCACTGTCCCCCGCCCAGTGTTACAGACCACAAGTTCTTGGGATCTGAATGCAACTGAAATTGACTTGAGGCCAAAACAGTTTTCCCAGACAAGACTTCATTGGAGTTTATGCCTGGGTATGAGGGAGACAGCACAAGAGAAAGAGAGCAAATTTGCTGGCTGACTCTTGGAAAAGAGCCAGTAGGGCTTTTTTATTAGGCAAAGCTCTGGAATTGACATTAGCGGGAGGATATACAGGCTGAGCTGGGCAAAACATGTGAGGAGTAGAGCACTCATGAGGACACTTGTCTGGCTGCGATGGTTATCTTGAGTAATGGGCCACATGGTGTTCTGGCAGGTGCAACAAGGCTGTAAATCAATTGTTCAGCTTTCCTTCCGGAGCTGGGACACTCACACCCTCGGTTACTTCCTAAGGCCAGTTCCTGAAATTCTTTTTTTTTCTTTTGTTTGAGACAGAGTCTTGGTCTGTTGTGCCCAGGCTGGAGTGCGGTGGTGCTATCTTGGCTCACTGCAACCTCCTTCTCCCAGGTTCAAGTGATCCTCCTGACTCAACCTCCCGAGTAGCTGGGATTACAGGCGCCTGCTACCACGCCCAGCTAATTTTTATATTTTTAGTAGAGATGGGGTTTCACCATGTTGGCCACGCTAGTCTCGAACTCCTGACCTCAAGTGAGCCACCCGCCTCGGCCTCCCAAAGTGCTGGGATTACAGGCGTGAGCTACCGCGCCCGGTCTCGCTATTGATTCTTTTTGCTTCCACGGACAACTTTTTATTTCCTATCTTCCATCTGTGAGGGCGTTCAGGACTTTTGGGCCTTTGTGAGTAAACAGTCAACTCTGTGGAGCGGAGACCCTAGAGAATATGGCCAGAGAGAAATGTGAGCTGTACTCCATTGGCAGCTAGCAAAACTTTCCTTTCTTTGAGCTGTCTTTGCAGTGGTTCTAGATCTTGGGAGGACGGCTGTAGATGCCCTGCATCCTTGGTTAAGTCATAACCTTGGTTAAGGCTTATAGGTTTCACTTGGGAGAGTACCTGTGGTGAAGAAGTTCACAAGCCAGGAATACCAGCTGTTTGTCCCAACTAAAAGCTGGTAATACGGCTGGGCACTGTGGCTCTCACGCCTGTAATCCCAGCACTTTGGGAGGCCAAGGCGGGTGGATCACCTGAGGTCTGGAGTTCGAGACCAGCCTGACCAATATGGTGAAACTCTATGTCTACTAAAAATACAAAAATTAGCCGGACATGGTGGTGTCTGCCTGTAGTCCCAGCTACTTGGGAGGCTGAGACAAAAGAATTGTTTGAACCCAGGAGGCGGAGGTTGCAGTGAGCTGAGATTGCACCACTGCACTCCAGCCTGGGCAACAGACAGACACTCCATCTCAAAAATAAAATAAATAAATAAATAAATTTATTTATTTTAATAAGAAATTTAATCTGGTAATAAGAAATTTAAGAGTAGTTATTTTAAAGAGCTTTATAGTTAGAAGTCAGCTTAATCAAAAGCTAATATCCAAGTTTTTTTTTTTTTTTTTTTTTTTTTTTTTAAGACTGAGTCTTGCTTGTCACCCAGGCTGGAGCGCAGTAACACGATCTCGGCTCACTGCAACCTCTGCCTCCTGGGTTCAATGAAGCCATTCTCCTGCCTCAGCCTCCCCAGTAGCTGGGATTACAAGGGTGCACCACCACGCCCAGCTAATTTTTGTATTTTTAGTGGAGACGGGGTTTCACCATGTTGGCCAGGCTGGTTTCGAACTCCTGACCTCGCGATCTGCCCGCCTCGGCCTCCCAAAGTGCTAGGATTACAGGCGTGAGCCACCATGCCCGGCCCCAAGTTTTATATATATATATATATATATTTAAAAGGGCTTTCTGACTTTTCTCTTTGAATCTTTTTTCGTGGACTAGAACTTTTTTTTTCAAAAACAAAAAAACCCTGTGTGCTTGGTATGACCACTTCCTTTGTTCACTTCCTCCCTTTTTCTTTTTTTCTTCTTTCTTGAGGTGGGGTCTTGCTCTGTTGCCCAGGCTGGAGTGCAGTGGTGTGATCACAGCTCTGCAGCTTTGACCTCCTGGGCTCAAGCAATCATTCCACCTTCACCTCCCAAAGTGCTGGGATTACAGACATGAGCTTCTATGCCCGGCCCACTTCCTTTATTAAAAATTATTTTTCCATGATGTGAGTGAGAGCCCAAGGGGAGACTTCTAGCATGAAGCCCAGAGCTCCACAGCAAACAGGAGCTTGAGTTTGACCCTAAGCCCTCAACCAGCGATACCCCAAACAGCTGCCATTTGAGTTTCACGTCCCTTTTTTTTTTTTTTTTGCCACACATTCATGCATCACCTGCCCACTTCACTGCTTAATAATTTTCTTTAAATCAACCCACTCTTTTGTTTTTAATTCAACACATTTATTTAAACAGGAGATGTCATTTCACTCCAGGAAGTGGAAAACCAGTGTCAGTTGGCACACATAGACTCTAATAGTACAAATAAATCCAATGATTCAGCAACAACAGAGAAGTGCTAAAAGCATTGGGTGAAAGGTGTTGAGGAACAGGTTGGTCACCAGGTCTCAAGGTGACACCCACAGATGATGCAAGAATTCAAAGGCTCACGCCTATAATCCCAGCACTTTGGGAGGCCGAGGCGGGTGGATCACTTGAGGTCAGGAGTTCAAAACCAGCCTGGGCAACATGACGAAACCCCATTTCTACAAAACATACCGAAAATTAGCCGGGCATGGTGGTGGTGTGCACCTGTAGTCCTAGTACTACTAAGCTGAGGTGGGAGGATCGTGGGAGGTGGAGATTGCAGTAAGCCTAGATCACACCACTGCACTCCAGCCTGGGCGACAGAGTGAGACCCTGTCTCAAAAACAAACCGACAAACAACAAAAAATAAAACAAAAAACAAGGGGAGAAGATGACCATCTGCAAGCCAAGGAGAGAGCCCTCAGAAGGAAGTCTATTGTGCTGACACCTCGAACTGGAACTATTGTAACCGCCCAAGGGGTTCACGTTTCCTGCTGCCTAGACAGAGCCCATACATCAAAACAGGGGAATTGCAATAGAGAAAGAGTAATTCGCTGGGCGCAGTGGCTGACGCCTGTAATCCCACCACTTTGGGAGGCTGAGGTGGGCGGATCACGAGGTCAGGAAACCGAGACCATTCTGGCTAACACGGTGAAACCCTGTCTCTACTAAAAACACAAAAAATTAGCCGGGCGTGGCGGCACGTGCCTGCAGTCCCAGCTACTTGGGAAGCTGAGGCAGGAGAATGGCGTGAACCCGGGAGGCGGAGCTTCCAGTGATGCAATGAGCTGAGACCACGCCACTGCACTCCAGCCTGGGCAACACAGCAAGACTCCGCCTTAAAAAAAAAAAAAAAAAAGAGTGATTCACGCAGAGGAGCCAGAGCCCGCTGTGCGCTGTGCGGGAGACCGGAGTTGTATTATTACTCAAATCAGTCTCCCTGAGCATTCTAGGATCAGAGCTTTTAACAACAACGCGGTGGGTGGGGGGAAGCTAGTGAGCCAGGAGTGTTGATTGCTCAGGAATGAAATCATAGGGAGTCGAAGCTGTCTTCTTGAGCTGAGTCAGTTCCTGTATAGGGGGCCACAAGATCAGAAGAGCCAGTTTATTGATCTGGTGGTGCCCACTGATCCATCAAGCGCAGGGTCTGCACAATGTTCCAAGCACTGATCTTAGGAGCAGTTTAGGGAGGGTCAGAATCTTGTAGCCTCTGGCTGCATGACTCCTAAACCATAATTTCTAATCTTATGATTAATGTTAGTCCTACAAAGGCAATCTAGTTCCCAGACAAGAAGGAGGTCTGCTGTTGGGCGCGGCGGCTCACGCCTGTAATCCCAGCGCTTTGGGAGGCCGAGGTGGGCTGATCACAAAGTCAAGAGATCGAGACCATCCTGGCCAACATGGTGAAACTGTGTCTCTACTAAAAATACAAACATTAGCCAGGCGTGGTGGCACATACCTGTAGTCCCAGCAACTCAGGAGGCTGAGGCAGGAGAATTGCTTGAACCCGGGAGGCGGAGGTTGCAGTGAGCTGAGATTGTGCCACTGCACTCCAGCTTGGGCAACAGAGCCAGACTCTGTCTCACCAAAAAAAAAAAAAGAAAAAAAGAGGGAGTTCTGCTTTGGAAAGGGCTGTTTTCAACTTTGTTTAAACTATAAACTCTTTCTCTCAAAGTTAGTTCGGCCTACATCTAGGAATGAACAAGGACAGCTTGGAGATTAGAAGCAAGATGGAGTCAATTATGTTAGATCTCTTTCACTGTCTCAGTCATAATTTTGCAAACACAGTTTCACTGGGAGGAAATAAATTTCTGTTGTTTAAGCCACACAGTCTGTGATCTTTTTTTTTTCTTTTTTGAGACAGAGTCTCGCTCTGTCGCCCAGACTGGAGTGCAGTGGCACAATCTCAGCTCACTGCAACCTCCGCCTCCCAGGTTCAAGCGATTCTCCTGCCCCAGCCTCCTGAGTAGCTGGGATTATGGGCGCGCATCACCATGCCTCAGCCTCCCGAGTAGCTGGGATTACAGGCGCGTCACCATGCCCGGCTAATTTTTTTTTTTGTATTTTTAGTAGAGACGGGGTTTCACCATGTTGGCCAGGCTGGTCTCGAACTCCTGACCTCGTGACCCACCTGCCTCAGCCTCCCAAAGTGTTGGGATTACAAGCGTGAGCCACCGCACCCGGCCATCTGTGGTCTTTTTGATGGCAGCTCTAGCCGACTAGCCTATCTCCTTAGCTCAATGGTCAAAGTTAGCTTTACCAATCACGGCCCCTGATGGGATTCAGGTACCGAGAAGGACACAGCGTCCCTGCGGAGTATTCTTCCCCACAGCTGCAAGACCAGATTTTAATCATGAGGAAGCAGCAGACGAGGCCAGAAACTGGGACTGTCCACAGGACAACTGGCCAGGGCTCTTCGAACAGCCAGGGTCAGTCCAGCTGCTACACATGTGAGGTAAGAAAAAAAAAAGCCAACGTCAGGAGCCTCTCTGAACCTATTGTGGTTTGGAGGCTGTCCAGTTTATTTACAAATTGAAAAAAAGTTATATATATATAAATTATTATATTATTGTTTTATAATATTTATATTATTTTATAAATTAATATAATTATTATGATTATAAATTAAATATTTTAATTTATATATAAATTATTTTTTATTTTTGTAAATATATAAATCTATCTATATATAGATATATCTATACGTATAGACACAGATAGATACCTCATGTAGCTAGTGCATACTTGAAATGTGACTAGTCCAAACTGTGATGTGATTAAGTGTAAAATGCACAGTAAATTTCAAAGCTTTAGCATACACACACACAAACATACAAAGTTTTAAATATGTCAGTAACTTTTTAATATGGATACATGTTGAAGTGATAATATTTGGGATACATTGTGTTAAATCAAATATATTATTATTAACGTTAACTTCACTTGTTTCTTTTTATTTATTTATTTATTTTTGAGATGGTGTTTCACTCTTGTTGCCCAGGCTGGAGTGCAATGGCGCAATCTCCGCTCACCGCAATCTTCGCCTCCCGGGTTCAAGCCATTCTCCTGCCTTAGCCTCCGGAGTAGCTGGGATTACAGGCATGCGCCACCATGCCCGGCTAAGTTTGTATTTTTAGTAGAGACGGGTTTCTCCATGTTTGTCAGGCTGGTCTTGAACTCCCGACCTCAGGTGATCTGCCCACCTTGGCCTCCCAAAGTGCTGGGATTACAGGCATGAGCAACCGCACCCGGCCTCACTTGTTTCTTTTTAGTTTTTTAAATTGTAGTTACTATGAACAATGAAATACATAAATATATGGTTTGTTAGCATGTGATACATTCTTTGGGAAAAACGATCACAATTGGGCACGGTGGCTCACGCCTATAATCTCAGCACTTTGGGAGGCCGACGTGGGCAGATTGCTTGAGGTTAGGAGTTTGAGACCAGCCTGGGCAACAAAGAGAGACCTCATCTTTATAAAAAATTTTAAAAATTAGACAGGCACGGTGGTAGGTGCCTGTAGTCTCAGCTACTTGGTAGGCAGAGGCAGGGGGCTTGTTTGAGCCAGGAGGTTAAGGCTGCAGTGAGCCGAGATCATGCCACTACACTCCAGCCTGGGCAACAGACAGAGACGTTCTTTCAAAACAAAACAAAACCCCCTGTTCCTCAAGCAAGATGCCAGACGTACCTGGGTCAGTCCAGACTCCTGACCTATGTGGTTTAGGAGCAGCAAGGAGGAGGGAGGGGTCCCAGGAAAAGGGAACAGCCTACCTCTGGGCCTTTGCACTGGCTCATCCTGCTTCTCGGAATGCTCTTCCTAATACCCACTCTGCTCCTCCCTTCCCCTCCCCTCCTTCAGGCCTTTCTGCAGATGTCACCTCAGTGAGGCTTTCTCTGATACGCCTGTCTAAAACTGCAAAGCCTCCTGAGTAGCTGGTACCACAGGAGTACGCCACCACGCCCGGCTAATTTTTGTTTTTTTTTTTTTTTGGTAGATGGGGGTCCCACTGTTTTGCCCAGGCTGGTCTCAAACTCCTGGGCTCAAGCAATCCTCCCACCTTGGCCTCCCAAAATGTTGGGATTACAGGCATGAACGGAGGGGTGTGAAACCCCTAGTTGTCACTGGTCCCTGTCACAGTCTCTTCTGCCCATGGCTCCTTAAAGGGCAGGTTGGCCTGTGGGGAGAGGTGGGAGCTGGGTCAGAAGGGCACCAGGTCTCACCCTCCCTTCTACTTGCAGCCAGATGGGCAGTCACCTGGGCTCTGGGATGATCCTTTCTGTGCAGCGTCCGCCTGCGGTGCCACTGGTGCAGGGAGGCGCGGGCCTCGGAGCTGAGCCCCCGGGGAGCGCGGTCTGTTTCGGGCTGGTAGTGGGCAATGTGGTGCAGCGCCCCAAACCACGTGGTCAGGTAGTACCCAGCTGGGGACAGAAAGGGAAGTCAGCTCCGCCCTCTCGGCTTCCCTGGTCGCCCCAAATCCCCCTGCAGTTTGCCTGCCGTCCCTCCTGCTGCGGGGGGAGGCTGTTTGGGATCCCGGAGGTACTGGATCGCTGGGCTCCAGCATTCTGGAGTTGGGGGCTCACCCTCTCCCCGCAGCTCATCTGGATCTAAGAGCTCCATAAGAAACTCTACGTCCAGCTGCGTGTCCCCAATGTCCGGGCTCCAGATGAGTTCCTCGGTCAGCGCCGGCAGGAAGGCGTCGGCCCCCAGGGGATCTGGGAAAACCAGAGGAAAGGTCTTGAGATGGATCCCCATCTCAAGGCGCGTAGACACCTTCCATCCGATCCCCAGGACCACGAGGGCTGGCTGCCCCTCCACCTTGTCGGGCATGACAGCGCCTCCTACCAGAATCTTCAGGACCGCATAGATTCCTCCCACCAGTGCTACCCTCTCCCGCCTGGCTCCAACTCTCAAGGCTCTCCCCACCACGCTAGACGTTGACCCCTCCCTTACCTTGGTTCTCGCCTCGAGCCAGGCCCGCATAGACATCTCTGCACACCTCCAAGAGGAGCGCCACCTTGCGGCGCGGGGCGCAGGCAGCGTGGAGGTGCGCAAGGCGCTCGTGGATGCGGCTCCGCAAGGCGGGGGCGGGGCTCTGCCCTTCCGGTCCCGGCCCCTGTGCCCCCGGAGGCCCCGCCCCCGCCCGCAGGGCTGTCTGTCGCCGCCGCAGCCGCCGCAGCTCCGGTGCTCGGAGTGTGCGGAGTCGTGTCCACAGGGCCGGCTTCAGGGGCGCCAGCACCGCCTGGCACACCGCCGTCTCCAGCGCGGGGCCTGCGGGGTGTGGGGGACGGGTGAGCACAGGACCGCCAAGTTGTCCCACGCCCACCCACGCGCTCCAACAACCCACCCTGGCCCACAGCCACCCCTGCCTAGCTCTGGTCCCCCGTGAGTGTAGACATGGTTGTGAACATGTGTGGAAGAGTTAGCCTGGGTGTGAACTTGCGCGCATACGTGGGCGATAGAACGCGTGGGATGTGTAGGAAGGGCGTGTGGGTGCAGAAGGAAACGTGTGCGCACCGATGGAGAGGACGAAGTTGCACACTTGAACCCGTGGGGGCTCCCTTCCAGTCCTCCCATTACCTGGATCCTCGTCCTTCTTGGGGAGCCCAGGACCCCTGCTTCCAAAGACAGCCCTGATGTAGGAGTCCTTTGCCAGGTGATCCTGGAGGTCAGTAAGGAGGTGCCGCACATCCTGAAGCAGCTCCGTGGCCGGGTCCCCAGACCCGTGGGGACCCCCAGAATCTGAGGCGATGCGCACCCGAAGGCTTCGGTACTGCCTGGCCACGTAGCTGCTCCGGGCCCTGACCAGAGACTGGACGTGAATGGTGAGCACGTCCTCAGGGCCTTCCTCTTCAGGGTCGTCCTCCCTTCCTTCCTCCTTTCCTTCAAGGTCTTCCTCCTCCTCTTCCAGTAGGCTGGCGAGAGCCGGCCCAGGATGGTCCACTTCCGGGCTGAGCGGGCCTTTCACCCAGGAGACCCCGTGAGGCGCAGGGTTCCTGGGGGCTGGAAGTGAGGAGGGCATTCGGTCGCCTAGAACAGGGGCAGCAGCTCCCTCCCCTTCAGAGGCCCAGGGCCCCGCCCAGCTAACCTGGATCATGTCTCTGAGCAGCCTCTGGCTCTGTTTCTTGAGGGGTCTGCTCCCTCCCCCAGCCTCTGTGGGTCTCCAGGTAGAGCTGGTTCACAATGGAAAGCACCTTCCCTGGGGTGTCCTGTTGGACCCTGCCGATCTGCACAGGATCTGGAGCCAGCAGAAGTGAGAAGGTGTCCTAGGTATCCAAGGGACCAACCCTGGTCCCCTCAAGGCGCCAGGAGACTTACTTCCCAGCTTCATTGCTGGAGGTGCTGAGGCTTAGCTCCTGGCCCCTCCTCAGTCAGACCCAGGAGTCCAGGCCCCTAGTCCCCTTCTCACTTAGGCCCAGGCGTCCGGGACCCCCAGTTCCTTCCTCCTCCAATCCTCTCCTCTGTTAGGACCTAGGAATACAGGCCCCCATCCCCTCCTCCCTCTGGGACTACAAAGTCCAGGCCCCCAGCTCTCTCTAGTCTCCAGTTCTATATTCTCCTCAAACCCAGTAGTCTGGGCCCCAAAGCCCCATTCATTCCCTTGGAGCAAGGAAATTGGCAGGTTGGCTGTGCCCTCTTTAGAGAACCGTGCCTCACCTGTGTGTTCATCTCTGGGCCCTAGAGTGGGAGGGGGCAAGAGCAGGGTTCTGGGCAGAACATCCCTGAGAATAAAGAGGTGGGAGCCACAGTGTCAGTGGGGTGTCTTAGGGAAGGGTCCCCCTTAGTGCCTCAGATGGGTGACCTGTACCTGCTGGCTGATAGAAAGGCCAGGAGATGGGGCAGGTCTGGCATGCAGAGGTTGGAGGATTCCAGGGACACACCTGTGGTGGGGGGAGGAAGAAGGAGAAAGTAAACTTGAGTGGTGGCAGTTTTCTGTCCCCTGGGATGCTCTTGCTCCTCCATTCCTTCAGAATCCCCCCAGGGACCTTCAGAACAGGGAAGTTCCCACTCTTTGGAGTCTCCATCTTTACTCTTGTGTACCACTTATGCCACCAACAAGGATTCATTCATTAGACAAACATTTACTGAGCCCTTAGTCCTTTCTAGGCACTGGAGATACAGTTATCAAAAGGCAGACAAGTTCACTGCCTTCCTGTAGCTTACCTTTTAGCGGGGGGCGGAGGGGGAAAAGGCAGAATATAAATGAATAAACAGTCAGGGTACGGTGGCTCACGCCTGTAATTCTAGCACTTTGGGAAGCCGAGGTGGGTGAATCACCTGAAGTCAGGAGTTCGAGACCAGCCTGGCCAACATGGCGAAACCCCATCTCTATTAAAAATACAAAAATTAGCTGGGCATGGTGGTGGGCGCCTGTAATCCCAGATACTTGGGAGCCTGAGGCAGGAGAATCACTTGAACTCGGGAAGTGGAGGTTGAAGTGACCTGAGATTAAGCCATTGCACTCCAGCCTGGGCGACAAAAGTGAGACTATCTCAATAAATAAATAAATAAATAAATAAAAATAAATTTTAAAAACGAGTAAACAAAGTGGATATTGTATTGAGTGCTATGAAGAAAATGGAGTGATTGAAAGTGACCAAGAGGCCAGGCATGGTGACTTACGCCTGTAATCCCATCACTTTGGGAGGCTGAGGTGGGTGGATCACTTGAGGTCAGGAGTTCAAGCCAGCCTGGCCAACATGGCAAAACCCATCTCTATTAAAAATACAAAAAATTGGGAGGTGGGGGCCTAGGGGAGGGATAGCATTAGGAAGAAATACCTAATGTAGATCATGGGTTGATGGGTGCAGCAAACCACCATGACACCTGTATACCTATGTAACAAACCTGCACATTCTGGACATGTATCCCAAAACTTAAAGTACGATAAAAAATAAATAAATAAAAATAAAAATAAACCAAAAAATTAGTCATGTGTGGTGGTGTGCACCTGTAATCCCAGCTACTTGGGAGGCTGAGAGGCATGAGAATTGCTTGAACCTGGGAGGTAGAGGTGGCAGTGAGTTGAGATTGGGCCACTGCACTCCGCCTGAGCGACAGAGTGAGACTCTGTCTAAAAGAAAAAAGAAAAAGAAAGTGACCAAGGTGCCATCTTTTAACTATGATGGTCAAGAAAGGTTACATTTCTGCAGAGGCCTGGAGGATGGAGACTAAACCAGCCCCTCTAGGAAAAGCATTCATACAGGATGAACCCAAGCAGAGGTCCTGAAGCTGGAACACACTTAGCATGCTAAAGACACACAGAGTGTAACAGTGTGTATGGGGCAGAGTGAATGAGGGGCAATAGATAGAGAGACAGGAAGGAACTACATCACACAGCACCTTATAGATCATGACAAGGAGTTTACATTTTGTATCTAAGGACGTTGCATGCTCTTTGCAGGATTTGGGGCAGGGGTGTATAACATCTGATTGATACTGAAAAATATCTTGGGCTCAGAATGGATTGTGGGAAGGAAAGGGAGACAGGATTGGAAATATTCATCAGATATTTTGGAAACAAAGCTGACAGGTGTTTTTGTTTTGTTTTGTTTTGGCAGGGTTTCCCTCTGTTGCCAAGGCTGGAGGGCAGTGGTGTGATCTTGGCTCACTGCAACCTCTGCCTCCTGGGTTCAAGCTATTCTCGTGCCTCGGCCTGCCAAGTAGCTGGGATTACAGTCGCGCGTCACCAAGCCCGGCTAATTTTTGTATTTTTTGTAGAGACGGGGTTTTGCCATGTTGGCCAGGCTGGTCTCAAAATCCTGGCCTCAAGCGATCCACCCGCCTCGACCTACCAAAGTGCTGGGATTACAGGCGTGAGCCACCGCGCCGGTCCAGCTGATAGTTCTTAGTGATCAATTGACTGTGGGCTGGAACCTCAGGGGAGGTGCCTTACCTCTGGGAATCTTCTGGATCTGGTAGGTATTGACTTCTCCTGGTAAAGGTCCTGACCTCAACACCAGGGCCTGGCTGGGGTCACGTCCTGTGACCAAGAAACTCTGGGGGATAGAGACAAAGGCCAGCGTGACAAAGGTGTGCGCAGATGTCTGTTGCTTTTGCCTGACTAGCATCCATTTCCCTTATTTTGGGTTCCACACCCCAAATTTCCTTTAGGGAAACCCTCTCCCTACTTTCAGTCCATGTGTGTTGGGCTGACTTCCCCCAAGCCCTGGCGGGGTGGGCCCATGACCTGATCTAGCCAACAGGATGAGGGTGCTCTCGGCCCACTGTTTGGTTCAGGGAACAGGCATGTGACTCAAGCTCAGCCAATGGACATCTTCCACAGGATTTTTTTTTTTTTGAGACGGAGTCTTGCCCTGTCGCCCAGGCTGGAGTGCAGTGGCACAATCTCTGCCCACTGCAACCTCCGCCTCCCGGGGTCAAGCGATTCTCCTGCCTCAGCCTCCCAAGTAGCTGGGATTACGGGCGACTGCCACCACGCCCGGCTAAGTTTTTGTATTTTTAGCAGAGACAGAGTTTCACCACATTGGCCAGGCTAGTCTTGAACTCCTGACTTCAAGTGATCCGCTCTTCTCAGCCTCTCATAGTGCTGGGATAATAGGCGTGAGCCACTGCGTGCTGGAGCTCTTTTGGAAAGACTTCATTTGTTACACTGGTGTTGCTAAACTGGTGGGATACAGCTCTGAGCTGGGAAGGATGATACCCTCCTGAGGAGGAAGCTGTGGTAGCCCCCGTTTGCTGTCGTCTCCAAACCTATTCCACATTCCTTGCAGAATTCCTTGTTCACGGCATTAATATACCCAGCCATGAGTATGATTGATATATGGATCATGATTGATATAGGTGGTGGTTCTTAGCTCTGGCTGTATACGTCCCAAGAGAGCTGTTAAAAATATTGCTACAGCCGGGCACGGTGGCTCACGCCTGTAATCCCAGCACTTTGGGAGGCCGAGGCGGGTGGATCACCTGAGGGCAGGAGTTCGAGACCACCCTGGCCAACGTGGTGAATCCCAGTCTCTACTAAAAATACAAAAATTAGCCGGGTGTAATGGCGGGCGCCTGTAATCCCAGCTACTCGGGAGGCTGAGGCAGGAGAATCGCTTGAACCCGGGAGGCAGAGGTTGCAGTGAGCCAATATCGTGCCACTGCACTCCAGCTTGGGTGACAGAGGGAGACTCCATCTCAAAAAATAATAATAAAAATAATAAATAAAAAAATTAAAAATATTGCTACCTGGGCCCCATCCTTTTTTTTTTCTTTTTTCTTTTTTTTTTTTTTTTAATAGAGACTGGGCCTTGCTCTGTTGCCCAGGCTGGTCTTGAACTCCTAGGCTTAAGCGAGCCTCCTACCTCAGCCTCCCAAAATGCTGGGATTACAGGCGTGAGTCAGCACACCCGGCCAGCCATCTATATTTTCTGAATCAGTTGTGAAAACCTTTATTTTGGCCGGGGACGGTGGTTCACACCTGTAATCCCAGCACTTTGGGAGGCAGAGGTGGGTGGATCACCTGACGTCAGGAGTTTGAGACCAGCTTGGCCAACATGGTGAAATCCCATCTCTACTAAAAATACAAAAAATTAGCCGGGCGTTGTGGCAGATGCCTGTAATCCCAGCTACTCAGGAGGCTGAGGCAGGAGAATCGCTTGAACCTGGGAGGCGGAAGTTGCAGTGTGCCGAGATCATGCCATTGCACTCCAGCCTGGGCAACAAGAGTGAAACTCTCAAAATTAAAAAAAAAAAGAAAAGAAAACCTTTATTTTTCCTGTAAAATAAACAGATGCAAGTGGTGCCTCTGTTCTTCCTGCCTGGAATGCACGCAGGTGCTTGGGCCTGGGGCAGCCCCCGGGAAGCTGTGAGAGAAGTCCAAGAGAATTATAGCTATGCTGGCCTCAATGTCACTGCACTGCTGATCTAAAGCCAGCAGCTGCCTTTTTGGTTATGTTAGGAAGATAAATGCCTATTTGTTTAAACCGCTGTAGGACAGGTGTTTGTTATATTCAGTCCCAAATATCCAAAATTCCCCGCAGTTGAAAGCAAAGCCAAGAAATGGGATGAAGAGGAATTTATAAGTGTTCTGAAGTTCAGGATCCAGAGCTTCTTGAAATTACATTTTTTTTTTTTTTTTTTTAGACAGGGTCTTGCTCCATCACCCAGGCTCAAGTGAAGTGGCATGATCTCAGCTCACTGCCGCCTTGACCTCCTGAGCTCAAATGATCCTCCCACCTCAGCCTCATGAGTAGCTAGGACTGCAGGCATGAGCCATTGCACCCAGCAATAAATAGCCTTTTTGGTTTGCCCAATTTGTGTCATGTTTGTCACTAGTAACCAGCAGAGTCCTAATCTAGGGTGTCAGGATGGGCCCCCAGCTGTGAGTACTCACCCCTAGTGGCCACAGCCCCACAAGGGCCTCCGCATCCTGGGTATCCAGCTCTGGCACATGCCACACCCCCCATGTCCTCTGCAGGCGAGTAAGTGGCTCTAGGGTGCTGAGGACCCCTAGAGGGGTCCTGTCTGCTTTGTTCACCTGTGGTGGGACCAGCCTGGGATGGACAGTGTCCAGGGAGTCAGGGGTCAGAGGTGGGCAGTGGGACAATGAGGTGAGGTCAAAGGTACAGGAAGGGGCAGGCCCAGGGCAGAGGCTCAGAGATGTGATTCAGGATTCTGTAGTGAGGGAGGTATTGGATGGAAAGGGTTTCTGGATGCAGGGGAAGGAGGGCATAGCCTCAGCCCTAGTAGCCTCACCTCACCCCCTCTGTGGGGACTTCAGGTGCCTTGTCTTCTGGCTGGGCCATCGTCAGGTTGCAGGAAGCCAGTGAGTCATGACCTGGCCTCTGGCAGGGAGAAAGGTAAGACTCAAAGCTGCTCTAGCCCTCGGGTCATGTTCAAGATATTTACAATCAATATGGCAGAGACCCTGACCAATCAGAATGGACCCCAGAGGCCGCTTGCCGTGGCAGGGGTTAATTCTTTATTTTATTTTTGAGACGGAGTCTCACTGTATTGCCCAGACTGCAGTGCAGTGGCACGATCTCAGCTCACTGCAACCTCCGCCTCGTAGGTTCAAGCGATTCTTGTGCCTCAGTCTCCCGAGTAGTTGGGATTACAGGCGTGCACCACCACGCCTGGGTAATTTTTGTATTTTTTAGTAGAGACAAGGTTTTGACGTGTTACCCAGGCTGGTCTCAAACTCCTGACCTCAAGTGATCCCCCCGCCTCGGCCTCCCAAAGTGCTGAGATTACAGGCATGAGCCACCACACCCGGCCGGCAGGGGTTAAATCTTTAGTACCGGATGGTGGGGAATCTGGGGATCCCAGGAGAGAGGCCAGTGTGTCTTGCGGTGTGGGGAGAGGACTCAAAACAATAGCTCTTTACTGAAGTGGTAGGAAATATGTTAAGATTTTTAACAGCCATGGGGGCTGTGTAAATGTGGGCCAGCCCTTGGCAAAACCCAGTCAGCGCCTGGAAAAGTTCTTGGCCCAGAGTAGGCAGTCCCTATATCTGGAAAGGTAATAACATCCCCTCTTCCTCCCTTCCCACACCATGGAGGGGCCACTGAATCTCTTCCCCCAGCATTTTATTATGAAAAATTTCAGACATAGAGAAAAGCTGAAAGAATTGTACAGGAAACATCCCTATGCCCACTACCAAGATTCTACCATGAACATTTTACTCATCTTGCTTTATCACACATCTGTTCCTCTCTCTCTTCATCCACCCATCAGGCCCCAGCTCCTAACCAGGTACAGAGTCCTACGTAGGTTATCACTTAGGGTGGCACTTATCCCAGCAGCAGTCCCAGGAGCAGGAGACCTGGATCGGGGGAGGATCCATCCTCCCTCCCTCCCTCCCTCCCTTCCTTCCTTCCTTCCATCCATCCAGTATTTACTGAATACAGGCTGGAATTAGGTGCCTCTGCCCTGGAGAGAGGGTGATGAACAGGACAGGCTCCTCCCCTCAGGGCCTTCCATTCTTGTTTGGGGCAGGTGTAGCATATGGATAATAGGCAGCTAAACAAATACATTAGGCCATTGACCAGAAGGCCAGGGTGTTATTAGGAAGGAGGGAGGTGGGCAGGGAGGCGCAGGTGCCCTGCCCAGGCAAGAGCAGGAAGGAAGGGAGGGGAGGGGAGGGGAGAGGGAAGCAGATGCCTGCTTGTGTACCGTGGCAGGAGAGGAGGCTGTGGGCAGTGCGTGGCAGGGGTGGGTCAGGGCAGCTGCCTCATACCAAAGGGAGGCAGCAGGGGCTGAAGATGCCAGATGCTCGGTTCCTGGGGGCCCTACCTGTTCTCGGAGGAGAGGCCTGCAGTAGCAGGAAGTGGAGAGAGGAAGCTGAGCAGGCAGGGGGAAGAGGCGGGGCTGGGGTATCTGAAGTCAACTTTCCTCCCTCTTTCTGGGGCCTCAGGCCTTTAGTGACGGGGCTTAGAGGAAGGGACACTGGCAGGCTGGGAGTCCAGGGGTCAGAGCCACGAGGGCCCCCGTGAGGACCCTCTTGTTACCCCTCACTCTGGATCCCGGAGACTTTCTGGTTCCTTAGTGGCCCAAGATCTAACCCCCTCCCTTCAGAGATTTCCCTGGGTGCCCACAGAAAGAAACAGGAGGCCAGACCGGATTGTTAGTTGTTTTTGTTTTTAATTTGTCTCCAATAAGCAATGTCTTCTGCCCATCCAGCATGGGAAGTGGGTCCCACGTGAAGGGGGCCCACCACCCACTTTGGGAGCTGAAGGCAGAGACTCGGGAGCCCTCCCGGCTCAGACTCCCCCTACGCTGGGTGTGGGTTATATTCAGAGGCCCACACCCACACTGGGGTAGGTTAGGTATGGTTTACTTAGCCACAGGCCCCCGGGGGCAGGAGACAGAGTGGGGGCCCGAAGCTCCCTGTCCTGGAAGAGTTAAAAGTTCTGGGGTAGCCCTGGCCCCGTGGGGGCAGTTAGAGATGAGGGAGGTTACTCCTTAGCCCAGGAGTGGTTAGAGACAGTGGGGCTGGTAGAGATGCCTGTTTAAGCCTTGGCCTCTAGGAGGTGTTAGAGATTTGCTGGGGTTGGGGGCCAGGGTTGCTGGGACCCCAGTTTTGGGGAGGGAGCTGTAAGAGATTGGGGGATGTTCTGAGCTCCCCAGACAAGAACTGCTGGTTAAGAGGGGGCCAGGCCCGGTTGGGGCTCAGCTGTCCCTGAGGAGCTCGGCATCCCGCCTGGGAGATGCAGCTGTCACTGGGGTTTCTCCCTCTCTGTTGTCCTGGCCTCGTCCTTGGCAGGTGGCGGGGACTTCTTGGGGGAAGCTGAAGTGCTGGGGTTGGGGACCCCCGCCCCCGACTGGGCATCTATGCTGGCGTGCTCCCTCCGGACAAGGTCCTCCAGCTCCTTCTGCAGGAGCAAAGGTCACAGAAGTCAAAGGTCACTGTGCATCATGGGGTCAGAGGACCCATGGGGTGGGGAGAGGGTCCAGGGATGGGGCTCAGGACAGGCTGGGGTTGCTCAGCTCCTCACCTTCCATCCAAGGAGCTCAGCAAGGGCCAGGCAGCCCTGGTCGCATTCACCCAGCCAGGCCACGTCCCTGCGGTGCAGCAGGAGATCAGAGTTCCCAGGCGGGCTCGCCCCTGCCTGCTCCTCTCATCTGCCTTCGTGCCCCCGCTCCCACCTCACCCTGTCCCTTCCAGGCTGCCCCAACCCCCGGCGGGGCCTCACCTGTAGGCCTTCTTGGAGTCAAAGTCCATGCCTCCTCCGAGGCCCATAATCATCCCCAGGAAAGGGTCCGACTGTCAGGGAGGGGGTGGGTCAGGGGCAGGAGCAGGGAAGGGAGAGCTAAGAGCACAGACCCTGGAGCCAGGTGGCCTGGGTTTGTATCCTAGCTCTGTGACTTTGTTTTTTTTTTGTTGTTGTTTTTTTGGTTTTTTTTGAGACAAAGTTTCACTCTTGTTGCCCAGGCTGGAGTGCAATGATGTGATCTCGGCTCACTGCAACCTCCACCTCCTGGGTTCAAGTGATTCTCCCGCCTCAACCTCCCGAGTAGCCTGGATGACAGGTGCCCAGCACCATGCCCGGCTAATTTTGTATTATTAGTAGAGACGGGGTTTCACCATGTTGGTCAGGCTGGTCTCGAACTCCTGACCTCAGGTGATCCACCCGCCTCGGCCTCCCAAAGTGCTGGAATTACAGGCGTGAGCCATTGCGCCCAGCCAGCTCAGTGACTTTGGTCAAGTGACTTGTCCTCTCTGTGTCTTAGTTTCCTGTAGAATAGGGGTGATCACAAAACCGCGATGGGGTTGTGGCGCCAGTGAGTTCACGCAGGCTAAGACTTGGGACAGTGTCTGCCCACAGCGTGCGCTGCTTGCCCGGTGACCCTGCCTACTTCCCCTGAGGGGAACACCTAGGAGGGAGCACCTGCCCTAGAGTGAGGCTGCCCAGGAAAAACAGACCTGAGAGACCCAGAGCGTGGACCCAACCCCGCCCCCCGCACTGTCTCTCCTGACCCCTGCACCCCCTCCCACCTCCTCAGTCCCTGGAAGCCCGGCCTTCCTATCTGGCTTCAGCTGGTTTGAGTTGGAATTCTATCACTTGCTCAAAAGGGCAGTGAATGTCCCAGAGGCCTGGAACCCGACCCCTCTGGATTCTAGAGCCCCAGGTTCTGAGCTGAGGAATGCAAAGTGCTGGGGTTCCACAGTGGGGGTTCCCTCTGAGGAAAAGGGTGAGAGGGAAGGGGGAGCCTGTGACGACGGGGGCTTGAAGAAGGGCTCTTACCTGGCCAGCTTTCTCCTTGTTGATGAGCAGGCGAGGGGTGGAGAGGGGTGCCCTGTGGGGAGGGGGAGCTAAGGGGTCAGGGTCTGTCCTGGCCCTGGGTGCCCAGCCGTCCTCCCAGCCACAGCCCCCAACCTACTTGCTGATGAGGGAGGCAAAGGGCTGCACCTGCAAGGAGGTACCCATGACCAGGAGGAGGTCCACCTTCAGGAAGTCCTGCGGGGAGGGGCGTGAGCTTGGGAGCCTCCGCCCAGGCTGCGCCACCGCTCCCTCCCCCGCCCCCAGCAGCAAACCTCCCTGCCGCCCCCCATAGCTGGGGAGGTGACCTTTCCTGAGGCAGGGCCCAGGCTGCCCCCATGGGGCCCAGCACAGGTGGAGGCGGCGGTTGGGGATGCGGGGAGGCTGGGGGGCCACTTACTGACTGCATACAGGAGAAGAAACGCGCTGGGAGGCTCTCACCAAAAAAGACGATATCTGAGGTGGAGACAGATGGACGGACAGAGACAGTGACATGGGGAGGCAGAGAGGACAGGTGGGAGCAATGGCAGACCCGGAGGCCACAGTGGGAGTTGGGAGCAGTGGGGACCGGCCAGGGGCACAGACCCCATTCTCCCCAGGATGGATCTGGGGCACTGTTCAGAGAGACAGAGGTGGCCAGATGTGTGCGGGTGTGGCCTTTGGGAGGGGGTCAGGGGGAGGAGGGGACCCCCACCCAAATCCACCTGGGCAGGTCCCTGGCCAGAGGCTCACCAGGCTTCACCAGGCTCTGACAGTCTTCACACTTGGGCGTCACCTCAGAGAAGATCTTCTCTGGGTATGGGGAAGGGGAAGAAAGAGAAGGCAGTAAGAGGATCTGGGCCGGAGTCTGGAGGTGCAGCACCCCCACCCCTCTTCCACTGTTAACATGAACACACCTCCATCACTTGGAGTGTGATGGGTGTCTCCTGAGGTGTCCACTCTGCTCAGAAAAGACCTCTCTTCTTGTTGTTGCATTTTTTTTGTTTTTTTCTTTCTTTTTTTTTTTGAGATAAGGTCTCACTCTGTTGCCCGGGCTGGAATGCAGTGGCACGATCATGGCTTACTGTAGCCTCAACCTCCCAGCTTCAAGTGATCCTCCTGCCTCAGCCTCCTGAGTAGCTGGGATTACAGGTGCATGCCAGCACGCCCGGCTAAATTTTGTATTTTTTGTAGAGACAGGGTTTCGCCATGTTGCCCAGGCTGGTCTCAAACTCCTGGGCTCAAGCAAATCTGCCCACTTTGGCTTCTCAAAGAGCTGCAATTACAGGTGTGAGCCACTGCGCCCGGCCTTATTGGTTTGTTTGTTTTTTTGAGACAGGTTCTCACTCTGTTGCCCAGGCTGGAGTGTGGTGGTGCAATCATGGTTGAGTGCAGTGGTGTGATCATAGCTTACTGCACCACCGACTTCCCAGGCTCAAGTGATCCTCCTGCCTTAGCCTCCCGAGTAGCTGGGCTCACAGGCATCCACCATCGCACCTGGCTACATTTTATTTTTTTTAGAGATGGGATCTCCCTATGTTGCCCAGGCTGTTCTCAAACTCCTGGGCTCAAGTGATCCACCCACCTCGACGTCCAAAAGTGTTGGGATTACAGGCATGAGCCACTGTGCCTGGCCTTATTTCTTATTGATTTAGGAAGCTTGAAAGCATTTCTGGCCGGGTGTGGTGGCTCACGCCTGTAATCCCAGCACTTTGGGAGGCTGAGGCGAGTGGATCGTTTGAGGTCAGGAGTTTGAGACCAGCCTGGCCAACGTGGTGAAACCCCGTCTCTACTAAAAATATAAAAATTAGCCAGGGGTTGTAGCACGTGCCTGTAATCCCAGCTACTTGGGAGGCCGAGGCAGGGAGAATTGCTTGAACCCGGGAGGCGGAGGTTGCAGTGAGCCGAGATTGCACCACTGCACTCCAGCCTGGGTGACAGAGCAAGACTCCATCTCAAAAAAAAAAAAAAGAAAGAAAGAAAGCATTTCTGTCACTTGCAACCCACTGAATTCTAAGTCATTTGCTCAACTGTCCATTCATTCATTCAGCACACATTTATAAAGCATTGTTTCAATGTCAGTAGTCGGTAATTTTCTTTAAAATATTTCTGCATGGACAGCATGACACCGTGGGTGCTGCCTGTGACGCTGCTGTCAATGACACATAATGGGGGTAATGTGAATTGTACACTGCCCCCAGCTGCTTGCAGTTGGGCTATTCAGGAATCCTCAGCCCAGGGGCACTCAGCTGGCATTTTATCAGAACAGCCACACTCCAGAGGCCCTTCTGCAAATGCTGCAGCTGTCCTTATCTCACAGGGACACCAGAGGCTTTGTTAAATCAGCATAAAGAATGTCAGAAATGGCTTTCCATGAGTGGAATAAGTGACTTCTTGTTTTTTTTTTTTTTTTTTTTTTGAGACAGAGTTTTGCTCTTGTTGCCCAAGCTGGAGTGCAATGGTGCGAACTCAGCTCACTGCAGCCTCCGCCTCCCAGGTTCAAGCGATTCTCCTGCCTCAGCCTCCTGAGTAGCTGGGATTACAGGCGCATGCCACCACACCAGGCTAATTTTTTTTTTTTTGTATTTCTAGTAGAAACGGGGTTTCACCATGTTAGCCAGGCTGGTCTTGAACTCCTGACCTCAGGTGATCTGCCCGCCTTGGCCTCCCAAAGTGCTAGGATTACAGGTGTGAGCCACTGCTCCTGGCCTACTATCATATATTAAAAACAGCCAAAGACAGGAAATCAGGCAGTTGGGCTGCAGTGAGCCATGATCACCCACTGAACTCCCCGCGTGGGCGACAGAGTGAGACTCTGTCTCAAAAACAAACAAACAAAACAAAAAAACCCCAAAGAATTGAGCAGGACAGAATGGGTGCCCACTGCATGGAGACACTGCTCCTGGTGCTGAGAGGAGGCCTGCCCTCAGGATGCCCTCCAGCCTCACCTTTCATCCAGCTTAGCGGGTATTCGTGCCGGCAGCTGGCGCTGACGCAGTGTGATGTGTAGAAGGTGCCGTGCGCCTCCACCAAGTCCTCCTGTTCCAGCCCGGCTATTCGCTCCAGGGTATCTATGTTCTAGAGGGAGAGATGGAGGGAAGAGGGGTGAGGAGTGAGCCACCCCTTGTAGGCCAGAAGGCACAGTAGGGAGTTGAGGGCCACGAGGAGCAGTGAGGTGGTGGGGACAGGTGGAGAAGGGAGGGAGGAGAAGCAAGTGGCAGGGTTTATCTGAAGACTCTTCTGTTCATCCCAATGGTGCCACTTAAAGGGTGACAGTCAAGGCTGCTTAAAGGCAGGGGCCAGGCTGGGCATGGCGGCTCACGCCTATAATCCCAGCACTTTGGGAGGCTGAGGTGGGAGGATCACTTGAGGCCAGGAGTTCAAGACCTGCCTGAGCAACATATCAAGACGCTTGTCTCTACAAAAAATTAAAAAAAAAAAAAAAAAAAAAGGGGCCCAAACCTAAATATCTATGAGGCCAGGCCCACAGCCACTCCACAGCCTGTGTGGCTTTTATTCTGCAAATTCAGGCCATTTGCTTTCATTTTTCAGAAAAAAAATGTTGTTTTATTAGAGCCAGATGCTTTATTTCCACCTGTCATTAATTGCTGAAATTAACATACATTTACAATGTCTCTGTTATTAATGGAGCCCCCTCAGATGTGGCATCCTTGTGCAGTGCGCACCCTGCACAGCTGCATGTGGCAGCTCTAGGCAAGCATTAACATAAATGAATCAGGAGGGCTTACTAGGTGTGGTTTGTTTGTTTGTTTGTTTGTTTGTTTTTTGAGATGGAGTCTTGCTCTGTCACCCAGGCTGGAGTGCAGTGGCACAATCTCGGCTCACTGCAACCTCTGACTCCCAGGTTCAAGAGATTTTCCTGCCTCAGTCTCCCAAGTAGCTGGGATTACAGGCACGCACCACCATGACTGGCTAATTTTTGTATTTTTAGTAGAGATGGGGTTTCACCATGTTGGCTAGGCTGGTCTCGAACTCTGGACCTCGTGATTTGCTTGCCTCGGCCTCCCAAAGTGCTGGGATTATAGACATGAGCCACTGTGCCTAGCCATGTTTTTTTATGTATTTGAGACAAGGTCTCACTCTGTCGCCCAGGCTATAGTGCAGTGGTACAATCATAGCTCACTGCAGCCTCCAACTCCTGGGCTCAAGCAATCCTCCCACCTCAGCCTCCACATCTGGCTGATTTTTAAAATTTTCTGTAGAGATGGGGTCTCACTATGTTGCCCAGGCTGGTCAGCGAGCCTTCTGCCTCAGCCTCCCAATGTGCTGGGATTACAGTGTGAGTCATCATGCCTGGCCCTTCCTTGGCTTTAATCACTATCTTCCCCTTTAGTAGCCAGGGTCCTTTCTTACTATGGCCTGTTTCATAGATGGCATATTCACCTGTGTTCTTTTCTTTTTTTGGAGGCAGGGTCTTGCTCTGTCACTCAGGCTGGAGTGTAGTGGTCTGATCACAGCTCACTGTAGCCTTCACCTCCTGGGCTCAAGCCATCCTCCCACCTCAGCCCACTGAGTAGCTGGGACTACAGGCAAATGCCACCATGCCCGGCTAATTTTTTATCTTTTTAATTATTTTTGTAGAGATGGGGGGTGGGGTGGTCTCCCTATTTGCCCGGGCTGGTCTTGAACTCCTGGGCTCAAGTGATCCTCCCACTTCAGCCTCCCAAAGCGTTGGGATTACAGGCGTGAGACACCATGCCCAGCCACTGTTTTCTTTTCTTTTCTTTTCTTTTTTTTTTTTTTCAGATGGAGTTTCACTCTTGTTGCCCAGGCTGGAGTACAATGGCGCTATCTCGGCTCACTGCAACCACTGCCTCCTGAGTTCAAGCAATTCTCCCTGCCTCCGCCTCTCAAGTAGCTGAGATTACAGGCACCCGCCACCATGCGTGGCTATTTTTTTTTTTTTTTTTGAGACGGAGTCTTGCTCTGTTGCCAGGCTGGAGTGCAGTGGCGCAATCTTGGCTCACTGCAAGCTCCGCCTCCCAGGTTCAAGTGATTCTCCTGCCTCAGCCTTCCAGGTAGCTGGGAACACAGGCACGCGCCACCATGCCTAGCTAATTTTTGTATTTTTAGTAGAGACGGGGTTTCACCATGTTGGTCAGGATGGTCTCGATCTCCTGACCTCGTGATCTGCCCACCTCAGCCTCCCAAAGTGCTGGGATTACAGGTGTGAGCCACTGCGCCCGGCCACTGTTTTCTTTTAAGACAGTGAGACTTTCCATATTAAACAGGTGGGAATGTTCTTTTCTGCACAGACATTTGTGCGCGCTCATTTTTCTTAAAACAACCACCCCCTTTGGAGCAGCTGTTGTTTGCCTGTGAGGAATGCCGCTAAAACAGGTGCTGACAGAGGACACTGGCAGAGGTTACGCAGAGATGGCTCGCATGTGTGGCCCAGGGCCAAACTGACAGCGTTTCCCAGGGACTCCAGAAACAACGGGAAGGGTTTGTTTCCCTTCAAGGGCAGAAAGAATGCTCTAACTGCCTTCTGGGCTCCCTACCAGCAACCACCTTATCTCCAAAGCCTACAGACAAGAGTCACTGTCACTGTTCCCACACGCCCTGTAACTTTCCTCCCTTGCCCACTATTCTAAATCTTGGTTTTGCCTTTGGTACTTGACTCAGTCTACCCACTGACTCCCTCACATGTGAGTGAGCAATTTGCAAATAACTGAACAGTAAGCAAATAACTGAACAGCGTGGAAAAGAACCACCGAAATACCTCTGCGTTCTGTTATTCTTTGACAACATGGTTTTTTTTTTTTTTTCTTTTGACAGGATTTTGCTCTACTGGTCCAGGCTGGAGTACAGTAGCTTGATCATAGCTCACTGTAGCCTTGAAATCCTGGGCTCAAGCAATCCTCCTCTCTCAAGCTCCCAAGTAGCTGGGACTACAGGTGTGCACTACCATGCCTGGCTAATTTTTTTTTTTTTTTTTTTGAGATGGAGTCTTGCTCTGTTGCCCAGGTTGGAGTGCAATGGCGGAATCTTGGCTCACTGCAACCTCTGCCTCCCAGGTTTAAGTGATTCTCCTGCCTCAGCATCCTGAGTAGCTGGGATTACAGGCACGCACCACCACACCCAGCTAATTTTTGTATTTTTAGTAGAGACAGGGTTTCACCATGTTGGCCAGGCTGGTCTTAAACTCCTGACGTTGACTTTGGCCTCCCAAAGTGCTGGGATTACAGACGTGAGCCACCGCGCCTGGCCTTTATATAATAGTTTGTATGTGATGTGTCATTTTTTTTCTTTTTTTGAGACGGAGTCTCTCTCTGTCACCCAGGCTGGAGTGCAGTGGGGCAATCTCAGCTCAGGGCAACCTCCACCTCCCAGGTTCAAGCAACTCTCATGCCTCAGCCTCCTGAGTAACTAGGACTACAGGCATGTGCCACCACGCCTGGCTAATTTTTGTATTTTTCGTAGAGATGGGGTTTACAACAGCACCCCCTTTCCCGAACACATACACCGTTTCTGACTCCCCTTCCAGCTTAACTGTGTTCCAGGGACCCATGACCATCTTATATGCTCAGTATATGGTGTCTCCATCTTGTCCATCATCTCCCTCCCTGCTGTAGGGAATCAACTCAGTGAACATTTACTTTGACAGAAGCTGACAAACAAGGGCCAGCGGGGTCTTGGGGTGAGTGTCATGACATCAACCACAAAAAGCACTTGGCTTCAAGCAAGCTGTTATCATATCTGAGCCACGTCCTGGAATAATGGTGACTCTCTGGGCAGAAGGTTTATTCTGAGCCCGGAGTCTCCCTATGTTGCCCAGGCTGGTCTTGAACTCATGGGCTCAAGCGATCTCCCACTTTGGCCTCCCAAAGTGTGGGGATCACAGGACTCCTCCTCTTGGAAGAAGGAGGCCTCCGCTGCCCTCTGCCTCCTACCAGCCCCAGGTGGGAACACCTCGCCCACCTGAGAAATCTGAACTTAAAGCCAGTTGTTCCTCCCCCTGGCGGTAGCTTTTGGGGCTGCAGGTGCCAAACTGCAGGTACAGGGAGAAAACACTAGAACACTTATTTATTTTCAATGTTACCACTCTTTTTTGTTTGTTTGTTTGTTTTTTTAAATTGAGATGGAGTCTTGCTCTGTCACCCAGGCTGGAGTGCAGTGGCACAATCTTGACTCACTACAACCTCTGCCTCCCAGGTTCAAGCGATTCTCCTGCCTCAGCCTCCCGAGTAGCTGGGGTTACAGGCACCACCACACCTGGCTAATTTTTGTATTTTTAGTAGAGACCAGATTTCATGATGTTGGACAGGCTGGTCTTGAACTCCTGACCTCGTGATCTGCCCACCTCGGTGTCCCAAAGTGCTGGGATTACAGGCGTGAGCCACCGCGCCCGGCCACCTGTTTTATAATTCGGGGTTCTGAGGTGTGATCTAGAGCTTGAATTAATACTGTTGTAGTGCATCATGTCATTTCTATACATATTCATAAAACAGGTAGAGGCAGCAACATTTTGTTGTTGTTTTGATTTGTTTTTTGTTTCTTTGAAACCAGGTCTCCCAGGCTACAGTACAGTGGCACCATCATAGCTCACTGCAGTCTTGACTTCCTGAACTCAAGCAATCCCCCTACCTCAGCCTCCTGAGTAGCTGGGGCTACAGGCACACGCCACCCTGCCCAGCTAATTTTTGTATTTCTTGTAGAGACAGGGTCTCCCTATGTTGCCCAGGCGGGTCCCAAACGCCTGGGCTCGAGCTATCTCTCGCTTTGGCCTCCCAAAGTGCTGGGATTACAGGTGTGAGCCACTGTGCCCAGCCCATCAAGATTTTTTTACTGTTAGGGGTGTGAGACTCTCCAAACCAGAAGCCAACAATGTGAGCCATCCTTGCTTGAATGCCCCAGGGAGAGGCCCTTGGCTAAGCACCTGACGTGTACGAGACATGTTTATAATTGGGCAAAGCACAAAAAACTATAAAAAGGTGCCCCTTCCTTAAGGCACAACATCTACTTGTTGGACACGTGTCATAGTGTATGGATTTTGTTAGATGAAGTCACTTTGGAAACTCGCTCATAACCAATGTGAAATCTGGGGTGCCTATAGTGCACACAGAGTCCCTTCAGCCATAGGCTCCTTCCACATCACACATGGGATGGCCCTGAGAGGAGGTCACTGCCACCGCACTGCAGACCTGAGAGGGCAGACCTGAGAGGGCAAACCTTTTCTGGCCCCTGTTTGACGGAAGGGGAAACTGAGGCAGAGAAGACGTGACTCACGGCAGGTCATGCAGCAAGGAGGCAGTAGGCCAAGCCCTGGCCCCGCATTGCTGGAGTCCCCGCCTGAGCTCTTGGGCACGCAGCTCTGCTCCTCTGCTGAGGACACCATGCCCGTTCCACCCGCCCATCCTCCTCCCAGGATGCTCGCATCCGCCTACCTGCGTGTAGCAGCGCAGGAGTAGCCCCTTGTCCTTCAGCAGGCGCATGAAGTAGTGACAGATGGTTGGCTGCAGGGAAGAGCGACAGCACTGCTGACGACTGCAGGGAACAGCCACAGGCCACTGCCGCATGCCAGGAACTGTTCTAGGCACTGTGACTGTTTTACCCCCAGGGAACCGTCACAGCAGCCGCGTCGGGGAGAGACCACTGCTATCCCCAGATCACAGATGAGGAAACTGAAGGACAGGGAAGGGGATTGTGTTGCCAAAGTCACACGGTGGGTAAGCTGCAGAGCTGAGATTCACACCCAGGCAGCCCGGCTGCAGGGTCCCGGGCTCTCAACGGCATCATTAGTCAGCTAAGCCTCGCAGCAGCCCTCTTCAGACAGTACCATTAGCTTCACTTCACAGGAGGCAAATCGGAGGCTCAAGGTCGTAAGATGAAGACACGAGGAACCAGGACTTGAACCGAGGCAGTCTGGGCCCAGCACCCATGTACTTAATGGCTACATAATATTTGTCTGCAGGGCCTTGGCGGGGCTTCTCATGCGTGCCCTCCCCCAACCCTTCCTGTTTCGCCCCCTGCAAAACAAAGATCTCACCTTGAACTGCCCAGGATAGAGTTCCTTGGCGAGGGCGAAGAAGGGTTCCGGATGTTTCTGTAGGAGAGACAGCCAGAGGGCCAGATGCCCCAGGTAGCGTGAGGGTTGGAGCCAGGTGACCCCATCCCCACCCCTCACAGACGCCCCTTCCTGGGGGAGCACAAACCTTGAAATAGCTGATCTCAAAGATGGCCTCTGGGTAGGGAAGATGGTACTTCTCTAGGTTGTCATAGAGGCCGGTGGATGGAGAGCGAAAGTCGGGGATGCCTGCGGCTAGGAAAGGGGGGTCAGGGAGCAGTTGGTCTATACCATACTAACCCTCCCAGGACAGGGCTCAGATAGGGCTCCTCCCCAGCCCTTGGGAGGGACTCCCCAGTTCCTGGGGGTAGCTGCTGGGGGAGAAGGGTTACTTACATGTGGAGATTCCAGCTCCCACCAAACAGATGACTCTGCGACCTGGAGGAGAGGAACTTATGCACCATATGACACCGTTTGCTCAGTCCCTACGATAGCACCACCCATCACAGCCCCTGACATCGTTTACTCCATGCCAGGCCCTGGGGCAAGCATCTCAGATGCATGACGGGCCTTCCAATCATCTAGACGGGGATGGTGTTAACATCCCCATTTTATAAATGAGAAAACTGGGGCTCAGATAGGGGAAGAAGTCACACAATCAACTGCGGAAGAGCCAGCCAGCGGATAAAGAATCCAGTGTTGGGCTGGGTGCAGTGGCTCATGCCTGTAATCCCAGAACTTTGGGAGGCTGAGGCAGGCGGGTCATCTGAGGTCAAGAGTTTGAGCCCAGCCTGGCCAACATGGCAAAACCTCATCTCTACTGAAAATACAAAATTAGCCAGGCGTGGTGGCACGTGCCTGTAATCTCAGCTACTTGGGAGGCTGAGGCAGGAGAATCACTTGAACCCGGGAGGCGGAGGTTGCAGTGAGCCGAGATCATGCCATTGCACTCTAGCCTGGGTGACAGAGCGAGACTCCATCTCAAAAAAAGGAAAAAAAAAAAAAAAAGAGAATCCACTGTTGGAAATCACACCAACTTGGACTTGAGAAAAGGCCACTTTAGGATAAGAACCCTGGGCTGAGCAGAAATAGCTAGCTGGTGGCTGGTGAGTAGCCACCAGGCCATAGTACCCTGGCATCTGCCCATCAGCTGATAGACAGGCACAAGTGTGATATGCTGTGGATCAGATGCCTCTGGGATGCCCTGTCCAAGGGAGGACAGCAAAGGTGAACAGAGCACAAAGCCTGCCACAGCTTCAGCCCTGAGCTTCAGCTCTGAGATGCCATCAGGCCAGGCCTGGTTGAATCCAGTGGTGGCTACATGTGGTCTGGATTCAGGGGACCTGGGGTCAAATCCTGGCTCTGCCACTTGGCAACTGTTTGACCCTACACTGAGTCGTGACCTTTTTGTGCCTCCTTTTCCTCCTCTGTTCAGATCACTTCCATAATGATCTTACAGGTATAATGTGAATATCAAATAATAGGGCACTTGTAAAGTGCTGAGCCCAGTGCCTGGCAAATAGTGAAGCCTCAATTAAGTGGTTAAAAAGAAATTTTTAGGGCCGGGCCCGGTGGCTCACTCCTGTAATCCCAGCACTTTGGGAGGCCGAGGGGGGCAGATCACCTGAGGTCAGGAGTTCAAGACCAGCCTGGCTAACATGGTGAAACCCCGTCTCTACTAAAAGTACAAAAATTAGCCGGGCGTGGTGGCACGCGCCTGTAATCCCAGCTACTCGGGAGGCTGAAGCAGGAGAATCGCTTGAACCCGGGAGGCAGAGGTTGCAGTGAGCCATGATAGCGCCACTGCACTCCAGCCTGGGTAACAGAGTGAGACTCTGTCTCAAAATAATAATAATAATAAATTTTTAGAGCAGTGAGGTGAGGGTTGGAGCCTCACCTTTAAATTTTTGCAGAGAGGGGGTCTCGCTTATTGCCCAGGCTAGTCTTGACCTACTGGCCTCAAGCGATCCTCCTGCTTTCAGCCTCCCAAAATGGTGGGATTATAGGCCTGAACCACCACTCCCGGCCTCAACTAATTGTTATTTTTCATTACTATCTCCTCCTGGGCACCCTCATGAGCCAATTACCCCAGAATCCAGGTGCAGGAGGACACAAGGAACAAATGCTTTGTAGCCACTGCCTGTGTTGTCTTTGGGGCCTGCCCAGGCTAAAAGATGGCTGCAGACAGCTGCTCGCCTGCCGCAGGAGAGGGAGGCTCAGGGCAGCAGGCCTGGCTGCCTGAGGAGGGAGACAGTGGCAGCTGGAGGACAGGGACACAGGAGAAGATGTCCTCAACAAAAGGCTGCTCAGGAACCACAAAGGGTCGATTGTTCTAGTTGAGGACTGCCAAGGGCCTGGTTTCTCAGACTTTGGTGACCTCAACTTGTGGCAAGAAATATAAATTTCAGGCCGGGACGGGTGGTTCATGCCTCTAATCCTAGCACTTTGGGAGGCCGAGGAGGGTGGATTGCCTGAGCTCAGGTGTTCAAGACCAGCCTGGGCAACATGGTGAAACCCTGTCTCTACTAAAATACAAAAAATTAGCCAGTCGTGGTGGTGTGCGTCTGTAATCCCAGCCACTCGGGAGGCTGAGGCAGGAGAATTGCTGGAACCCGGGAGGTGGAGGTTGCAGTGAGCTGAGATTGTGCCACTGCACTCCAGCCTGGGCAACAGAGCAAGACTCCATCTCAAAAAAAAAAAAAGAAAAAGAAATATAAATTTCATGCTGACTCAGTAAGTGGACACCTATCCACCACATCTGAAATAAGCCTCCTGTAGTAATAACCACGGCACACCCTGCCACAGCTCTCGCTATGTTCCAGGCCCTGCTCTAAGCATTTGCATTTTTATTTATCTTTTAAATTTTATTACTTTATTTTTTTTTAGAGTCAGAGTCTCACTGTGTTGCCCAGGCTGCAGTGCAGTGGTGCCATCATAGCTCACTGCAGCCTCCAATTCCTGGGCTCAAACAATCCTCCCTTCTCAGCCTCCTGAGTAACTGAGACTACAGGCAACGCCCCCATATCTGACTATTTTTTTTTTTCTTGTAGAGATGGCGGGGGGGTCTCACTATGTTGCCCAGGCTGGTCTTGAACGCCTGGCGTTGAGTGATCCTCCCACGATGGCCTCCCAAAGTGCTGAGATTACATACATGAGCCACTGCCCCTGGTCCTATATTAATTTATTTAGCCCCGCCAATAACCTTATGAGTTAGATACTATAATCATTATCCTCATTTTATGAAACAGGCCTGGTCAATCAGAGTGCAGTAATTCACTCAGCAATGGAGAAGCGACCCAGGTCTGGCCAATCAGAGGCATGGGGGCAGGCATTTGACTCAACCGGGACCAATGGGAGCCAATCTCTGCTGTTTGGTTTGAACTACTGGGAAAAGGTGCTCTCTCGGTGGCAGCTCCTAGGCTAGTGGAACCTGCATTTGCAGCTGCCAGGAGTTACCTTTACCCCAAAACAAGAAAAGCAGCATCAGAGAGAGTTATGATTTTTAACAAAGTGGAAGCACCTGGACCCAGCCGTGCTTCAAGCTGGATTAGAGCCAACACACTCCTTTTTGGCTTAAGCCAGTTCCAGCTGGGTTTCTTGCTACTTATAAAGAAAAGGTTTCAATAAATGGTTCAAGTGGCTGGGGATGGGAGGTCACTTGGGGCCAGGAGCCAGGCAAAGTGGCCCAATCCTGACAGGGGACTCACAGCGTTCGCTCTGCATGTACCGGGCCACCCCTTCCAAGGTCAGCTCGTCCAGCAGACGCTCCTTCTGGCTGCCCAGGCTGAGCGTCTGGGAGAATAAGTTCCGCAGGAAGTCCACTGACCGGAAAGAAGAGAGACAGCGGCAGGACGGGCATTCAGCCAGGGGCATGGATGTCTCCGGCACCCTGGCCCCAGCCCTGGGGTTCCCGGCCTCCCCACATCTAAAGGCACAAGGCCCGGCCCAGCCAGCGGCCTCCAGGAGCCTGCTCTGGCACTGGTACCCAACCCACTGCTACATACTTTGGATGTCACTCCTGATGGAGTTGAGGAGGTATCACCCACACCCCTGCCCTGAAATCCCCCCGCCCCCCAGAACCCTGCTCCCTGTCCCTCCAGGAAGATACTCACTGTCTGCTTCTCCACCAGCGGCTCCTCCCTCAGAGTCTGAATCTGAGTCCTGGAAGGGGTGGGGTGGAGTGGCCAGGCCCGAGAGGTGGGATTAGGGAGGGAGGAGAGGGGGTGATACCAGGTTTGGGGAAAAGGCTGTGGCAGGAAGGTGGCCTGAGGAAGTGCGGGGTGGTGGAGAGACTGCACTGGGGCTAGCTCCAGGGCTCTGGGACAGGCTGCCGGGGTTGGAGTCCTGGCCATGCCCGTCCCCAGGAGCAAGACCTCATGTGAGTGGCTTTGCTTTGCTTTTCTTTTTTGAGACAGTGTCTCGCTCTGTTGCCCAGGCTGGAGTGCACTGGTGCAGTCACAGCTTGCTGCAGCCTCAACCTCCCAAGCTCAAGGGATCCTCCCACCTCAGCCTCCCAAGTAGCTGGGACCACAGGCACGTGCCACCATGCCAGGCTCATTTTTTGTTTGTTTGTTTGTTTGCTTTGTAGAGACGAGGTCTTCCTCTGTTGCCCAGGGTGGTCTTGAACTCCTGGGCTCAAGCAAGTCTCCTGCCTCGGCCTCCCAAAGTGCTGGGATTACAGGCGTGAGCCACTGTGCCTGGTCGTGACTTTGATTTTCTAAGTCTTGGTGTCCCTCACCTTGGAAAGGGAGCTTGGGTGCTGGGCGCAGCACCAGGGGCGGGGGAAGTGCTTGGTAAGCGCTGGCTGTTGCTGTTATTATCACAGCCTGGGGTCTTCCCTTCGTTCCCGGGTCCCCTGGAGCGTGGGCCTGCTGTCCCTTCCCAGCAGCCCTGGGGGCCTCTGAATAATGTCCCAAGTCACTCTGGGAATGATTCCAATGCAAAGCCTTGGCCCTCACTTCAAGGACCTATGTGCCCCCTGCTCGAGGCCTCAGACACTCTGCCCACCTCTCCAGCAACCTCTGTCTCCTTCCTCGAAGCCTCCCCTCAGCCCAGCTCCAGACTGGCAGGTCTCTGGGACTCTGTCCAGGGCCTCTCTGCTTTCTCTTTCCACTTTCCTGGGGTTACCTGTCTCATCCATGCCAATGACCTCTGCCTCGTCACTCATGATACCATCTCTCTGCCCTCAGATCCGGGGTTCCCTGGCTTCCTGGACACCTTGCCCTAGGTGCCCCCCAGCCTCTCACTCCTACTATGTCCCAAATGGACCCTGGCATCTCCTCCAAGCCCATCCTCCTCCCAGGCCTCATCTCAATGCGATCGTACTGTCCCCCCCATCAGCCAGATGTTTCCTGCCCCCGCCTCCCTCCTCGCCCTCCTGCCACAGCCCTTCAGCTCCAGAGCATGTACGCTGAGCCTCCTAAGGGTCTGTCCACCAACCCCCTTTCCCTCCCCGGCGCTCCACCTGGTCCAGCCTGTCCTCTCCTCCGGGGGTCCTGCCCCAGCCTCCTCCCCCAGCCTCCCAGCCTCAGTCTCCACCTCCCATCCACCCTGCTGCCCTGCATGTGAGGCTGTCTGGGTCAGCTCGCCCCTCTCCACTTCAAAGGCCCTTCTCTCTGGCTTCTGCAGTCTTCCCAGACATCTATGGAATTGCCAGGATGTCCACAAGGGCAGGGACTTTGTCTGGGTGCCCAGCACTGAGAACAGGGTCTGGCTCCTGGCAGGAGCTCCAGGAGCTCCTCTACCTTGGAATGAATGCCTGCTTCAGGCTGGACCACGGCTGGGCCCTGCAATGGATTTCACCAAAATGCAGTTCTGACCAAGCCACCACCTCAGACAACTCCCTTCCCCGGATACTCACTGCTCTGCGTCCAAGTCTTTTTGAATAAGACCCTCCCTTCCGAACATACGACAATTTAAAAAATTGCTTTTTAAGACTGTGCAACTCCGGCTGGGCGTGGTGGCTCATGCCTGTAATCCCACCACTTTGGGAGGCTGAGGCAGGAAGGTTGCTTGATGCCAGGAGTTCAAGACCAGCCTGGGCAACACAGTGAGACTCTGTCTCTATTTAAAAAGAGAGAGAAAGGCTGAGCACGGTGGCTCACGCCTGTAATCCCAACACTTTGGGAGGCTGAGGTGGGTGGATCACGAGGTCAGGAGATCGAGACCATCCTGGCCAACATGATGAAACCCCGTGTCTAATAAAAATACAAAAAATTAGCCAGGCATGGTGGCACGTGTCTGTAGTCCCAGCTATTCAGGAGGCTGAGGCAGGAGAATCGCTTGAACCTGGGAGGTGGAGGTTGCAGTCAGCGAGATCACCCCACTGCACTCCAGCCTGGGTGACAGAGCGAGACTCCGTCTCAAAAAAAAAGAGAGAGAGAAAGAGAGAGTGAGAATGAGAGAGAGAGAGAGACAGAGAGAAAGAGAGATTGGACAACCTCTGCAAAAACCTTGATTATACTCATGTATACTTCAACAACATATAACTTGCGGCACTCACCTTGTAATTGCCCAAGCCCACCCTTATAAAGATAACCACTGTTAGCTAAGCTTAATGGAAATTACTCCAGTTTTCTCTGCATAAAACTAATATTTTTTACAGAAATAGGTCATAGTACAATACAACATCTTGAGTTTTCGGCAGAACAATATGCTACAGACCCACCTAATTTAAAAAATAATTTTTTAAAAAAGAGACGGCATCTTGCTATGTTGCCCAGGCTGGTCTCAAAACTCCTGGGCTCAAGTGATCCCCCTGCCTCCCAAAGTGCTGGGATTACAGGTGTGAGCCACCGTGCCCGGCCTCACCTCGTTTTTCAGAGCAGCTACATAGTATTGGATTGTATGGATGAACCATAGTTCATTTAACCCATCCACTGACAGCCATTTGGACTGTTTCCAGTTTTGCCCTGTGACGGACAATGCTGCATTTTACATCCTCGCCTCTCTCTCTTTGGGACTGAGGATCCTTTTTAACATTCAACCTTTTTCTCTGACAGTGGTCGTGCTTTGGGAGCCAGGCGAGTGAGTTGCCACAGCCTAACAGGAGGCTCTTATATCCTTAGCAAAGCTCCACTGTGCATTTGTGAGGTATTCTGATGCCCGCTTCTGCACCACCCCACGTCTGAAAGGCAATCTCAGGGGTGTGGGTGGGCTGGCACTCTTTCAGGCTGTACACAGTGAGGCTGTGTGGAAGGCCTGTGCCCAGCATGTGTCTGCAGCTTGGCCTAAGGGAGAGCCGGAGGTGCTGACGGGGGCCTTCAAGCTCCTATGAGACTGCCTGTCCACCTCTCCTGGCAGCCTCTGACAGGTGGCGTGCCCAGTGCTGGGGGACTCAAACCCTTCCCTGCTCCTGTAGCCGAGGGACGGGGGATAAGTGACTTAACAACTCTGCCTCAGATTCTGCATCTGTAAAATGGCCGTGATAGGCGTTTCTCTTCACAGGGATGCCAGGAAGATGAAATTGAGATGAGGCACGTTTGGCACTAAACAGTGGGCCCAGCTTTAGTAAGCCGTCAGTAAATGCTAACCACGACTATAACAAGCTGACCACCACCAGCCACCCAATTATGGAACACATCACACCCCTTCATGCCCCCCAGGTCTTTGCACAAGCGATACCTGTTGTGTGGATCACCATTTCTCACCTTGTCTAAGAAAATTCTAAGTCACTCTTCACTTATGCTGTGTCTGTATCTTGGTCTGACAGCTAGACCAGCCTGTGGATTCCTCCAGGGAATGGCCTGGCTAGAATCTTCTTTGACCCAGAAAATTTTCTCTGTGCTCCCACAGTACCCTGAGTTTCTTTACTTTTCTTCCTTTTTTTTTTTTTGAGACCGTGTTTTGCTCTGTCGCCCCGGTTGGGGTGCAGTGGCACAGTCAAGGCACACTACGGCCTTAACCTCCTGGGCTTAAGCAATCCTCCCCCAACTCAGCCTCCTGAGTAGCTGGCAATGCAGGCATGCACCACTACACATGGCTAATTTTTAAATATTTTGTAGAGGTGGGGGCCTCCCTATGTTGCCAAGACTGGTCTGGAACTCCTGGGCTCAAGCGATCCTCCTACCTCAGCCTCCCAAAGTACTGGGATTACAAGCATGAGCCACTGTGTCTGGCCCTGAGTTACTTTCTTTCTTTTTTACTTTTTAGAGAAAGGGTCTTGCTCTTTCACCCCGGCTGGAGTGCAGTGATGCAATCATAGCTCACTGCAGCCTCAAACTCCTGGGCTCAAGCGATCCTCGCGCCTCAGTCTCCTGAGTTATTGGAATTACAGGCATAAGCCACTGCATCTGGCCCCCTGAGTTACTTTCGTCATCACGCTGTGAGATCATTTTTTCCCATCACTTGTCCACGAGATCTGTGCGTTCCAAGACCAAATGGGATACCTGTCTCTTCCAGTCCCAGGACAAATGTGGTTCAGAAGGGATGGCAGGCAGTGGCAAGGAAGAAGGAAAGTTTGGGAGGACAGGCCTGGACTTGAGGCTGGAAACTCTTCTCTGACAATCCCCAGAATCTGCCTTTCCCCAGAAAGCTGCACTGGGTGGTGTGAGGGATTGGGGCAATGAGCCGAGGGCCCTGGGGTGACTGTTTCCCCTTTGCCACCTCCCCCCAGTGTGGGATGTGGAACAAGTCCGTCTCTCTCCTCCCCTCCACCCTTTCCCCCATCTCACCTGAGCCTCCTGCACCTTCCCTGCCTGGGTCTCCAGAGGGTGAGAGGCTGGGGGAGGGGAGCAGAGGTGGTTACAGTGGGGAGAACGATTAAGGGGGGAATAAAGGGGTTCAAATGGTCAGTGAGGGGGCAAGAACACCCACCAACCTAGTTACACTGGGATGGGATGGTGGTAAAAATGGAGCAGAGGGAGGGAGGGGACGGAGAAAAGATCTTATCTACATGCAAAGTGATGCCGGGAGAGGTGATTAGTGAGGGGCAGAGAGGCTGGAGAGGAAGATTTAGGGGGACAGGGAGAAAGTAGGGGCTTTTGCCCAGGCTGGTCTTGAACTCCTGGGCTCAAGCGATCCAACCACCTTGGCCTCCCAAAGTACTGGGATTACAAGCATGAGCCATTGTTTCTGGCCCTGACTTACTTTCTTTCTTTTTTACTTTTTAGAGAAAGGGTCTCGCTCATGTCACCCAGGTTGGAGTGCAATAGTGCGATCATAGCTCACTGCAGCCTCAAATTCCTGGGCTCAAGCGATCCTCCTCCTCCTACCTAGGGGATTCAGGGCATGAAGGAACACTCAGGAGGAGTTAGGAAGGACACGACAGTGTGTGAGTGTGTGTGCGGGGAGGGTTAGATTTACAAGGCAGAGGGAAGTTTAGAAAGGAAAAGAGAAGGGAAGAGACGCTTTGGCTGGGAGGCAGGTTTAGGAGGGAGGTGCAGTGGTGCAGTGGAGGCGGTAGGTTTAGGAGAGGCGCGGAACAAGGGGAAGCCATAGGAGGGGTCAGCAGGGGTCCCTCAGCATCCTCTGGTTGCCTCTAACAATCAGGTACCCATAGCAAGCGGGACCGGGGCAACTTATGTTCTTTGCAGCGAGGGACCTTAGCAACCAAGGTGCGAGAAACACGCGATCATTGGCAACTTGGCAAGTGGATGTGGTAAACGAACCCTGAACACACTGCGACCCAGAAACCCACCAGCCTAGCGATACAGATCGCTAAGCAACAGCCCTCAGAATCCCACTCCCCGAAGCGCTCCCTACTTCCCGCCCCACCGCGGCCACCCTTGGGCCCCGGGGCCTGCAGCATTCAGCCAGGCCCCGGCGCGGCCCGACCCTCCTACCCGGATCCCCGACTCACGGTCTGGCTCTGCCATGGGCGCGGTGCTGAAGCCCTTGAGGCTGTCACCGACCGCTCTGTCCCGTCACCAACCACTGTGTCCCGTCACCGACTGCTCTGTCCTGTCACCGACTGCTCTGTCCCGTGACGGCACCAGAAATGGGAGTGGCCGTGATAGGGCACAGAACTACAACTCTCAGCAGACATTGCGGCCGCAGACGCGCTTTCGTACAACACCCAGAGCGCCCCAGTTAGGTAAGAAAGCGCGCGAGGACCGGACTACGAGTCCCAGAAGGCGTGGCGTCAGCAGCCATGTTGGTAAAGGGCGCCCGGAAAATGTGGGAACGGCTAGAGAGTTGTAGTCCTCCCGAATACTCTGATTGGTCAGGATGCAGTACGAGGGCGGGGTGTGAGCGATTCAGCATATTATCATTGGGTGAATCAGGGGGCGTGGTGGGGAATTTCCCGCAGGGCGGAAGCTCCAGAACTCCCGGCAAAGCCCAGCTACAGGCGGGCGACTGCGGGGGGCCCCTGAGGCGGCGGGGGCCATGGCTGGGGTCGCGTGCTTGGGAAAAGCTGCCGACGCAGATGAATGGTGCGACAGCGGCCTGGGCTCCCTGGGTCCGGACGCAGCGGCCCCCGGAGGACCTGGGTTGGGCGCGGAGTTGGGCCCGGGGCTGTCGTGGGCTCCCCTCGTCTTCGGCTACGTCACTGAGGATGGGGACACGTGAGTGAACCTTAGGCTGCCAAACGGAGCCCTAGGACCCGGCGTCACATTCCTCATTAATCTCTGATCCCTGAGGCTTCCTAACCTCATACTCCTAAATCTGACTTCCGATGCTGAACTTCCTGACCTCTAACCCCCGAGTCCTAACTTTTAACAAAACCAATCTTCTATCTAGCTATGATCCTAACCCAATCATTTCTTACCTTCTTTTCTTGAACTATGATTCTCAGCTCCTGGAATCCACATTGTATCCACTGATACCCAAACCTGACTCCAGTCCTGAGACTTCTGTTAGAACTGTGGCTTCTCCTGACTTCTAACCTCCAAATATGATCTTTGATTCTTAGTTCCCGATTTGAGCCCTAGAGTTTGATTTCCGAAATTAATACTTGGTCCCTGACTCTAAGATCCTGTCTTCTGAGCAGTGTTCTTCAAATCTTAAATTCAAAGAGAGAGAATGTAAGCTCTTCTATGTTGAATTCCTAATTAAAGTAAAAAAATAGGAAAATTAAAAAAAAGAATGTTAGCTCCATGAGACCAAGGATTCATCTGTTAAACAAATATTCTTTACACATTACCACGTTCCAGGCTCCGTTTAGGTGCTAGTGATAAAGGCAGTGAAGAAAACAAACAAAAACTTAAGCCCTTGTGGAGCATACATTTTAGTGGAGCTAAATAAACAGATTGATAAGACCACAAGGAAGGAAAGAAATGGAAAGACAGGAAGAAACAAAGAAAGACACGCAGAAAGAAAGAAACATAGAAAGTAAGAAAAGGAAATAAAGTCAGAGGTAGTTAAGTACTTTGGAGAAAAATAAAGCAGGAAAATGAGGCAATAGATAAACAAGATAAGAGCATTTCAAGGAGAAGGAACTGCAGTTGCAAAGGCCCAGATGAGGGATTGTACTGGGTTTTTTGTCTGTTGTGTTTACTGCTGTATGCCCAGTGATGCAAGCAGGGCCTGATCCAGGAGGCACTGAATATTGATCTCAACCAGCTTTATAGTCTCGTTAATTTTCATTAAATTTCATTAATTAATTTTGGTTTCATTAATTTTTTTTTACTTTCTATTCAATTGGTCTCTGTTCTGACTTTTTTTTTTGAAACGAAGTCTCACTCTGTCGCCCAGGCTGGAGTGCAGTGGCATGATCATGGCTTACTATAGCCACAACCTCCTGGCTCAAGTGATCCTTGCACCTCAGCCTCCTGAGTAGCTGGGACCACAGGCACATGCCACCATGCCTGGCAAATTTTTAAATTTTTTTGTCCCCCTATGTTCTCAAACTCTTTTTTTTTTTTTGAGACAGAGTCTTGTTCTGTCACCCAGGCTGGAGTATAGTGGCACTATCTCTGCTCGCTGAAACCTCTGACTCCTGGGTTTAAGCAGTTCTACTGCCTCAGCCTCCCAAATTTGGGATTACAGGCACGTGCCCCCACACCTGGCTAATTTTTGTATTTTTAGTAGCAACAGCAGTTTCACCATGTTGGCCAGGCTGGTCTCAAACTCCTGACCTCAGGTGATCCACCCGCTGTGGCCTCTCAGAGTGCTGGGATTACAGGTGTGAGCCACTGTGTGCAGCTGTGGTCTCAAACTCTTGAGCTCAAGCATTCTTCCCACCTTGGCCTCCCAAAGTGCTGGGTTACAGGGATGAACCACTGTGCCCAGACAGTCTCTGCCTTTTAATTAGTGTTTAGACCATTTACATTTAATTTGATATTGATATGATTGTGTAAATTTATCCCATGTCTATTATATATATTCTACTTACCTATGTTTTCTTTTTCCTCCCTCCTTTTTGCCTTTTATTGGGTATAGTTTTTGTTACTTTTTTTTCAATCCTGCTCCTTCTGTATAGTGTTTTTCATTTTATTTCTTTTTTTTTTTTTGAGATGGAGTCTCGCTCTGTCACCCAGGCTGGAGTGCAGTGGTGCAATCTCGGCTCACTGCAAGCTCCGCCTCCCAGGTTCATGCCATTCTCCTGCCTCAGCCTCCCGAGTAGCTGGGACTACAGGCACCTGCCACTTCGCCTGGCTAATTTTTTTTGTATTTTTAGTAGAGACGGGGTTTCACCGTGGTCTTGATCTCCTGACCTTGTGATCCGCCCGCCTCGGCTTCCCAAAGTGCTGGGATTACAGGCGTGAGCCACCGCGCCCGGCCTCATTTTATTTCTTTTGTTTGCTTATTAGATATTCCTCTTTTTGTTATGTTAGTGGTTGCTTTAAGGTGGGGGTTGGCAAACTATGGCCTCCAGGCAAAATCTAGCCAGCCATCTGCTTTTGTATGGTTGTGAGCTAAGAATGGTCTTTACATTTTTAAACAGTTTCTAAAAATCAAAAGAATAATAATATTATATGGCTTTTGTATGGTTGTGAGCTAAGAATGGTCTTTACATTTTTAAACAGTTTCTAAAAATCAAAAGAATAATAATATTATATGGCAAGTGAAAGTGTATGAAATTCATATTTCAAGCTCCATAAATAAAGTTCTTTTGGAACGCAAGCAAGCTCACTCATTTACATATTGTCAGTGGCTGCTTTTGCACTGACACAGCAGAGTCGAGTAGTCAAAAGAAACTGTATGGCTGCTGGGCTCAGTGGCTCATGCCTGTAATCCCAGCACTTTGGGAGCCAAGGCGGACAGATCACAAGGTCAGGAGATCGAGACCATCCTGGCTAACATGGTGAAACCTTGTCTCTACTAAAAATACAAAAAGTTAGCTGGCAGTGGTGGCGAGCGCCTGTAATCCCAGCTACTTGAGAGGCAGGAGAATCGCTTGAACCCGGGAGGCGGAGGTTGCAGTGAGCTGAGATCACGCCACTGCACTCCAGCCTGGGCAGCAGAACGAGACTCCATCTCAAAAAAACAAAACAAACAAACAAAAAAAGAAAAAGAAAAACAAAACCAAAAAGAGAAACCATATGACCTACAAAGACTAAAATAGTTATCTGGCTCCTTACAGAAAAAGTTTGCTGACTCCTGCTGTAGGGTTGATAGTTTACAACTTTAGGTTATCATGGGCTACCTTAAAGTGATATTATGCCATTTCACATAGAGTAAAAGAAATTTATTTTATTTTATTATTATTATTTGAGACGGAGTCTCACTCTGTTGCCCAGGCTGGAGTGCAGTGGCACGATCTCAGCTCACTGCAACCTCCATTTCTCAGGTTCAAATGATTGTCCTGCCTCAGCCTCCTGTGTAGGTGGGATTACAGGCGCATGCCACCATGCCTGGCTAAATTTTTTTTGTATTTTTTGTAGAGACAGGGTCTCATCGTGTTGGCCAGGTTGGTCTCAAACTCCTGACCTCAAGTGATCTGCCCGCCTTGGCCTCCCAAAGTGCCAGGATTACAGGTGTGGGCCACCGTGCCCAGCATAATGAACTGTTTTAATATTCTTGTTTGCAAATTCTAACATCTCTGTCATTTCTGGGTCAGTTTCAATTCACTGATGGTTCCTATTATGGATCATGTTTTCCTGCTTCTTTACATGCCTGATAATCTTTGGTTAGGTGCCAGACATTGTGAATTTTGCCTTGTTAGTCTGGAGAATTCTGTATTCCTATAAATATTCTTGAGGCCGGGCGCCGTGGCTCACACCTGTAATCCCAGCACTTTGGGAGGCCAAGGCGGGTGGATCACGAGGTCAGGAGTTCAAGATCAGCCTGGCCAACATGGTGAAACCCTGTCTGTACTAAAAACTGCAAAAATTAGCCAGGTGTGGTGGCACGCACCTGTGGTTCCGGCTACTCGGGAGGCTGAGGCAGAAGAATCGCTTGAACCCAGGAGGTGGAGGTTGCAGTGAGCCACGATCGTGTCACTGCGCTCCAGCCTGGGCGACAGGGCAAGACTCTCTCTCAAAAAATAAAAATTAAAATAAATAAATAAATAAATAAATAAATAAATATTCTTGAATATTATTCTGGGATGGAGTTAAATTACTCGGAAGTAGTTTGAGTCTTTCCAGTTTTGCTTTTATGATTTGTTAGGTGGGTGTTGAGCAGTGCCCCATCTACAGTTAATTATTCCCCACTATTGAGGCAAGACCTTCCTGAGTATCCCACCCGATAGCCTGTGATGATGTTTTTCCAGCCTGGCTGGTGGGAACACTCACTATTCCTGGCCCTGTGTGAGTAACGAGCACTTTTCTGAAATCCTTTTGGATGGTTTTCCCATCCCCACAGACTCACAGGCATGGCTGATCCGTATTCTCCGGAATACACAAGAGAACCTCCTGCAGTTCCCCAGCAATCTCTCCTTTGGCAACTCTGTTTTGTACTCTGTCCTGTGACTCTAGCCACGCTGGCCTCCACAGACTCTTCCTCCATATCCATCTCCTGACCTCAGACAACCTGATGCGCTCTGCTTGGATTCCCCTCTCTGCACCGTGGCTTTGAAACTCTCTCAAGACAATAAGCTGTGGCAGTCAAGTGTGGGGCCCACCTCGTGTTTCCTGTCTTTCAGGGGTCACTGTGATTCATTGCACGATGTCCAGTGTCTTCAACACTGTTGCTTCATATACCGTATTTCGTCTGACTCTTGTTTGTTTGTTTGTTTGTTTCACGTGGGAGTGAATTCTGGTCCATGTTACTTCATTTTGGGCAGAAGTGGAAATCCCACTGAATAAACATTGATTCCACGAATTTGCTGATGAAACTCTGACCTCTGACCTCCCAGATAGCTGACAGGGGGTTCCAGAACTGTGGTCACAAGGCCTAGCATACAGTAGGCGCCCCATGTTTGTTCAATGAAGGAATGCAAGAGGACTTGAACTTTGCCCTCTCACCCCGGTCTTTGTCCCCAGGGCACTGCACTTGGCTGTGATTCATCAGCATGAACCCTTCCTGGATTTTCTTCTAGGCTTCTCGGCCGGCACTGAGTACATGGACCTGCAGAATGACCTAGGCCAGGTGAGCCACGAGGGATGGTGTAGGGCTTGGGGTCCAGGGTTCCCAGTGTGACTCCCTACCGCCTGTCCTCTGCTTCTGCAGACAGCCCTGCACCTGGCAGCCATCCTGGGGGAGACATCCACGGTGGAGAAGCTGTACGCAGCAGGCGCCGGGCTGTGTGTGGCGGAGCGTAGGGGCCACACGGCGCTGCACCTGGCCTGCCGTGTGGGGGCACACGCCTGTGCCCGTGCCCTGCTTCAGCCCCGCCCCCGGCGCCCCAGGGAAGCCCCCGACACCTACCTCGCTCAGGGCCCTGACCGTACTCCCGACACCAACCATACCCCTGTCGCCTTGTACCCCGATTCCGACTTGGAGAAGGAAGAAGAGGAGAGTGAGGAGGACTGGAAGCTGCAGCTGGAGGCTGAAAACTACGAGGGTGAGGGTCGTCACCAGGGAAGGACTCAGCTCCTGGGCTAGGCGAGAGCACCTGGCCCTGGGCTCAGCTTCCCTGATTTGAGACTGAGCTCCTTGGGAAATCATGCCTAGGCTTCAGGAGCCCACACATCGGGACCAGGGACCTCCACTCAGGGCCCAGATGATTGAGAATTGGATATGTAGGACCCAGGACCCCCACCTGGAGGCCCCAGGTCACTTGGGATGCAGACCTGTCACCCACAGACCCAGAGCTGCCAGGATCCAGTTGTCGGGCCCCCGGGCTCCCCACCTGCAGAGTGTATTGCAGACCCCTACCCTACCCAGGACCGGGGAATGCAGAGCTCAGGCCCTCTGTGAAACTCTGGCACCCCAGGCTCCCAGCAATGGGCAGCAGGGTTCAGAGACAGCCCTCCTCAGCCTCATGGGAAGAAGGGCTCATCTGCCCACAGCCCTGACATCCAAGTTTCTGCTCCCCTGCCTATAAGCCCAGCCACCTGAGACCAGACCCCTCCTCAGATGGACTGACGTCATTCAGGACCCAGTGTTCAGGGCCTGCCTCTCGCCCCCAGGTCACAGGCTTTTCAGCTACTTGGTACCTTTTTTTTTTTTTTTTTTTTTTTTGAGACAGTCTCACTCTGTTGCCAGGTTGGAGTTCAGTGGCGTGATCTTGGCTCACTGCAACCTCCACCTCCCAGGTTCAGGTGATTCTCCTGCCTCAGCCTCCCGAGTAGCTGGGATTACAGGGATTACAGGCACATGCTACCATGCCCAGCTTATTTTTGTATTTTTAGTAGAGACGGGGTTTTACCATGTTGACCAGGCTGGTCTTGAACTCCTGGCCTGGCCTTAGGTGATCTGCCCGCCATGGCCTCCCAAAGTGCTGGGATTACAGGTGTGAGCCACCGTGCCTGGGCAGGAACCTTAATTTAAGGTTTTTTTTTTTTTTTTTTTTTGACATGGAGTCTCACTCTGTTGCCCAGGCTGGAGTGCAGTGGCGCCATCTCAGCTCACTGCAAGCTCCGCCTCCTGGGTTCACACCATTCTCCTGCCTCAGCCTCCCGAGTAGCTGGGACTACAGGCGCCCGCCACCATGCCCAGCTAATTTTTTGTATTTTTAGTAGAGATGGGGTTTCACCATGTTAGCCAGGATGGTCTCGATCTCCTGACCTCGTGATCCACCCGCCTCAGCCTCCCAAAGTGCTGGGATTACAGGCGTGAGCCACTGTGCCTGGCCTTTATTTTTTATTTTTAGTAGAGACGTCTTGCCATGTTGCCCAGGCAGCTTCTTGAACTCCTGAGCTCAAGTGATCCTCTTGCTTTGGCCTCCCAAAGTGCTGGGATTACAGGTGTGAAATAGCGTGCCAGCTCAGGTCCTTTGAGTGATAAGAGCAGAGACTTGGGTCTCCTCCTGGCCCCAAAATCCAGGCTCCCTGTCCACAGACCCCAGGCTGTTTACCCGCGGGCCCCAGGCTTCAAACAACTCAGGCACTAGCACTTGCCAGCAAGCTCAGGCCATCTGAGATAGGCATTTGGTACCCAGGTACCTCTTTGCCATACCCAAGAATTCAGGAACCAGCCCCCAAACCTAATCACCCTCACGCCACATGACCCTCCCCCAGGATCAAAGCACGGTGGGGTGGGGGGGGCCCTCACCTCATCATCTGACGCCAATCACTCTGTCCCCAGGCCACACCCCACTCCACGTGGCCGTTATCCACAAAGATGTGGAGATGGTCCGGCTGCTCCGAGATGCTGGAGCTGACCTTGACAAACCGGTGAGCCCCAACCTCGGGGAAGATGCCGTCGGCGGGAGGGGGCTTGTCCCCTCTTCGGGCCCTCTGACCTTTCTGTTGCACCCCCACAGGAGCCCACGTGCGGCCGGAGCCCCCTTCATTTGGCAGTGGAGGCCCAGGCAGCCGATGTGCTGGAGCTTCTCCTGAGGGCAGGCGCGAACCCTGCTGCCCGCATGTACGGTGGCCGCACCCCACTCGGCAGTGCCATGCTCCGGCCCAACCCCATCCTCGCCCGCCTCCTCCGTGCACACGGAGCCCCTGAGCCCGAGGGCGAGGACGAGAAATCCGGCCCCTGCAGCAGCAGTAGCGACAGCGACAGCGGAGACGAGGGCGTGAGTCAGGAGGAGAGACAGGGCAGCCCAGCTGGGGGGTCAGGATAGACCGGCAGGCAAGAAGCCCAAGAAGATAATTAGGCACCGACCTTGGGCTGCTGTTAGAGAACTCAGGCAGCAGCGCCAGTGACACGGGGCACTAGTCAGGAGAGACCTGGACAGGGGTGGTGGGAAGAGCTTGGGCAGAAGTGGCTGAAAAACTAAGGCAGTGGCAAAGGTAGAACTCAGGCAGGGGTGGAGAAAAGGCGTTGGTCGCAGTGATTGGTGAACACAGCGGGGGTGGGTGGTAGCGCTGGGGGTGATTTTAGGCAGCAAGAATTGGAGAACTCACACTGCGAAAAGAAAACCTTGGGTGGCAGTGATTTGAACACCGGCAGTGCTGGGGCAGGACCCGAGCCAGCGGTGGGGAGAGATATAGTCAGAGAACCCAGCAATACAGATCCGTCCTTGGGCAAGGCGCGGTGCTGGATGATGGGTGCGGAGGAATTTGGGTAAAGGCAGAGGGAAGGGGTGGAGGAGGGCCAGCTCAGTTGCCGAAACTCTGGAGTGGCGGCTGGCTAGAAATTGGTCTGTAGAAATGACCTTGAAAATGGAGTTCTGGCCAGGTGCGGTGGCTCACGCCTGTAATCCCAGCACTTTGGGAGGCCGAGGCAGGCAGATCACGAGGTCAGGAGTTCGAGACCAGCCTGGCCAACATGGCAAGACCCTGTCTCTACTAAAAATACAAAAATTAGCTGGGCGTGGTGGCGCATGCCTATAATCCCAGCTACTTGGGAGGCTGAGGTAGGAGAATTGCTTGAACCTGGGAGGTGGAGGTTGCAGTGAACCTAGATCACGCCACTGCATTCCAGCCTGGGCAACAGAGCGAGACTCCATCTTAAAAAAAAAAAAAAAAAAAAGAAAGAAAAGAAAATGGAGTTCTGAGAGCTAGGAAACTGGGAGGTTGAGCCAGGAGCAGGGGAACTTGGGCTTTGAGGCGAGACCTAATTCTTAGGGTGCTCTATGAGGACATGGGTGGTGGGCAAAGTGACAGCCGCCTGAGCCCCTCTGCCTGGTCCCCTTTGCCCCCAGGATGAATACGACGACATTGTGGTTCACAGCAGCCGCAGCCAAACCCGGCTGCCTCCCACCCCAGCCTCAAAACCTCTTCCTGACGACCCCCGCCCCGTGTGATTTGTTTCATTGTTAATATAATTTCCAGTTTAATAAACAAAACCCTAGTTCTGACAACCAGAGACCAGACTGATCTTGTCTTCCCAGTCCTCCGGGTCCTTCTGGGGCCCATCCCTGTCACATCAAGTGCTGCTCACGGAGGCAGGGTGCGTTTCTTTGTGCTTTATTCACTCAGAAGGGTTGGAGTGGGAGTGCATAGGTGTGGGGGTGCTTCCTGTGTCAGGGCTGAGCCCAGCCCCCGGCCCAGCTCAGACTCACCTCCTTGGGTGTGGTTCCAAGGCACGTCCGCCTCCTCCCCTGTTTGGGTAGGGGTGGCGTGGGGTGCTAGGTGAGGTGGAGGCTTCGGGGTCAACAGTCCTAAGCCACAGGGTGTGTCAGGAGGAAGGAGGGACTGAGGTAGGGGTCAGCCCTCCCTCCTGAGCTGCTCCCCCAGCGTCTCTGTCACCTTCTTCAGTTCGTCTCTCAAGTGCTCCAGCTGCTCCACCTCCTTTTCCTGGTGGGGTCAGAAACGGGGTAGTCAGCACCCACCTTCAAAGGCAGGCCACCTCGGTCACTGTGATTGTGGGCCATGTCGGTTCTCATAGTGGCATCCAGCAGCGGTCGTTCTGATCGTCGTGGACCGCGATGGTGACCATGCTGATTGCCATAACCCCGGAAGAGTGGTGCTGGCTAACGCGACCACAGCCAACAGCAGTAGCTTGGCACTGGCAAAGGTGCCTGGGATGAGCACCTCGTGATGGCGCTTTATTTTTATTTTTAAGATGGAGTCTCGCTCTGTCACCCAGGCTGGGGTACAGTGGCACGATCTCGGCTCACTGTAACCTCCACCTCCCGAGTTCAAGTGATTCTCCTGCTTCAGCCTCCCGAGTAGCTGGGATTACAGGCATGCAACACCATGCCTGGCTGATTTTTTGTATTTTTAGTAGAGACAGGGTTTCACCATGTTGGCCAGGCTGGTCTCGAACTCCTGACCTCAGGTAATCCTCCCGCCTCAGCCTCCCAAAGTGCTGGGATTACAGGCACGAACCACCATGCCCAGCCATTTTTTTTTTTTTTTTTTAAGATGGTTTTGCTCTGTGGCCCAGGCGGGACTGCTGTGGCACAATCATGACTCAATGCAGCCTCAAACTCCCGGGTTCAAGCAATCCCACCACCTCAGCCTCCTGAGAGCTGGGACCACAGGCGTGCGCCACCATTGCTGGCTAATTTTTTAAATTATTTGTAGAGTCACGGTTTCACTATGTTGCCCACGCTGGTCTCAAACTCCTGGCCTCAAGGGATTCTCCCACCTTGGCCTCTGAAAGGATTAACCCTCCCTAGGATTACAGGTGTGAGCCACCATGCCCACCCTGTTACGGCACTTTTGGTGCCACCAATCATGGTGACATCTTGTTTTCCATGACCCAGCAATGGTGTCTGTCTGTCACCTAGTGAAGTAGGCACAGCAGCCACTTTTCACAGTGGCCAACTTGCTAGTGATGGTGGCTTGCTTCTGTGCAATGGTGCCATCTTGGTTGCTGTAGTCCATACAGTAGTGTGGAAGTATAAGGTAAAGGCCTTGCACGGAAGTTGTTAGCCAGTCGTGGTGTCAGTCTTGGCCACTGTGATCCACTAGTGATGGATCTGGTGGTGCAGGGCCAACACCGGTGGCTGTGAGTTGTGACTCCACTGACCATCATCAACCCTGCCTCCAAACTGTGTTGGTGTTCCTCCTTCATCCCCCTACTCACCTCCCTCTCCGAAGCCTCCTCCTTCTCCTGCCTGGGCTCAGCCTCTGGCTGGTGGTGGTGGTGGTGGTGGTGGGGCAAGTCCTCGCGCCTCTCTCCTCCGCCTCTCTCGGCCCCCTGCCACAGGCTGCGGTCCCCGCCCAGCACCCGCACCCCCTTCTCCTCTGCCTGGAACTGGGCCGTCTCTTTGTCACTGGCCTTCTCTGCCACCCGCTTCTGGAGGTCCCCTCCATTCTCTAGATGCCGCTGCCACAGGTCCTCAAAGGTCTCCATGGGCCCCCTCTTCCTCTCCTCCTTCTCCTCCTCCTCGTCCTCCTCCTGGTGGAGCTGGCGATGCCCTTGCATGCGGATGGCTTGTTCCTGGACCTCAGACTTGTGGGTCCTCTCTGCTACCTCCTCCTCTTCCTCATCCCTCACCTCCTGGCTGGACCTCATCTTCCCAGCCTCCTGCTTCTTGAAATCCCCAAGCAGCAGGCCTTTCTCCTCGGTGGACGCACAGCCGTGGGGCTCTGTCCCGCACAACTCTGGCAGAAAGGGAAAGGACACTCTCTAAGCATCCAATTGGGAAACTGAGGCCGAGTATGGAGGCTCACGCCTGTAATCTCAGCACTTTGGGAGGCCGTGGCGGCCGATCACCTGAGGTCAGGAGTTTGAATTGGGAAACTGAGGCCTTGAGGAGTTCTGGGCCCTGCCGAAGGTCTCACAGGGGGGCTGCCCAGACTACAGGGGGAGGGTCCTATTTCATCCCACCTGGGAGGGGATGTTCCCTGCCCCATCTGGCCCCTCTGCAGGGAACCACAAGGGTGTTGCTGGTGGCCAGGCTCTGTCAGGTGTGAATGCTGGGCAGTGCCCCGCTGGTCCAGGCAACAGGGCTCTGGGAATGAGGACCTCTTCCTCCAGGTAGCCTGGGTGGGAGAGCATGTGGGCACCTGGGCAGGACCCTGGGTGGGGTAGGGTAGGGTCCCATGGGGTTGTGGAGGGCAAGTGGGGCCCGGGGCCTCCTTACCCTTGTGGAGAAGAGCAGTGCAGGGTCCTCTCTGGACCTGGCCCACGGTCAGCACCTCTGTGACCACCTCTGCCAGACAGCGGGTCAGCTGGGGGGCAGGGGTGCCGGGTCAGAGGGGAGGTTGAGGGCAGGGGAGATGGGGAGGAGAGCAGCTGGTTTGAGGGCAATGAGGATCATGGGGCAGGCTGTGCAGGGAGGGCAGGGCCCCAGCTAGGTGAGGCAGGGCAAGGCCTCCACACTCCTCACCTCCTCCTTGGAGGGTCTCGGTGCCAAGGGAGCAGCGGTGGCTGTGGAGAAAGGAGATGGCACTGGGCTTTGCCGCCCTGGCTGCTGTCCCCGGTACCGACCCCAGCTCCATGGGCGTCCCGGTCCCCACACATCCCCTCCCCATCCCACCCGGCGGGTGTACTGTCCCCCGCTGGAGGCTCGGCCCCTGAAGCCTCTCCACTGGGTGCACTGCCTGCCCCCTCCCACTGGAGTCCCCGCTCCCCGGCCCCTGGCAGGTCCCGCACTCGGCAGGTCCCGCACTCACCCGCCCCCAGCAGGAGCAGCCGCAGCAGCAGCAGCTCAGAGGCTGGCCCTCGGGGCGGCATGGTGGGCGTCCAACGGGTCCAAGGCGCTGTGCGGGCCAGGGTTGCAGCGCCTTATAACCCACGCGGGGACCCTGCAGGGGAGGAAATGATGTCACCCCCGCCCCCTCCCCGCCCGCGGCGGGGCGACATCTGCGGGGCGGCTGCCTGCCTGAGACCCTCAATTATTCATGAGGCCTCCGCCCTGCACGCGCTCCCCTCGAGGCTTCAGGCCAGGAGCTCAGCGCAGATGGTGGAGGCCTCCCTTTTTTCGTTTTTTTGAGACACGGTCTGGCTCTGTCACCCAGGCTGGAGTGCAGTGGCGCCATCACAGCTCACTGCAGGCTCCTGAACACACTTGATCCTCCCACCTCAGCCTCCCGAGTAGCTGGGACCACAGGCGTGTACCACCATATCTGGCTAATAATGTTTATTTTTTGTAGAGGCAGGGTCTCACTTTGTTGGCCAGGTTGGTCTCAGACTCCTGGGCTCAAGTGATCCTCTCGTCTGGGCCTCCCAAAGTGCTGGGATTACAGGCCTGAGGTGCCACACCTGGCCTGGGGGGATCTCTTCCCAGAGCAGCAGGGTCTGGTACACTCGCCCTCCACGCTGGCAGGTGGACCGGGGTGGGAACCCAGAAGCAGCCACTCACAGATGGTCCCCAGGCAACTCCTTCCCTTCCTGGGCCTGTTTTCTCACAGGGTCTTGTTACAGGCTGGAGTGCAGTGCCTCAAACTCTCACACAAGGGATCCTCCTGCCTCAGCCTCCAGATCAGTTGGGACTGCAGGCTTGCATTATCATGCCACAGTAATTTTTTTCATTTTTTGTAGAGAGGGGTTCTTGCTATGTTGCCTAGACTGGTCTGAAACTCCTGACCTCAAATGATCCGCCCACTTGGGCCTCCTGAAGTGCTGGGACTACAGGCGTGGGTGAGCCACTATGCTTGGCTGAGAGTGGGTCTCATAAACCCGCTTCCTCAGAGGCTGCAGTTGGCTTCTGGCCTAAGCCCCAGCTCCACCACGTGCCAGCTGTGCAGCCCAGGATAACCGCTTAACTTCTCTAAGACCTGTTTCCTCACTGTAAATAGGGTTGGTGACAACCTACTCTACAGTTGGACAGTGAGGATTAAATAGTTGTGTGTACAGTGTTTAGGGAAGTGCCTGGTACTGGGAACGGCACACGTCCAAGCATCTTCAGTGCAGTAATTTTTGTTGAGCATCTACTACATGCCAGGTCCTCTTTTAGACCTGAGGCTACAGCCCTGAGCCAATGGGTGGATACCTCTGCCCTCCTGGAGCTGGTATTTGACACACATCAATACATATTAAGGAAAGAAGGCAGAAATGCATCAAAAATATAGTATCTCAGGCTGGGCGTGGTGGCTCATGCCTGTAATCCCAGCACTTTGGGAGGCCAAGGCAGGTGCATTACCTGAGGTCAGGAGTTCAAGACCAGCCTGGTCAACATGGCGAAACCCTGCCTCTACTAAAAATACAAAAAATTAGCCGGACATGGTGGCACCTCCCTGTAATCCCAGCTATGCGGGAGGCTGAGGCAAAAGAATCTCTCAGAGGTTGCAGTGAGCCGAGATCACACCACTGCACTCCAGCCTGGGACAGTGAGACTCCATCTCAAAAAAAAAAAAAAAAAAAAAAAAAAGTATCTCAGATGTAGGTACTGAGTGCTGGGGGGGTTTTACTGTGGTCACGGAAGACTTCTTGGAAGAGGTGACATTTGAGCTAAGGCCTGAGTGACAAGATGGAGGCCAGCACACACCATCTAGGGGAGAGACAGCCAGAGAGGGAGACTCACCAATGTAAGTGCACGAGTCAGGAAGGAGTTTGGAGAGTTTCAATGTCAAGGCGGGTCGGGTGGACCAAACAAGACAGAAAGATGGGCTGAAGAGGAAGGTGGAGCAGCTCAGGTGGGGTCTTAGGGGCCTCGATGACCACTTTACCCTTTTACTCTGAGACGAAGCCACAGGAGACCTCTGAGCAGGGGTGGGACACCCAGCTGAGGTGCTCACAGGTCCCTCTGGCTGTGTGGCGAGGATGGAGAACAGGGAGCCAGTGAAGAGGCTTCCAGGGTTAACCAAAGGGGAGGGATCGGGGAGCAGGGCCCAGGTGGGGTCAGGGAGGAGAGAACAGTAGGCAGAGTCTGGAAATCTTTTTTGAGACAGAGTCTCGCTCTGTCACCCAGGCTGGAGTGTAGTAGTGTGATCCCAGCTCACTGCAACCTCTGCCTCCCGGGTTCAAGAATTCTGCCTCAGCCTCCCAAGCAGCTGGGATTACAGGTGCCCGCCACCACACCCAGCTCTTTTTTTTTTTAGATGGAGTCTCGCACTGTAGCCCATGCTGGAGTGCAGTGGCGCGATCTCCACTCACCACAACCTCCGCCTCCCAGGTTCAAGTGATTCTCCTGCCTCAGCCTCCCGAGTAGCTGGGATTACAAGCGTGCGCCACCACGCCCAGCTAATTTTTGTATTTTTAGTAGAGATGGGGTTTCACCATGTTGGCCAGGCTGGTCTTGAACTGACCTCAGGTGATCCGCCTGCCTTAGCCTCCCAAAGTGCTGGGATTACAGGCGTGAGCCACTGTACCTGGCCAGATTCTGGAAATATTCTGAAGGCGGTGTTGCCAGGGTTGCTAATGAAGTGGAGTGGATATGAGATAAAAGTCGAGGCTAACCCGAAGGGCTGTGGCCTGGGCAGCCGGGAGAATGTGCTGGGATGGGCATGCCTGAGGAGGAGCAGGTGCAGGCCAAGTGATCAGAGGACCAGGTAGCTTCCCTGAGTTTGGGATGCCCACTGGGCCCCTACCTGGAGCTGCAGAAGGGACAGCTGCATGGGGAGCTGGGGACTGAGGGGTGAGGCTGGGGCTGGGGTCAGCTCGAAGGAACCCTCAGAGGGTGACTCTGTTCTGGCTTGTCCCAGAGGAAGGGGAGAGAATTCAGCATCCTCTCAGCAACCCTGGTGGCCCCAGGCCAGCCTCCATGTGCACTGGGGGGTGGCTAGGCACTTCCAGCCATGGTCTTTGCAGCCACAGACCCTTTGAGGATAGTGCCTCCAAGCGGCTGCTCAGCAGCTCCTAGAGAGCCAGGCATCTCCCTTGTTCACAGATCCACAGAGGCCTTTGTCCTGACCATTTATTGGGGACTTTTTGCTCAGCACTGTAGGAGGAAAGAAGGAAGGAGGGATGGAAGCCTCTTCCTCTGCTTCTCCTGTCCCTAGAACCGTAAAGCCCAGACGTCCTGCTTCCCACTGGGACCCTCAATGATAACAGGGTCAGTGACTGACTCTGAGGCAGCAAGGACAGAGGAGAGGTGGACCCCGTGGTCCAGGGGCCCGGGCGTGGAGCTGACAGGAAGAACACAGATGTCAGGACGGGCTCAGCAACACAGGTCCCAGGTGTCCGGGGTCTCCTGAACTCCAGGAAGCAGTGACACCCCCGAGGGCTGCTGTGGGTGGGTTCTTAGCTTACAGCAGGCTGGCCAGGCAGCCCAGGCTTCCGGGGCTGGTTGGGGCCGATGTACTGGAGAGGCACGTGGGTAGGGGCTGTGATCCGATCAGTGCCGAGGTAGGACTGGAGGGCAGGGGGCACGAGCACTGAGCCGTCCTGGGGACAGAGCAGACCTCAGGACACTGCAGATGCCCCAGCCCTCCCCGGCGCTGAGCTGCCTCTCTGGGTGGGCCCCTCAGCCCCTCACCTTCTGCTGGTTACTCTCCAGGAGCGCGATGAGAAGGCGGGGGACAGCACAGGCGGTGGCGTTCACCTGTGAGACAGCCATGCTCGGAACTGGCGCCCACCCCAAGCTGAGCCCGGGGAGGAGCCAAGGTGGGTGGGTCTAGGGCGGCAGAGGCTGCGGGCGAGGGCACGCGGGCAGGAGGCTGTGCGGGCCTCACCGTGTGGGCAAACTGCAGCTCCCCAGCCTCGGTCTGGAACATGATGTGGAGGCGGCGGCTCTGGAAGTCTGTGCAGTTGGAAGCACTGGTGACCTGGGGTGGAGGAGCGGCAGGCTGAGCGGATCAGGGATGGGGGGCAGGCCTGTCCTCCTGCCCACCCCGTCCCCAGCGGCACAGGGCTCACCTCTCCAAAGCGGCCTCGGCCTGGCATCCAGGCCTCAATGTCAAACTTGCGGTAGGCGGGGAGGCCCAGTTCTTGGGTGGGCATATCCAGGACCCTGCGGTCAAGGACGAAGGTGTGGGGAAGGTCAGCGGGTGAGAGGAGGAGCAAGAGGAACAAATGGAAACGATGGAAGAGAAGGCAGCCAAAAAGCAGGAAAAAGCCCAGGAGTTTGAGACCAGCCTGGGCAACATAAGGAGACCTCATCTACTCCAAAAAAACAAACAAAAAAAAGGAGACGATAGTGCCAAAGGAGAGAGTTGTGAGGCCAGGGGTGGTTATGGAGAAGGTGGTACATGGAGGGGGAAGCACAAAAGAGGTTGATGGGAGGGGAAAAAGGCACGTGGCAGGGTCCACCGGCTCTTCACAGTGGCCATTCACACATTTGCACCTTCTAGGCACCCTCGGTTTTTTTTTTTTTTTTGAGACGGAGTCTGGCTCTGTTGCCCAGGCTGGAGAGCAGTGGCGCGATCTCGGCTCACTGCAACCTCCACCTTCAGGGTTCAAGTGATTCTCCTGTCTCAGCCTCCTGAGTAGATGGGATTACAGGTGTGTGCCACCATGCCCGGCTGATTTTTATATTTTTAGTATAGATGGGGTTTCACCATGTTGGCCAGGCTGGTCTTGAACTCCTGACCTCAGGTGATCCGCCTGTCCCGGCCTCCCAAAGTGCTGGGATTGTAGGTGTGAGCCACCGTGCCTGGCCTTTATTTTTTTTTTTTAGAGACAGGGTCTCACTCTGTTGCCCCAGGCTAGAGTGCAGTGGCATGATCACAGCTCATTGTAGCCTCCACCTCCTGGGTTCAAGCAATTCTCCTGCCTCAGTCTCCCAAGTAGCTGGGACCACAGGTGTGTGCCACCATACCCGGCTAATTTTAAAAAACGTAAAGACGAGCTCTCGCTGTGTTGCCCAGGCTGGTCTTGAACTCCTGGCCTCAAGCAATCCTCCTGCCATGGCCTCCCAAAGTGCTGGAATTACAGGCGTGAGCCACCACACCCGGCTTACGCTCCCAGTTTTTTACAATGGGTCACCCAGAAAAGAAGTCCACATTTCTCAGCCTCTCTTGAAAGCTGCGTGTGACTGACAGGGTGAGAGGAAGTGGGGTTCCCAACCTCTGGCTCCCCCTTTTCCCACCCCCACTCTCCACTGGGAGGTGAAAAAGTATCTTGGGTTGCACAGATGAGGCAGTGGCCCAGAGAGAGGGGGAGCAGCAGGAGGAAAGGGGCCCGGGTCTCCACTCTGGCACACCGTGCACTGTTCGTGCTTCTGTTACAGTCCTGTGAGGGACGACCGGCACACGGCAGACAGATTGGGATCCTGTATATGCTCCTGTAATCCTTGTACAGGAAAATGGGGGCAACGAGGGGGCTGGAGAGGTGGTTCCAGAGCGAAGAGCAGCTGGCCAGCCCCTTGTCCCTCCCCTACCCCACCCCTGCCATCCCTGGATCCCTGGCCCCTCTCCACACCGGAAGTGCAAGCCCAGCTCTGTCAAGATCTCCATCTGAAGGGACAGGAACTCCTCCAGCAGCTGTGAGCTCTGCTCCAGCCCAGGGCCTGTCACCCCAAACATCTCCACCTGGGACAGAGGGCACAGGAGTCAGGAGGCTCTGAGCTCTTGGGGTGGCCCCCCACCCCAGCCCCGTTTAGTCCCAGCGACACCAGCCTTGGTGAAGTGGTGTACTCGATACAGCCCCCGGGGTTCCTGTCCCGTGTTTGTCTCTGCCCGGTAGCAGGTGCTGGAGCAAACCATCCTGGCAGAGAGCAGGGAAAGTCGGGTCAAGGAGGGAAGACTGATTGTCACAGGTGGGGTCAAGGTCTAAGGAAACCAGGTGTCACCTGACTGGCAGGTCCCTGAAGGCCACGGTGTGGTCCATGAAGTAGCCTGGGAGGAGAGACCACAGGGTGAGCCAGGGCTGCCAGTGCCCAGAGGAAGCCTTTGGAAGATTAAGAGGCACTCCCTCTGGTGGATGCAACCCCAGGTCAAGGCCCGGGGCTGGATTATCACTGTACTGCTGTACAGTAAACAACCTACACAGCCGTACATGTTGGCCCTGGGGCTGCTGAGCTGCTCGGGGCAGGTGATCCCCCCCAGTGCTCCCTGGACGCTCCCAGTTGTCCTTCCACATCACTCCTGCTCCTCCCCACCACCCACACAGGTCCTCACCTGCAAGCCCCACCTCCGCTGTTCCAGCCAGGTTGAGATCTTTGAAGCGGGCAGGGTCGATGTTGTAAATTTGGGATGGGTTGGCATTTGGTGTCATCCCACAGCCTTCCTGGGGGAGGAGGCCAGGCCACAGGGATCAGGGGACAGGTAACCCTGGCCTCTCGTTTTACAGTCCCAACCCCAGCTCCTCCCCTGAAAACATCTGGAGCTGCCCTGGCCTCCCTGGTATGGCCTGGCCCCCTCAACCCAGCCCCAGGGCGGTCTCCTCAGGTTTCCCTGCCTCGGGCACCCACGGCAGGGCCTGACACCCAGGTGGGCGAGGGAAGCGGAGAGGCCTCACTCACAAACACTGCTCCGCGGAGAAGGTCTGGCACCGTCATGGGGGTGAAGCCCTGTTCAGGGGAGAGGATGAGTGAGCAGAGCTGGGACCCCTACCAGACCCCAAGCTCAGCCCTGAAGAAGGGGTGCTGCAGAGCCCCTTCCTCCTCAGACGAAACTGAGGCAGGGGCTGGCGCAGTGGCTCACCCATGTAATCCCAGCACTTTGGGAGGCTGAGGTGGGCGGATCACTTGAGGCCAGGAGTTTGAGACCAGCCTGGCCAACATGGCAAAACCCCCTCTCCACTAAAAAGGCAAAAATTAGCCGGCATGGAGATCGTGCTACTGCACTCCAGTCTGGGTGACAGAGCGAACTCTGTCAAAAAGAAAAAAAAAAAAATTAGCCAGCATGGTGGCATGTGCCTGTAATCCCAGCTACTCAGGAGGCTGAGGCAGGAGAATTACTTAAACCCGGGAGGTGGAGGTTGCAGTGAGCCAAGATTGCACCACTGTACTCCAGCCTGGGTGACAGAGCGAGACTCCGTCTCAAAAAACAAAAAAGTACAGATTTGGCCACACCCTCCCCTGCTTAAAAGCCTCCCATGGCTCCCTAGTACCCTCTGAAAATGTCTGAGTTCCTCACCGTGACCAATGCTCCATGCAACCAGTCCCTGCCATGTTTCAATGGATGCTATGATTCCCAAATGCTCCCTTTATACCGCAAGCAGGCAGTGAGGTGCAATGATTACAAGCACAGGCTCTAGGCCCAGCTCCAGACTGGCTGTGAGACCTTGGGCTATAGGTACCTCCCCTCTCTGGGCCTCAAGCCCTCTCTGTAAAGTGGGGATGATGACAGCACCCACTTCATAAAGTTGTCGTAAGGACTAAATGTGTCAATGATACACATGAAGCTCTGAGAGCAGTGACTAGGGCAGAGCAGAGATCACTCCCATCCCCGTTGGGCCCTCTGAGCTCAGCTTCGATGCCACCCCCTCCAGGCAGCCCTCCTATCTTGGCCCATACCCGGCGGAGAAGCTTGTTGAATGTGAAGTTGACCAGGCCGTGCTGCAGGAGGGCTCCAGCCCCGCGCAGGTAATAGGACCGGTGGCCAGACACGTGGGACAGGCGCCTGGGAGACAGACAGACAGGCGGGTGCACATGGGCCAGGCTGGCAGGGAATGTGGGGATGAAAACACCCGGGGGAAGAGGCCCGGCTGCTGGGTGGGGCTGGGGCATCAAAGATTCATGGCATTTCCACATCTCACGCTGAGGCCAATGAGGCAGGAGCCAGCTGTCGGGGTGCAGGCAGCTGGGAGAGGGGCGTGGGGAGCCAGGGGAGGGGCTCACTTCTGACGGATGATGTCGAGTTTCTCGCCAATTTCCAGGTGGCCCCGAGGTTGGAAGGAGAAAACTGGATGTGGGTGAAAAGCACCGGTGTAAGGCAGCGGGGAGAGAGGGATGGGGCCCAGATAGAAGCTTCCAGAGACAGCAGAGAGGAGGGACGGTGAGAGAAAATAAAGGAGGGGCAGGAGGAGAGAAGGGAGAAGAAGACACGGAAAGGGAGGGAAAGGGAAGAAAAGACAGACAGGAAGGGAGGGAGATAAAAACAGAGACAGGGAGAGGAAATGAGAGGAGGCAGAGAGGGAAATAAGAGGGCGCGGGGTGGGGAAGGCAGAGTTAGAAACAGAGGAGAGAGGCCAGAGGAGAAGGAAACACCACGAGGAAGGGAGGAGGAGAATCAGAGAGGAGGCACAGAGTTGGGGAGAAAAAGCCCCGGAGACAGGGACCAAAGCAGGGGGGTCAGAGAGAGAGACAGAGACACACACACACTCACACACATACATACACACACAGAGATACACACAGAGGTACGAAGACACACACACATATACAGACACACAGAGACAGACACATACACAGACACGCAGAGACAGACACACAGATACACGGATACAGACACACAAAGACAGACACGCACACACAGATACACACAAAGACACAGATACACAGACACAGATACAGACATACACACAGAGATACACGGAGATATGCAGATACACACACAGACACACAGAGACAGACACATACACACAGACACAGAGAAAGACACACAGATACATACACACAGATACATAGACACACACAGACACACACACACACAAACACAGATATACACACACAGAGATAGACACACACATAGACACACACACACAGACACAGACACAGATACAGACACACACAAACACAGACACACACACACAGATACAGACACACACAGATACACAGATACAGACACACACAGATACACAGATACAGACACACACATACAGATACAGACACACAGATACAGACACACATGACACACAGTCACACAACACATACATACACGACACACACTCACACACATACGATACAATCACACAACACAGGGTGAGACTGCCCAATGGTGAAGGGGGAGAGAATGAAAACCCAAGGACCGCCTCTCAGAGACAGCTCGAGCTCGGCCAAGGCAGGAAGCTGGAGCCACCTCCTGTACCGCCAGGAGTTCTCCAGGCTCCAGACATGTTCCCAGACCCCAGGGGCCCCCACCCCGAGACCCCAGAACCCCCACACCGCAGGGCTTGTCAGCTCCCAGGCCTGGGGTGTGGCCCACCTGGCTTGTCTCCGACCATGTGGAGCACTCGAGCCTGGCTCTCATCCCCGACGGGCTGCAGGGAGACAGCAGGAGTCACGGAAAGGTGGCACTAGGTGGGCCCCTGGCCTCCCTGCCACCCAGCACGGTGCTCACCACGTCTGGGTGGGTCTGGTTGGGCAGCTTCAGCGCCTGCAGGTAGAACTGCTCCTCAAGCTGGGCCTCCCTGGGGTACAGGTGAACAAGCTCCTTCCGGATCTCCCGGCCACGTGCCCGCAGACCCTGGTACTTGGGGTCCTGGGGGCAGCACAGGTGGGCTCAGCCCGGGAGAGGGTCAGGACTCCCTCATCCAGTGTGACCTTGATCCTGACCGGCAGAGCCCCTGTGGTGGACATTCATGCCTCTTCTCCAGGCCCAGGATCCTGAACGTCTTCGCAGAACTTCCCTTACCACCACATGGCAGGTTTGTGGGGAAAAGAATCAGGCCTGGCCAACTAGAACGTTCTATTGCCTTGGCCACAATGACTGGCTCAGAGACAGGCACCTGATGTCAGCTGAACTCATGAGAATCAGCCCCAGGACTTTAACTGGAACTATCAGGAAAGCGTGCTTGACTTTGCCTCCTACTTACACAAGGAGAGAAAGCTGGCCTGGGAATGGGAGGAACGTAGGACCAAATATGGAGCCAGCACCTGGATCCAGCCGCACCTGAAGCCAGTTTTAGTTTCATGCATCAATAGAGCCTATTTTTTTTTTCCCCTTAAACCTGTTTGAGTTGTTTTCTGTTACAATAGTAGAATCGTGACTGGCAGGGTATCCTCCCTGCCCACCCCCAACCCTGGATAGGACATCAACTCTTCACAGTACCTGCTGCACTTCACCACTGTCCTGGTTTGCCTGGTAGAAAAGAGACAGGGTGGGTGATTAGGTTGACAAAGTCGAGGGTGGGGAAGAGAAAAAATGGTGAAAGGTCAAACAAGGCCAGAGGATCTTAGTCTCCTGCTCTGTCAGTGCCTAGCTGGGTCCCTCTGCAACTCTGTGTTTCTGTTTCTCTATTGCTAACGCTACAAGGAGGCAAGATAATTAACAGTAATCACAGCCGCAGATCCGTATAGGAAGTGATGCCTCCATGCCAGGCTCTATGTACAGGGCTCTCCCATGCCATGATTTCTTCAAAATCCACTTTAGGAGGTAGGCATTCGTGTAAACCCTGTGATATGGTTTGGCTGTGTCTCCACCCAAATAATATCTCAAATTGTAATTCCACCTGTTGAGGAAGGGACCTGGTGGGAGGTGATCGGGTCCTGGGGGCGGTTTCCCCCATGCTGTTATCCTGATAGTGAGTTCTCACGAGATCTGATGGTTTAAAAGCATTTGGCAGTTACCCCCTGTGGCTGTCTCCAGCCACCATGTGGAAGGGAAAGTGCCTTGCTTCCCCTTCCGCCATGATTTTAAGTTTCCTGAGGCCTCCCAGCCATATGGAACTGTGAGTCAATTAAACCTCTTTTCTTTATAAATTACCCAGTCTCAGGTATTCTTTTTTTTTTTTTTGAGACGGAGTCTTGCTCTGTCGCCCAGGCTGGAGTGCAATGGCGCGATCTTGGCTCACTGCAAGCTCCACCTCCTGGGTTCACGCCATTCTCCTGCCTCAGCCTCCTGAGTAGCTGGGACTACAGGTGCCCGCCACCACGATCGGCTAATTTTTTTTGTATTTTTCGTAGAGACAAGGTTTCACCATGTTAGCCAGGATGGTCTCGATCTCCTGACTTTGTGATCCACCTGCCTTGGTCTCCCAAAGTGCTGGGATTACAGGCGTGAGCCACCGCGCCCAGCCTGATCTCAGGTTTTCTTTTTTTTTTTTTTTTTTTTGAGACGGAGTCTCGCTCTGTCGCCCAGGCTGGAGTGCAGTGGGGGGATCTCGGCTCACTGCAAGCTCCGCCTCCCGGGTTCACGCCATTCTCCTGCCTCAGCCTCCCTAGTAGCTGGGACTACAGGCGCCCGCCACTACGCCCGGCTAATTTTTTTGTATTTTTAGTAGAGACGGGGTTTCACCGTTTTAGCCGGGATGGTCTCGATCTCCTGACCTCGTGATCCGCCCACCTCGGCCTCCCAAAGTGCTGGGATTACAGGCGTGAGCCACCGCGCCCGGCCTCAGGTTTTCTTTATAGCAGTGTGAAAATGGGGCCAGGCGTGGTGGTTCACAAATGTAATCTCAGCACTTTGGGAGGCTGAGGTGGGCAGATCACCTGAGGCCAGCAGTTGGAGAGCAGCCTGGCCAACATGGAGAAACCTCATCTCTAAAACCTTGTACTAAAAATACAAAAATCAGGCCGGGCTTGGTGGCTTACGCCTGTAATCCCAGCACTTTGGAAGGCTGAGGCGGGCGGATCACGAGGTCAGGAGATCGAGACCATCCTGGCTAACATGGTCTCTACTAAAAATACAGAAAAAAAATTAGCTGGGCGCGGTGGCGGGCGCCTGTAGTCCCAGCTACTCGGGAGGCTGAGGCAGGAGAATGGCGTGAACCCGGGAGGCAAAGCTTACAGTGAGCCGAGATAGTGCCACTGCAGTCTGGCCTAGGTGGAAGAGCGAGACTCAGTCTCAAAAAAAAATTAGCTGGGTGCAGTGGCACGTGCCTGTAATCCCAGCGACTCAGGAGGCTGAGGCACGAGAATCCCTTGAACCTGGGAGGTGGAGGTTGCAGTGAGCCGAGATCGTGCCACTGTACTCTGGTCTGGGTGACACAGTGAGACTCTGTCTCAAAAAAAAAAAAGAAGAAAATGGACTAATATACCCTGTCTGTAGATTCGAAAATGGAAGCTCAGAGAGGTAAAGTCTATCAGTGTGCATTTGAGGGCCTGCAACCAAGGCCCCTTGACATTCTGAACCTTCCATGATCCTAAGCAGCTGAGGGAATCGAACAGCCTGGGTCTGAATGTTGGGCACCTACATGCTGTGAGCCCTTGGGAAAATCTCTGCCCCCTCTGAGCCTCAGTATCCCCATCTGTGAAGTGGGATGATAACAGGACCTCCCTGGGCAGGGCTGTTGTGCAGCTTCCCTGAGATGAGTTAGCACTCAAAGAACATTAAATGATCCATTGTGTTGCTTTCATTGGTTGTCCATGATGTAGACAGCCCGAGGCTGGCCACTCAGTAGGTGCTGGGAGATGTGATTCTTGGTGGCAGAGGCCTCCAAACAGAGTGGTAAAAACCAACTGCCTAGGTGCGAACCTTGCCTCTCCCACTTCCTGGCTGTGAGACTTACGTACTTTTTCTGGTTGTTTTTTCTCGGAGACAGGGTCTCACTCTGTCGCCCAGGCTGCAGTGTGATGGTGCGATCATAGCTAACTGCAGCCTCAAACTCTTGGACTCAAGCGATCTTCCTGCCTCAGCCCCAGAGTAGCTGGGACTACAAGTGCGTACCCCCATACCCGGCCATTTAGGCCCGTTTTAATCTCTTAGGGCCTCACTTTTTCCCAGCTGTAAAATTGGGTTTGTATTGTTCCTGTGTGACAAATGGCTGTGAGGATTAAGAGTATGGAAAACACCTGGTATGGTGTGTAGCGACTTCTACATAAAGGTCTGCTGTTGTTTTTATGATTGTTTTTAAGCCGTCTGTGGCAGACACTGTTGGTTGTATAACCCAAGATCCCTCCTTCCAGGCCAGGCGCAGTGGCTCACACCTGTAAGCCCAGCACTTTGGGAGGCCAAGGCGGGTGGATCACCTGAGGTGATGAGTTTGAGACCAGCCTGGCCAACATGGTGAAACCCTATCTCTACTAAAAATACAAAATTAGCCGGGCGTGGTGGCGCATGTCTGTAATCCCAGCTACTGGGGAGGCTGAGGCAGAAGAATCACTTGAACCCAGGGGGCAGAGGGTGCAGTGAGCCCAGATCATGCCACTGCACTCCAGCCTGGGTAACAGAGTGAGACTCGGTCTCAAAAAAATAAAAACAAAATAAAGATCCCTTCTTCCTCCTTCCCCACAGAACTCTGACGCAGTTCACCCTTCCCTGGTAGCCTGTAGTTCAGGGGAAGTGGGCCCAGGTGGAGGATGGCCTCTGATCAGCCTATGCCGGCTGCCGGAACTCCATTCCTCCGGCTGACAACTGGAGTGTGGTGGGGGTCTGGGCCCAGGGGACACGAGGGGACTTTGCTGGATGCTTCAGGAAAGGTGTACTTGCTCCTGAAAAAGGAACTCAAGCCAGAGAAGTCTCTGTCTCCTTCCCCTGGCACAGTCATGTGAGGAGATGCTGGACTACAGCAGCCATCTGGAAACCCTGATGGGAAACTGAGGAAAGATCAGTGCAGTGAAGTTGCCGGTACAGAGAGAAGGAAAGGACCTGGGCTGGGGATGCTGGAAGAACCGCTAATTAATCAGCCCTAGGGATGCCAGGGTCCTGCAACAGCTCGCTATGTGAGGTAATGCATGTCCACATTGTTCACGCTTGCTTATTTATTTATTTAGGGAGTCTCGCTCTGTCGCCCAGGCTGGAGTGCAGTGGCGCCATCTCAGCTCACTGCAACTTCCGCCTCCTAGGTTCAAGCGATTCTCCTGCCTCAGCCTCCCAAGTACCTGGGATTACAGGTGTCCACCGCCATGCCGCCTAACTTTTGTATTTTTAGTAGAGATGGGGTTTCACCATGTTGCCCAGGCTGGTCTCAAACTCCTGACCTCAGCTGATCCACCAACCTAGGCCTCCCGAGTAGCTGGGATTATAGGCGTGAGCCACCGTGCCAGCCTGTTCAAGTTCTTTAAATTCGGTTTCCTGTTACCTGTGTCTAGAGACACCCTCGTGGCCACTCCCCACCTACTCAGGGCACCATGCTCACCAGCAGGGCCCGCACTGCCTCAGTCACAGCTGCCTTCTCTTCCTCCAGGCTCCGGATCTGCTCCTGCAGCTGCCTCAGCTCCTGCCATGTCGAGATCTGGGGTGGATATAAGAGAAAAGGAGATGAAGCAGCCATCACCCCTACCCTTCTCTCTGGAGCCCACTGGCCACCTGGACCTGCGGCGCAGTGAGGCAGAGATCCCTACCTAGCCCTCAGTGGCCATCCTCCCCTCCTCCCTTCAGTACTGGAATGCCCTGAGGTTCAGCTGGCCACACAGATGCCCAGAATTCAGACACACTGGCCGAGCATAGTGGCTCATAACTATAATCCCAGCACTTTGGGAGGCCAAGGTGGGTGGATCACTTGAGATCAGGAGTTCAAGACCAGCCTGGTCAACATGGTGAAACCCCATCTCTACTAAAAATACAAAAATCACCCAGGTGTGATGGCAGGCACCTGTAATCCCAGCTACCCAGGAGGCTGAGGCACGAGAATCGCTTGAAACCAGGAAGCGGAGGTTGCACTGAGCTGAGATCGTGCCACTGCACACTCCAGCCTGGGCAACAAGAGTGAAACTCTGTCTCAAACAAAAAAAGTCTCTAAACTAGCACTTTAAAAAATCATGGCTGGGTGTGGCACTTTGGGAGGCCTAGGTGGGAGGACTGCTTGAGTGAGCCCAGGAGTTCCAGACCAGCCTGGGCAACACAGGAAGACCTGCCTCTAAGAAATTTTTTTTTTTTTTTTTTTTCTGAGACAGAGTCTCACTCTGTCACCCAGGCTGGAGTGTAGTGGCATGATCTTGGCTCATTACAACCTCTGCCTCCCAGGTTCAGGTGATTCTCCTGCCTTAGCTTCCTGAGTAGCTGGGACCACAGGTACGTGCCACTGCACCTGGCTAAGTTTTGTATTTTTTAATAGAGGCAGGGTTTCACCATGTTGGCCAGGCTGGTCTGGAATTCCCGGCCTCACGCAATCTGCCTGCCTTGGCCTCCCAAAGTGCTGGGATTGCAGGTGTGAGCCACAGCACCCGGTCTCTACAAAAAAACTTTAAAAAAATTAGCTGGGTGACAGATTGACACCTTGTCTCAAAAACAAAAAAAATTGTTACAATGTACATAATATGGGAGGCTGAGGCAGGTGGATCATTTGAGCCCAGGAGTTCGAGACCAGCCTGGGCAACATGGAGAAACCCTGTCTCTACAAAAATTAGCTGGGCATGGTGGCACATGCTTGTAATCCCAGCTACTTGGGAGGCTGAGGTTGGAGGATTGCTTGTGCTTGAGCCTGGAAGTCTCACGGAGCCTGAGAGGCTGCCATGAGCCAAGATCATGCCACTGCACTCCAGCGTGGGTGACAGAGTGAGACCTTGTCTCCAAAAAAAAAAAAAATTTATTATTTTTTTGAGGAACTGCCATACGGTTTTCCATGGCAGCCGTACCACTTTATACACATTCCCAACAGCAATGCACAACGATTCCGACGTTTCCACAACACAATTCTTGCCAACACTTGTCCTTTTCTGTTTTGTTTTTAATAATAGCTACTTGAGGCTGGGTGTGGTGGCTCACACCTGTAATCCCAGCACTTTGGGAGGCCGAGGCAGGTGGATCACAAAGTTAGGAGTTCGAGACCAGCCTGGCCAAGATGGTGAAACCCTGTCTCTACTAAAAATACAAAAATTAATTGGGGGTGGAGGCGTGCGCCTGTAATCCCAGCTACTCAGGAGGCCAAGGCAGGAGAATTGCTTGAACCCGGGAGGTAGAGATTGCAGTGAGCCAAGACTGCACCACTGCACTCTAGCCTGGGCGACACAGCAAGACTCCATCTCAAACAAACAAACAAACAGCTGCTCAAATGCACGTCTAAACTACTACTTTGAAAATGAAGAGAATAGCCAGGCGCAGTGGCTCATGCCTGTAATCCCAGCACTTTGGGAGGCCGTGGCCAGTGGATCATTTGAAGTTAGGAGTTCGAGACCAGCCTGGCCAACATGGCAAAATCCATCTCTACTAAAAATACAAAAATTAGTTGGGTGTGGTGGTGCACAACTATAACCCTAGCTACTTGGGAGACTGAGGCACGACGATCACTTGAATCAAGGAGGCGGAGGTTGCAGTGACCGGAGATTGTGCGACTGCACTCAGGCCTGGGCGACAGAGGAAGACTCAGTCTTAAAAAACAAACGAACAAACAACAAAAACACACCCCTGGCCCCCCCCCCCGCAAAAAAAAAAAACAACAACTAGCACTTTACAAATGAAAGAGAATATAATTAAAGAACAAGAATGCATCACACGTGGTAAGAGCAATAATTGTTAATGAAACCGGTTTCAATTTTGGGTGTGTGTACTGGGTCAGGATGTGAAATGTATTTCTTACTCTTGGCCACAAAGTTTGAAAAAGCCTGCTAAAGGATGTGACGCTCTAAATTATCTACATGGCCATCAAATGGAATTTTCCATCCTACCTCCAGGCTTTTGTATATTCTGGTCCCCTACTTGGGATACTCTTCTTCCCTCTTCCCTGGTGATTTCTCAATCCACAGATCTTTGTTTAATGCCACCTCCTCTGAGAAGTCCTCCCAGGCTGTCCTCCACTTTGCCTTCACAGCATTTACCACAGATTATAATGAGTATATCTGTCTCTATGAATTTGATTACTCTAGGTAGTCAAATTTACCAGAAATTGTAATTAGTATATATGTATAGTTGTATATGTTAAATGTCTTTTAGTGGGGCATGGTGGCTCACATCTGTACTCCTAGCACTTTGGGAGGCCAAGGTGGGTGGATCACTTGAGGTCAAGAGTTCGAGACCAGCCTGGCCAACATGGTGAAACCCCGTCTCTACTAAAAATACAAAAATTATGCAGATGTGGTGGCATGTGCCTGTAATCCCAGCTACTCGGGAGGCTGAGGTGGGAGAATCACTTCAACCTGGGAGGCAGAAGTCGCAGCGCACTCCAGCCTGGGAGACAAGAGCAAAACTCCATCTCAAAAAAAAAATGTCTTTTACTAGACTGTGAACTCAGATCATGAGAGGGCACAGCAGGGTACTTAAGATTGTGGAGTCTGGGTGTGGTGGCTCATGCCTGTAATCTCAGCATTTTGGGAGGCCAGGGTGGGAGGATCACTTGGGCGCAGGAGTTCAAGACCAGCCTGGGCAACATAGTATGTCCCTGTCTCAACAAAAAATACAAAAGTTTAGCCGGGCGTGGTGGTGTCTGCCTGTAGTCCCAGCTACACGGGAGGCTGAGTGGGAGGATTATTTGAGCTCAGGAATTCAAGGTTCCAGTGAGCTATAATTGTACCACTGTACTCCATCCTGCCATCCTGGGCGACAGAACAACACCCTATCTCAAAAAAAAAAAAAAAAAAAGTGGATTCTAGGCCAGAAAGCACAGGTTAAAATTCCCACTCTGCCACTTCCCAGTTGCATGACCTAGCGCAAGTGAATTAGCTTCTCGAAGCCTTAGTTTCCCCTCTGATAAAATGGGAGAAATAATGGCACCTACTTCATAGAGTTGCTGTGAAAATTAAACGAGGTTAAAGTGAATAAAGCACTTCAAACAGGCTGGGAGGGGAGTCCAAGAGAGGAATGGGAAGACGTGGGGACCCCACTATCGTTAGCACCTCAACACAGAGATATTGTGAACCCGGTCCTAATTCCCTTTTATAAGTGCTAGCAATTTTATTATTATTCACCGCATATTTGCAACATCTAGAACACCGGAATATAGCAGTTGCACCTTAAGTATCAGTTTAATAGAACCATTCATTAATGGATTCATTCATTCATTCATTAACTCTATTTAACTGCCTGCTATGTGTGGCGGAGGTGCACAACTCTCCCTACCTCTCTCTCTAAACGCAAGAGCTCCACCACACCCCAGCCCTGACCCCGTCCGATTCACACTTGGCTCCCCATTTTCCTTTGTGGTCTTAGGGAAAGGCTGGCATGAGGTTGCAGCACGGAGGGCAATGTCACATAGCAAGTTCCTAAAGGACAGGAGGTACCCAGCGAGCAGTATGAAACAAGCGCATAATGGGTGTCCAGGACACAGTAGGCATTCTTGGCACATAGTAGGGCCTCAGCACTCACTGGACAACTGGCACATAAGTGGGTGCCATGCACAAGACGTTGGCTAACTTGGGAAATAACTAAAATTCCTACTACAGGTTCGCCCCCTGCCGGAGGGCATCTTGCAAACCCAATTCTTCCGTAAAGCAAACGTCTGCGCCCCCCGGCCGGCGCAGGCGCACTCACGATCGCGGGCAGGTCCGCCGAGCGCAGCTCCCCCTTGCGGAGCTCCAGGGCGTGTGCGGCCTCTTCTGGGCATGCGCAGAACCGCTCTATGTCCAGCTGAGGGAGTGCGCTGTAGCCCTCGCGCGCATACTCGTACAGGAGGTTCCGGTTTCGTTTCTCTGTAGTGAAACTTCTCCTTGGACTATCGTTGGAGATGCAGCCTCCCCGGGGCCGGAACCCCCGACGAGTCAGCAAAGGCCACAAGCGCCGCGCCATGGACGCAGCCATCTTGGACCGGGAACAAGGCGGCACTTCGTCCCGCCCACTCCGCGTTTAGACCAATTGCAAGGCAGCGAACCTGACCGTGACGAGCCAATCAGATCCTGAGGAAAGTTGACCGCGATAGAGTCCTTCGTCGCCCAATCGTCGTCTGTGTCCCGCCTCTTCAGTGACGCGAGGCAGAACCAGCCAATCCCTGCACGGATAGCGCCCGGAAGAGGCTAGAAGCTGGATTCAGCGTGTCCGCGACCTCACCTTTAGGTCCTGTGAGGTCGGTGGAATCCTGGGGTCCTCCAAATCTACCAGGCCATCTCCCCAGTTTCCCAGTTCTTCCTGCGTGCGGGCGAGAGTGGTTGGGCCCTCGGGAACCCACTCAGAGCGAGGCTAAATTTACGGAGGGACTTTCTGTTAGCAGCATGAGGGCCTGTGGTTAGACCTATAGAGGTATTTCCTTTGATTTAAGCCAGAAAGTCCTGAGAGCGGATCGGGGAGCATTTGCGGATCGGTCACTTTTTCCTCCTTTCTGAGTCTCTTATCCCCTACCACAGGGACGGCCCAGGTGGCAGGATGTCCTGGTCTGGCCTTCTCCATGGCCTCAACACGTCCCTAACTTGTGGTAAGTGGGGGACTTGGGCTTCAGGGACGAGGCTAGAGGGGGAGGGTTATTCGCTCTTGGACTTGTGTGCCTCCGTCGGAGCCCCGAGGGAAACGGGGGTGGAAAAACACGGTGGGGTTTTGGCAGAGCTAGGGCTGCTAGAGCAAGAGGTGGGAAGCAGCTGCATGGAGGGCTACTGCGTGTCAAGCGGCGTTTGGGTCAGTTTTATTATTTATTTATTTAAGATCTCCCTCTGTCGCCCAGGCTGAAGTGCAGCGGTGTGATCACAGCTCACTGCAGTCTCGACCTCCTGGGCTCAAGTGATCCTCCCGCCTCAGCCTCCCAAGTAGCTGGGACCACAGGCCTGCAGAACCACAACCAGCTAACTTTTTGATTCTTTGTAGAGAGGGAGGTCTCCCTGTGTCGCCCAGTCTGGCCTTAACTCCTGAGCTCAAGTGACCCTCCACAGCCTCCAAAAGTGCTAGGATTACATGCATGAGCCACTGAGCCTACTATTATTTTAAACAGCATTAAAAATAATGCTTCCTGGCCAGCCGTGGTGGCTCACGCCTGTAATCCCAGCACTTTGAGAGGCCGAGGTCAGGAGTTCGAGACCAGCCTGACCAACATGGTGAAACCCCGTCTCTACTTAAAAATACGAAGATTAGCCGAGCGTGGTGGTGGGTGCCTGTAGTCCCAGCTGCTCAGGAGGCTGAGACAGGAGAATTGCTTGAACCCAGGAGGCAGAGGTTGCAGTGGGCCAAGATTGAGGTACTGCACTCCAGCCTGGGCGACAGAGTGAGACTTTGTCTCAAAAAAAAAAAAGAAAAAAAAAAAAAAGGTAATGCTTCCTTGAAGAATAAAGAGTTACTTTTGTCTGTAGATAACATTAGATGTGAACAAATGCATCTTTGTAAAGTGCTTTAAACAATGCCTAAAACACCAAAATTGAGTTGCTACTACTCTAAGATCTGTTCTCTGGGATAATAACCCCTTTCGGCCCTCTCCAGGCCCAGCTCTGGTTCCCCGGCTCTGGGCTACCTGCTCCATGGCTACCCTGAACCAGATGCACCGCCTGGGGCCCCCCAAGCGGCCGCCTCGGAAGCTGGGCCCCACGGAAGGCCGGCCGCAGCTGAAGGGTGTGGTCCTGTGCACGTTTACCCGCAAGCCGAAGAAGCCCAACTCAGCCAATCGCAAGTGCTGTCGAGTGCGGCTCAGCACTGGCCGCGAGGCCGTCTGCTTCATCCCTGGGGAGGGCCACACCCTGCAGGAGCACCAGATTGTCCTTGTGGAGGGCGGCCGCACCCAGGACCTGCCAGGCGTCAAGCTCACCGTTGTGCGTGGCAAGTACGACTGTGGCCACGTGCAGAAGAAGTGACGGCTGGGGGCACAGTGGGCTGGGCGCCCCTGCAGAACATGAACCTTCCGCTCCTGGCTGCCACAGGGTCCTCCGATGCTGGCCTTTGCGCCTCTAGAGGCAGCCACTCATGGATTCAAGTCCTGGCTCCGCCTCTTCCATCAGGACCACTATTAAGCCATAGGAGTCCTGGGGGTGCAAAGGGTGCCCCTCTGTCAACACCCTTGGCTCCTGTGTTTAGAGGGGTGGCCTGAAGGACCTTTTCTGCTGGGACAAGACACTGTACTGCCCTCTGCTGGGAAGGGGTTTTAATAAACAGACCCTGGCGCTTGTGATGTAAATCCCCTTGTGGAGTATTTGCCCTCTGTGTGGCTGTGGCAGTGGACATCTCTGAGCTTCAGTTTCCTCCAGAAAATAGCTCCATTGGTGGTATCTCCTTTGTTTGGTTTGGTGAAGATTAAATTCGATGCTCTATGTGCATAACACGCACGGAGGGCTCTTTTTTTTTTTTTTAGACAAAGTCTCACTCTGTTGCCCAGGCTGGAGTGCAGTGGCCTGATCTCAGCTCACTGCAACCTCTGCCCCCCGGGTTCATATGATTCTCCTGCCTCAGCCTCCCGAGTAGCTGGGATTGTAGGCACACACCACCAGGCCTGGCTAATTTTTGTATTTTTAGTAGAGACAGCGTTTCACCATGTTGGCCAGGCTGGTCTCAAACTCCTGAGCTCGGGTGATCTGCCCACCTTGGCCTCCCAAAGTGCTGGGATTACAGGCGTGAGCCACCACGCCTGGCAGAGGGCTACTGTATTTTAAGCTTAGGAGTCAGGTAGGTGGCACAGAGGCCCAGGTCTTCTTCCTGCAGGCCATGGGTTCTGGGCACATAAACTCTGCCCTCAAGCATGGACAGCTGGAAAATGGCAGTAATTGTAATGTTGATGTGGAAGGGGTGTGGAAAGGATTCAATGGGGTGTGCTGCTCCACACCCGGGAGCTGTTCTTTTATTTTATACGTGTGTGTGTGTGTGTGTGTGTGTGTGTGTGTTTGTGTGTGTTTGTGTAGAGAGAGAGACAGAGTCTCACTGTGTTGTCCAGGCTGGAGTGCGGTTCTATGATCAAAGCTTACTTCAGCCTTGACCTCCTGAGCTCAATAGATCCTCCCGCCTCAGCCTCCTGAGTAGTCAGGACCACAGGTGTGTGCCACCACACCTGGCTAACTTTTCCATTTTTTTAGAGTGGGAATCTGGCTTTGTTGTCCAGGCTGGTCTCGAACTCTTGGCCTCAAGAGATCCTTCCACCTTGGCCTCCTAAAATGCTGGATTATAGGTGTGAGCCACTATTATATTATATAATAATATAAAATTATTACTGGGTTCACCTGAGCTCAAATTCTGCTCCCCGTCATAATTGCTATGAGACCTGGCTATGTTGGTTCCCCCTATGGGCCTCGGTTTCCTCCCTTGGAAAATGGCACTGATGATAATGCTGACTGCACCTGATCATGTTTTTGGCCATGTAAGATTTAAGAAGTGGGGCCAGGTGCAGTGGCTCATGCCTGTAATCTCAACACTTTGGGAGGCCGAGGTGGGCCGACCACTTGAGGTCAGGAGTTTGAGACCAGCCTGGCCAACATGGTGAAACCCTGTCTCTACTAAAAATACAAAAATTACCCGGGCATGGTGGCATGTGCCTATAATCTCAGCTACTCAGGAGGCTGAGGCAGGAGACTTGCTTGAACCTGGGAGGTGGAGGTTGCAGTGAGCTGAGATCAGCACCACTGCACTGCAGCCTGGGTGACAGAGTGAGACTCTGTCTCAAAAAAAGAAAAAAGAAAAAACAATGTTGGAACTGTGTTTATATCATTGGGCTCTGGAGCCCAGCACTGCTCCAAGCCCTGCCTCCCCTACTTACTGGCTGGGTGACCTTGGGCAGGTTGTTTACACTCTGAGCCTGGACCAAATGGCGCTGATAAGGGTGCATGCTTGAGAGCTGTTTGGAGCATCATAGCTGTCTCCGAGTTCCTCTTGACGCTCAACACACAGCCTCCTGAGGGTCTCCTGATTGTAAACATGAGGCCACAAGGTCTTTTAGGATCAGAGCTGGTGGCAGATAAGTGCACTGATTACAGATAAAAATTGCCCATCCCCTCATATTTGGCACCAGTTTTATTGAGCTAGTTTGTTGGCCATGCCTAGCTGAGAAATAGAGAAGTGGAGGGAGATGGGGGGATGGGAGAGCTTTTCCTCATGGCACACTCTGCTCCAGGAGTCTGTATACAGGAGTGTGGAGAAAAGGAAGTGTTACCTTGCAGGAAGTTGCCCCCAAAGCAAGGGCAGGAGGTGGGGGTGGGGGACTTGGCCTCTGATGGAATTCTGGAATTCTGATGAGAGAGGTGCTAGCCTGACCTGAACAGGAGATGCTGACAGGCAGTGCTGGGCATGTTGCACAGAGATGGCTGGTTACACAGCCCCGTGGCAGGATCCCAGAGTGCCGAGACCAGCTGGGTCGTGGAGACCCTAACCCAGTGGCGCTAGAGGAATTAAAGACACACACCCAGAAATACAGGGTGTGGAGTGGGAAATCAGGGGTCTCACAGCCTTCAGAGCTGAGAGCCTCGAACAGAGATTTACACACATATTTATTGACAGCAAGCCAGTGATAAGCATTATTTCTATAGATTATAGATTAACTAAAAGCATTTCTTATGGGAAATAAAGGGATGTGCCAAAATAAACGGATGGGCTCTGGCTAGTTATCTGCAGCAGGAACATGTCCTTAAGGCACAGATCGCTCATGCTATTGTTTGTGGTACAGGAACCCCTTTAAGCCGTTTTCCATCCTGGGTGAGCCAGGTGTTCCTTGCCCTCATTCCAGTAAACCCACGACCTTCAGGGTGGGGGTCATGGCCATCATGAACATGTCACAGTGCTGCAGAGATTTTGTTTATGGCCAGTTTTGGGGCCAGTTTATGGCCAGATTCAGGGGCCTGTTCCCAACATGTCCCCTTTTTTGTTTTGCAAAGTGATAAAAGCAAAGGCAGCTTTGTCACGGTGAGCTACTTCTCACAGGAGTCAGGATCCGCATCTGCACACTATACAAAGACAAACAACACAGAGTAAAAGCACAATCATCATTGAAATCACAGAGCCTCCAAGTGTTTTTATCCATTTGAATGGGTTACTAGCTGCTAATCTGTCTGCAGCTCCTTCAAGCACTCCAGTTCCTGGCATTAAGTTCACGTGTGCCTGGGATACTTTAAATATTTGTTCTTTCAATTTTGCAATATCCAAATACAAGTTTGTAGAGTGGCCTTCTAGATGCTTTTTTATTCTTTCCCAAATTTTGATTTTATTAAGAGCTATTAACAGTTTCCACAAATGCTTATGTTTAGCTCCTAGAGCAGGCCATATCATTTGAGGCTGAGGTGCCACTATACTGCCATGGTTCCAGATAATAGGAACTCTTGCTGTATTTCTTACCATTTCTATCATCTGACCATTTTGTTCAGATGAGCTGATCACAGTGTGGCCATGGCATGCAGACTGAGAGGTGCAGTTCAAGCTAAACATCCCCATAGGTGACCAATTAATAATGATTCCATAGGAATTGTTGTGCAGCACCTCTGCCTGTTCTGCAAAGCAATCTTCCTAAACAAGTACGTTCATTTTTGCTAACTGGGTCCAATCCTGTTTACAAATATGTTTTTGAGGGCAGTATGCCTCAATTATAGGAGCAGATTTATTATGAGATCAGAAAGCTTGTATAACTGTGTCATAGAGTGATTACATCCAGGCATTATTGCCAGCCAAGATTGATAAATATGCCCAATAAGTATAATTGTCCTCTGTGTCAGCCCTTATTGAAGGAATACTCATGGCAGTGGTGATCATCGCTATCATAGCTACCATTAAATTACTCATTGCGACTGGTTGTCCCACTTTCCTCAGGTTTTCTTCCACCATCTGTGACAGCTTCTTGATCTGTCTCCAGGTGGGTGGCTGTGTTTGACAGGTGTTGCTCGTGACAGTTGGGGTCTTCCTCAGCGTCAGTCTCGACATGGCTGCAACCGGGGGTGGGGGGGGTCCTCAGTTTCCTCCCGGAATCTCTTCCTCAGCATCTGGCTCATGATAAGGTTTCAGGTGTCTTGATGGTATCCAAATCGGCTGTTGAGTCAGTCCTGGAGAAACACAAGCATAACCTCTACCCCAAGTTATTATTTTACCTATTTCCTAACTTTTTGTTATTGGATCTCTCCACCAAACTAGTTGTTCTGCTTCTGTCTTTGCAGCTGGTTTCTGTAGATGCTGTTCAGCTACTGATAGGATCTGGCCTTTAGGCAGGCTCAAAAAATTTAAAGTTAACAATGCTAGATTCAGTTGCATATGGGGTGTCCCGTAGTCCTTGTTTTCCCCCCTTTTTTTTGCTTTTGCAACTGCTGTTTCAGGGAGAGATTCATTCTTTCCACTATGGCTTGTCCTTGAGAATTATATGGGATACCAGTAATGTGTTTAATATTCCGTATAGAGAAAAATGTAGCTAGAGCTCGGCTAGTGTAGCCTGGGGCTTTATCTGTTTTAATAGAAGCTGGAATGCCCATCACTGCAAAACACTGCAAAAGGTGACGCCTGGAAGAGGTGTATGAGCCCTAATGTGAGTGATGTAAAAAGGGTGCATTCTACTCCTAACTGCTGTTTGCAGTTGGGTAAATAAAATCATCAGTTGTTCATCTGCAGGAAATTGTAACTGAGCATTTTCAGTTAATTGTGTGGAATGAATCACGTATGAAGAGTCAGAAATCACATTAATAGGCATATGAAAAGCAGTCACTACCTCAATTACAGCTACAGGCTCCACTTTTTGAGCTGAAGTATAGGGCATCTGAAAAACTTTACTTTTTGAGCCAGAATAAGAAGCTTTACCATTACTAGACCCATCTGTAAAAACATTTTCAGCACCTTCAATTGGTTTAAATTTAGTTATTTTAGGGAGAATCCAATTAGTTAATTTCAAAAATTAAAACAGTTTTGTTTAGGAAAATGGTTATCGAGAATACCCACAAAGTCAGCTTAATTGGTTTGCCAAGTAAGACTATTTATAAAAGCTTGCTGTATTTGTGCCTTTGTGAGAGGGATAATAATTTTTCCAGGATCATATCCATGTAATTTAACAATCCGAGTTCTCCCATTTCCTATCATAGTAGCAATTTGATCCAAATAAGGAGTTAGAGTCCGTGAATTAGTATGTGGAAGAAAAAGCCACTCTACAAGATCTCACTCTTGAACAATAACACCAGTAGGTGAATGCTGAGTTGGAAAAATTAGCAAATCTAGAGTCTTCTCTGGATCTAATCTATTTATTTGAGCTTTATGGACTTGCTTTTCGATTAGCCGCAGCTCTGCCTCAGCTTCTCTTGTTAATTACCGAGGGCTTGTGAGACCAGGATCTCCTCTAAGGATAGAAAATAGATTACTCATGGCATAGGTAGGAATGCCTAGAGCAGGTCGTATCCAATTAATGTCCCCTAGTAATTTTTGAAAGTCCTTTAATGTTTTCAATTGATTCCTATGTATGGTTGCTTTCTGTGGCACAATGGTAGTGTCATTTACTAAGGTCCCCAAGTAGGAGTAAGGAGTAGTAGTCTGAATTTTGTCAGGAGCTATAATTAAACCAGCGCAAGAAATCGAATTTTGTAAGTGATCATAACATTGGAGTAATACTTCTCGAGTGGGGGCAGCACAAAGTATATCATCCATATAATGAATAATGTAACACTGTGAAAACTTTTAACGAGTAGGTTCAATTGCTTGCCCTACATAAGTCTGGCAAATTGTTGGGCTGTTTAACATGCCTTGTGGCAATACTTTCCAGTGAAAACGCTTAGCAGGCTGCAGGTTGTTTACTGCAGGAATTGTAAATGCAAACTGTTCACAGTCTTGCTCAGCTAAGGGGATAGTAAAGAAACAGTCTTTTAAATCTATGACTATTAAAGGCCAATTTTTTGGAATCATAGCAGGAGAAGGCAATCCTGGCTGTAATGTACCCATGGGTTGTATAACTGAATTAATGGCTCTTAAGTCAGTTAACATTCTCCGTTTATCTGATTCTTTTCTTAATTACGAAAACTGGAGAATTCCAAGGGGAAAATGTTGGAGCTATGTGTCCGTTTTCTAATTATTCAGTAACTAATTCCTCTAAAGCCTTCAGTTTCTCTTTACTTAGCGGCCATTGTTCTATCCAAATTGGCTTATCTGTTAACCATTTTAAAGGTATAGGTTCTGGAGGCTTAACAATGGCCGCCATCAAAAATAATATCCTAAACCTTGGCGGAAACTTGTATTTCTGCTTGAAGCGGTTCCTTCAAACCTTGTAAATTTTTTCCTAGTCCCATACTAGGGACATACCCCATTTCATGCATCATATGTTGACTTTGAGGGCTATATAATTGTTCTGGAATTAGAACTTGTGCTCCGCATTGTTGTAATAAATATCTTCCCCATAAATTTATAGGTACAGAAGTTTTGGTTGAATAGTCCCAGGTTGTCCATCAGGCCCTTCACAATGCAAAATATAACTACTTTGATATACTTCAGGGGCTTTACCAACTCCAACTATGTTAAACTGAGCAGGTTGAATTGGCCATGTGGACGGCCATTGCTATAGAGAAATGAAATGTCCGCTCCTGTATCTACCAAACCTTTATATTTCTTTCCCTGAATAGTTATTTCACAGGTAGGACGTTTATCAGTAATTTGATTCACCCAATAAGCTGTTTTGCCTTGTTTATTTGTGCTTCCAAATCCTCCTGTTCGTTTAATTTCACTTTTTCCCATTCCCACATATGGCACATTCAGGAGCTGTGCTATGCGCTCTCCTGGCTCTGCTTTCCAGGGAACAGAAGTAGAAAAAACAATTTGAATTTCTCCATTGTAATCTGAATCAGTGACTCCTGTTTGTACTTGTACCCCCTTTAAATTTAAACTACACCTCCCTAGAAGTAATCCTATTGTCCCCACTGGCAAGGGTCCACAGACCCCTGTTGGAACTTTTTGCGGGGGTTCCTCAGGCAGAAGGCTCACAGCTTTTGTGCAGCATAAATCTACTGTGGCATTACTGGCTGTGGCAGGGGACAGACATTGTACAGGGGTGAAGGAGTGGCCTGAGGCGGAAATGCCCCTGGTTTCGAACAGGGCCCGGGATGGGCCCCTCATGGCATTTCCCGAAATCGGGTTCCCATCTTTATCAAACTTAGAGTGACACTGATTAGCCCAATGTTTTCCTTTTTTTACATTTTGGACATATATCAGGCTCAGCAGTTTTCTTTTTTCCCCTGTCTGCCGGCCTGACTTGCTGATTTTTTTCTGCATTCTTTTTTAGTGTGCCCATGCTTCCCACAGTTGAAACAAGCTCCAGGAAATGGAGTATTTCCTTTATCCACTTTCAGTCCTGCCATTGCCTGTGCCAACAAAGTAGCTTTATGCAGATTACCTCTGATACCATCTCAGGCCTTGATATAATCAACTAAATGTGCTTTCCCTCTAATAGGTCACAGAGCAGCCTGGCAATTGAGATTAGCATTGTCAAAAGCTAATAACCGCAACACTATATCCTGAGCAGCCGAATCTGCAATCACCTTTTTAAGATACTCCTGTAACCGAGCTATAAAATCTGTGTACGGTTCTTTTGGTCCCTGTTTTACAGCACCAAAGGAAGGGTACTGTTCTCCACCTGAAGTGATTTTTTCCCAAGCTCTGATGCACACTCCTCTAAGCTGCTCTATGGCATCATCCTGCATGACCACCTGTGCATCTAAACCAGCCCAGCCGCCGACCCCCAAAAGTTGGTGTGCAGTTATATCAATTTGAGGTTGGGCCTGGGTGTTGCGAGGAGCCTGAATGGAAGCTTCATCTGCCCACCAAGTTTTAAATTGTAAGAACTGAGCAGGAGTTAGACAAGCTCAAGTAAGAGCGTCCCAGTCAGGAGGAATCATCCGACTGGAAACAGCAACATTCTTTAACAGTCCCGTTACAAAAGGAGAACCTGGTCCATATTGATTAATAGCTTGTTTAAATTCTTTGAGTAATTTAAAAGGAAAAGGCTCAAATGTAGCTGTAATATTTCCCTGTTGATCTGGGGGATGTATTCTAACAGGGAACTGCCAAGCCTCTAAATCACCCTCTCTTCTAGCTTGCTGAATTCCTGCCTGAATGGAACTGAGAGCAGTCGCTTGAGGCACTGCCCAAACAGTCACTGGGGCAACTACTTTTCACCCAGTGTCCTCTGGAAAAGAAAGATCTGGAGGGTCAGGTCACTCTTTTTCTTCACACTAAGGAGGGGATGCAGAAGGGTAGGGATGAACCTCTTCCTCCTTTGCCACTTTAGCTTTAGCTGGCAAACAAACCTGCTCTGTTACCTCTTCCATTACTTCATTACACTCTCCCTGCTCCTCATCAGTGTGAAAAGGTTCCAAGGTGGAATGAACCAGAACCCACACCTGTCCCATTGCTACCCTGATGCTTCCGAGCTCCCCTTCTTACTCACCATGGGGATTGCTTAAGAGTACTCGGGTGTCCTCCAGCTTAGTTCCACGTTCTCCAACCGTCGCTCCAGTGACTCTTCGACCTGGGTTCGAGCCCCCACGTATGGGTGCCACTTGCCGAGACCAGCTCGGTTGTGGAGACCCTAACCCAGCGGTGCTAGAGGAATTAAAGACACATACACAGAAATATAGGGTGTGGAGTGGGAAATCAGGGGTCTCACGGCCTTCAGAGCTGAGAGCCTTGAACAGAGATTTACCCACATATTTATTGACAGCAAGCCAGTGATAAGCATTATTTCTATAGATTATAGATTAACTAAAAACATTTCTTACAGGAAATAAAGGGATGGGCTGAAATAAAGGGATGGGTCTGGCTAGTTATCTGCAGCAGGAACATGTCGTTAAGGCACAGATCACTTATGCTATGGTTTGTGGTTCAGGAACCCCTTTAAGCGGTTTTCCGCCCTGGGTGGGCCAGGTGTTCCTCGCCCTCGTTCCAGTAAACCCACAACCTTCAGGGTGGGGGTCATGGCCATCACAAACATGTCACAGTGCTGCAGATATTTTGTTTATGGCCAGTTTTGGGGCCAGTTTATGGCCAGATTTGGGGGCCTGTTCCCAACACCAGAGATTTCCCCAAACAGCAGATGACTTTGTTAGTCTCAAGGACAGACTGCCTCAGCGGACCTCTGCTCCCTGCCCACGATCATTACCCCCAAAACATGCCGGCAAGTCTCTGCTCCCTGCGTCGGCAGAGGGATTTATAAGCCCTCTCTTATAAATCCTGGTTTAGCCTTTGTTTTGTGACTGAGTCCACCGAGATCCTTGCAGGAGAAGAAAATTTGCAGGCAAATGAACTAAATGTCTCTTCCTGACACTCCCCTTCTGGGGGGCTGAGGAAGCTGTGAACAGCCTGGTTTGTCACACAGCATGATGGCCACCACACTGAAGCAGCAGCAAGCAGATTCATGGAAGGTGTGCTGAGAACCAGCCACCTGGGAGCCCTACTGTCCCTGGGTATCCTCTGGCTTCTGGCTGCAAAGCTGGTCTTTTTTTTTTTTTTTTTCATTGATATAGGGTCTTGCTTTCTCACCCAGGCTGGAGTGGTGGTGAAATCACGGCTCACTGCAGCCTCAACCTCCTGGTCTCAGGCAATCCTCCCACCCAAGCCTCCTGAGTAGCTGGGACTACAGGCGGCACCACCATGCCTGGCTAATTTTTTAAAAATTATTTGTGGAGACGGTTTCACTATGTTGCCCAGGCTGGTCTTGAACTCCCGAGCTCCAGTGATCCTCCCACCTCGGCCTCCTGAAGTGCTGGGATTCCACAGGTGTGAGCCACTGCACCTGGCTGCAAGGCTGGTCTTGACTGACAACGTCAGGCAGTAGTCCAGTCGCTAGGACAGACGGATCCTGACCCTCACACTGGAGTGGGTCACAAGGGCGCCATAGTGCCCCACCCAGGAACTCACGTCTCTCCCGTACTGCTCAAAAGATACGTAGCGGATGCCCTTGCCAAAGTTGGTGAAGACGTGGGAGACCTGCAGGGGGAAGGGGAGTGAGAGGGTGAGGGCCTGCGGGCCCCTTCTCTTCCTCCACTTCAACAGATAGGCCCAAAGGACTGAGGAGGTGCCAGTCCTGCGCTAGTTTGCTGGGGACGGAGCAGTGAATAAAACCGGAAAAGGACCCCGCCCTGGTGTCAGTGCCATTCTAGCAGGGGGCCCAGACACTGGAGATAGGTGGGGGTGAGGGGCCAGGGGCATTCTGCCAGGAAGGTGGCAGGAATGTGAGTAGAGTGAGTTAGCAAAGGCCCCACAGAGGTGACACCTGAAGGAGGAGAGGGAGCCGGGAGGGGCTCTGGAGGGTGTCCCAGGCAGCAGGAACGGCCCGCGCAAAGGCCCTGAGGTGGGAGAATGCCTGGAGCTGAGTGAGGGGAGAGGTAAGAGAGGGGTCAGGGAGGTCATGGGCAGATCATGGCCTTGTGGGCCACAGGAGGACTTTGGCTTTTTTTTTTTTTCCAATTTAAAAAAGTTGAGATAAAATTTTCGTAAAACAAACTTTTTATTTATTTATTTATTTTTGAGATGGAGTCTCACTCTGTCGCCCAGGCTGGAGTACAGTGGCATGATTTTGGCTCAATGCAACCTCCACCTCGCAGGTTCAAGCGATTCTCCTGTCTCAGCCTCCCGAGTAGCTGGGATTACAGGCGCGCACCACCATGCCCGGCTAATTTTTGTATTTTTAGTAGAGACGGGGGTTTTGCCATGTTGGTCAGGCTGGTCTTGAACTCCTGACCTCAGGTGATCCACCCGCCATGGTCTTCCAAAGTGCTGGGATTACAGGTGTGAGCCACTGCGCCCAGCCAAAATTTACCATTTTATTTTATTTATTTATTTTGAGGCCAAGACTCGCTCCATCGCCCAGGCTGGAGTGCAGTGGCATGATCTCAGCTCACTGCAACCTCCACCTCCCCCGGTTCAATAAATTCTCCCGCCTCAGTCTCCCCAGAAGCTGGGATTACAGACGCCCATCACCGTGCCTGGCTAATTTGTGTATTTTTAGTAGAGACAGGGTTTCACTGTGTTGGCAGGCTGGTGTTGAACTCCTGCCCTCAAGTGATCTGTCCGCCTTGACCTCCCAAAGTGCTGAGATTACAGGCATGAGCCACCACACCCGGCCCAAAATTCATTTTTTAAAGTGTACAATTCAGTGGTTTTTAGTTGATTCACGATATTATGCAGCCATCACCACTACCTAATTCCCATCACCCCAGGAAAAAACTCTGCATCCATGAGCTGTCATTTCCAAGACCTCCCTCCCCCAGCCCCTGGCAGTCGCCAATCTTCTTAGTGTACATTTCATATATGTGGAATCATACAGTATTTGTCATTTCATGTCTGGCCTCTTTCAGCATCATGTTTTCAGTTTATCCACGTTGCAGTGTGAATTCATGCTTCATTTCTTTTCCGTGGCTGCATAACTTTGGCTTTTACTGTGAGATGTAGCCACAGGAGCATTACAAGCAGTGAGACTTCTGATCTGACTCATTATTATTATTATTATTATTATTATTTTTAGTTAGCGTCTCAGTCTGTTGCCCTGGCTGGAGTGCAGTGGGACCAACTGGGCTCCAACCATCCTCCCACCTCAGCCTCCTGAGTAGCTGAGACTGCAGGTGCAAGTCACCATGCCCGTCTAATTTTTAATTTCTTTGTAGAGATGGAGGTCTCGCTATATTGCCCAGGCTGGCCTCAAACTCCTGCCCTCAAGCTGTCCTCCCATCTTGGCCTCCTAAAGTGGTGGGATTACAGGTATGAGCCACTGTGCCCAGCCGAAACATTTACTTTGGTAACTGAGGTGTGAGGATCAAGACAGCATAGTCTTGGTGCCAGATTGGGCTTGAGTCCAGCTCTGCACTGGACCAGTCACATAACCTCCCTGTCTGTGCCTCTGTTTCCTCAACTCTAGAATGGAGATAGGATTTTGCTTCACTGCTGCATTTCCAGCACATAGAGTGGTGCCCAGCACACAGTAGGTGCTCAATCAGTGTTTGTTGAACATTAAGGGGTTTTGCTAATGAAATGAATCGATATGTAAGCGTCTTGACACAGGGCTTGGGATGTAAGAAGGGCTCGATACTTCTTAGCTGTTATGATTATAGATATCCAGGAGTGACAGAAGGGAAACCGAGCAGACGAGAGGCTGGGCGTGTGTGCCTTTAGCGGGTCGGGGGGAGCTGGAAGCTAGTCTGGACCCACCTGTCGGCAGCCCCTCTCAGTCCACTGAAGGACCGGGTCAGGTGAGGCTGAGAACTTGACCACTTCCTTTTCATACACATCCAGAAGGCGGACCCGGAGCTGGTAGACGCAGCCGCAGTTCTCTCGAGCGCCCCACCTGCCAGGCAGCAGTCAGCCTCTATGCCCCCGTCACCCAGCCAGCTCTCTGGGTTTCGGGGCGGGAGGCTGAGGGCTGGCTCCATCTTGATGAAGGTCCTGCACATCTGGACCACATTTGGAGACGTCCTGGCCTGGGAACCTCTAGGGGAGGAGCCTTGGTGGTTCTGGGGTGGAACCAGAGCCTGGCGGAGGAGCCTGGGTGGTCCTGGGGAGGAGCCAGAGCCTGGGGGAGGAGCCTGGGTGGTCCTGGGGTGGAGCCAGAGCCTGGGGGAGGAGCCTGGGTGACCCTGGGGTGGAGCCAGAGCCTGGGGGAGGGTCCTGGGTGGTCCTGGGGGAGGAGTCTGGGTGGTCCTGGAGTGGAGCCAGAGCCTGGGGGAGGGGCCTGGGTGGTCCTGGGGGAGGAATCTGGGTGGTCCTGGGGTGGAGCCAGAGCCTCGGGGAGGGGCCTGGGTGGTCCTGGGGGAGGAGTCTGGGTGGTCCTGGGGTGGAGCCAGAGCAGGGGAGGAGCCTGGGTGGTCCTGGGGGAGGAGCCTGGGTGGTCCTGGGGTGGAACCAGAGCCTGGGGGAGGGGCCTGGGTGGTCCTGGGGGAGGAGCCTGGGTGGTCCTGGGGTGGAACCAGAACCTGGAGGAGAAGCCTGGGTGACCCTGGGGTGGAGCCAGAGCCTGGGGGAGGAGTCTGGGTGGTCCTGGGGTGGAGCCAGAGCAGGGGAGGAGCCTGGGTGGTCCTGGGGGAGGAGCCTGGGTGGTCCTGCGGTTGATTCTGGAGGCTTTTGGGTAGGTAGTTGGGGGACGGGAAAGGATGCTCTGGGGAAGAACCACAATGCAGGGCAGGTGCCTGATGACTTCAGGGAAGAGCCAGAGCCCCAGGGAAGAGACCAGATTTTCTATGGAAGAGCCACAGCCTGAAGGAGGAGCTGGAATGCTTTGGGGCAGAACCTGGGTGTTTTGGGAAGAAGGCATTCATCCTAAGCCTGTAGGCTCTGAAGCCAGTCCTGTCCCAACTATGCTCCCTGAGCCTCAGCTCACAGGGCACCATGCTCCCACCCCTTCAGAGACCCTGGGCATCCACAAGGTGGTCAGGGGAGGTGTCTCGTTTCAGAGGGGTATCAAGCCAGTCAGTGGCCCCCTGTGGACCACCCCAGCCTGCTGGGATGAGGGTGGGCAGGAGTGCAGAGTGGGGGCTCTGGCTTCTCCAAAGCTCTACCTTCCCCGGCTCTGCATCACTTCCCCTCTCAGCCTCATCACAAAGGGTGCACAGTGACAGCCGCTACCCGTGGGGTTGATGGGGCGGGAAATGAGCCCCTGTTGCAGAGCCGCTGCCAAGCCTGCTGCTGCTCTGGGGCAGGGTGCCGCTCCTCACTCACCAGTCAGCCACACAGATCTCAATCTGGGCGCTGTCCAGCAGCTCCTGCCACACCCCTTCCATCACCAGGTCCACAAGCTGCCTCTTGGAGCACCATCTGGGAAGGAGAGATGGCAGGGGGCAGGGCAAACAGTCCTGGCATTCAAGTCACAGTCAGAAGCCACCTCCTCCAAGAAGTCTCCCTTGATAACCCTCTCTAAAGCAGCCCTCAGGGTTTGCTCTAGCAGACCTGAAGATGCATGATGGGCTATACATCTCTCCTTGGCCTCTTGGAGTCCCTTTGCCATTCTCCACCCTGCTGCGGGCTCCAGGCAGCTGACCTCTATGAAAGCCTGACCCTCATCTTTGTGGGACAGGACATGACTACAAATGAAGGCCACATACTAGACATGTGAGCGGGGAGCTCTGTGGCCTCCTAAAGTGTGAGGGCCCCGGGTCTAAAGCTGGACAGCCTTGTCTCTGTCACCCATTGCTTCCTGTTGGATCAGCCAATGGGATGCTCCGGCAGGGGATGGAAGTGAAAGAGGTGACTAAAATCAGGGTATTTATCCTCTTAGGTCCTTCTCAAGGGACTGCCTTGTCCCCCAAGGAAAAAGCAAATCTCCATGGCACTCTCTCCTCATTTTCCAGTAACTGTTTCCTCCCCTCACCTCTAGCAGTCTAGGGGTGGTAACGTTCCTTTCCTAACTGTTACTAGCTCAGGGGCTCCTGCCTACAACTTTGTAAACAGTCCTTCTCCTCAAACTAGAATGTGCCATAATAACATAAATTGTGCAGTATTGGTGGAAGGATGGGTAAGTTGAGCAATGGAATAGAACAAAGTGCCAGGAACCGGCTGAGCGCGGTGGCTTAGACCTGTAATCCCAGCACTTTGAGAGCCCGAGGCAGGCGGATCACCGGAGGTCGGGAGTTAGAGACGAGCCTGGTCAATATGGTGAAACCTCTTCTCTACAAAAAATACAAAAATTAGCCAGGCATGGTGGCGCACCTCTGTAGTCACAGCTATTCGGGAGGCTGAGGCAGGAGAATCATTGGAACCCAGGGAGGCAGAGGCTGCAGTGAGCCAAGATTGCGCCACTGCACTCTAGACTGGGCAACAAAATGAGACTCTATCTCAAAAAACAAAAACAAAAACAAAAAAAACAGAGTGCCAGGGACAGACGTAGGTATACACAGAAACTTCATAAACTGTAGAGGTGGCACCATCATTCCATGGAGAACAGATTCTCATTTTTTCTTTTCTTTTGAGTCAAGGTCTTATTCTGTTGCCAGGCTGGAGTGCAGTGGCATGATCCTAGGCTCACTGCAACCTCAAACTCCTGGGCTCAAGAGATCCTCCCACTTCGGCCTCCCAAAGTGCTGGGATTACAGCTATGAGCCACCGTGCCCGGCCTTCAGTTTCCTGTTATAAAGTGGGGGCAATAATAGTATCTATGTCACAGGGTTGTTGCCAGAATTATATGTAAAGTGTCTAGTATAGAGTAACTCCTTGTGGAGGCAAAAGCGACTCCATCTTGGGTGCTAATCTGCCATGTTCCCTTTTTTTTTTTTTTTGAGACAGAGTCTCATTCTGTCGCCCAGGCTGGAGTGCAGTGGTGCAATCTCGGCTCACTGCAACATTTGCCTCCTGGGTTCAAGCGATTCTCCTGCCTCAGCCTCCACGTCCAGCTAATTTTTGTCTTTTTAGTAGAGACGGGGTTTCCCCCTGTTGGCCAGGCTGGTCTCGCACTCCTGACCTAAAGTGATCTGCCCACCTCGGGCTCTCAAAGTGCTGGGATTACAGGCGAGAGCCACCGTGCCCGGCCCAAAACCCTGTCTTTAGATCAAAGCTGTCTTGCTGTTGTCTCACAAACTGCAGGCGATGATGCACAGAGCATTGCTGCCTGTGGTTGCTAACCTTCCTGATCTTTCCTTGTATCCCTGGCATATGAAACAGTACCCTCAACAAGTATTTGTTGATTGATGGAATGAATCAATGAATAAATAAATGGGGGAAGGAGAGGGTGAAGGTGACGATGAGGACAGTGTGGGGGGTAGGGTCCCTTTCTTTGGGGCCTTTGCCCCAGGGATCGGGGCCTCTCACTTGGGCCACTCACTCGAAAGAGGTCACGAAGCAGGTCTGCGAAGGAGCCCCAGGCACCGGTGTTAGGTTCTTTTCTATGGCCCAGCCGTTCCCGCCATGCTCCACCTCCCAGCCTCTGAAGCCCTCTGTGGGAAAACAAGAGTTGAACATATGGTTCACCTGCCAGCCTGCCCAGAAGAGACCCCGCAACCAGCCAGCTTGTGCTGTCCACCAGCCTCTCCCTCTTGTGCTCCAATCCTCCCTGGTTTCTCCTACCGACTCCTCCTCCCATTATTCTGTATTCCTGGTCCTACCCCACAACTGTGACTCTCAGCGGTGCCCATCCACTCAGCTTCTCTTCAGCCACCCTTACTTGCTCTTTCTCCTTCAGTCCTGCTCTTCATTGTGTGTGTGAGAGACAGGGTCTCACTCTGTCGCCCAGGCTGGAGTGCAGTGGCTCCATCATAGCTCACTGCAGCCTCAAACTCCTGGGCTCAAGCGATCCTCCCACATCAGCCTCCAGAGTAGCTAGGACCACAGGTGCATGCCACCACGCCTGGCTAATTTAATTTTTTAATTTTTTTTTGAGATGGAGTTTCAATCTTGCTGCCCAGGCTGGAGTGCAATGGCATGATCTCAGCCCACTGTAACCTCCGCCTCCCAGGTTCAAGCAATTTTCCTGCCTCAGCCTCCCAAGTAGCTGGGATTACAGGCGTGCACCACCACACCTGGCTAATTTTGTATTTTAGTAGAGATGGGGTTTCACCATGTTGGTCAGGCTGGTCTTGAACTCCTGACCTCAAGTGATCTGCCCCCTCGGGCCTCCCAAAGTGCTGGGATTACAGGCGTGAGCCACTGCGCCTGGACTAATTTTTAAATTTTTTAGAGACAGAGTCTCACTTTGTTGTTCAGGCTGGTCTCAAACTCCTGGCCTCAAGCGATCCTCCCACCATAGACTCCCAAAATGCTGGGATTACAGGCGTGAGCTACTGCACCCCACCATTTTTTTTTTTTTTTGAGACAAGGTCTCTGTCACGCAGGCTGTAGTGCAATGGCACGATCATAGCTCACTGCAGCCTTGAACTCCTTGGGCTTAAGCGATCCTCCTGCCTTGGCCTCCCAAAGCGTTGCCATTCCCACCGCGCCTGGCCCCTGTCCTGTTCTGCATCCCCTCTGCATACCAAACTACTTGCTTTCTCCCCCGGCCCAGCCAGGGTCTTCCTGCCTTGCCCCGCCCACTCGTTCGGATTCCCGGCTTCACCTTCTCCAGCCCCGCCCACCGGGCCTACCGCCCAGGCACTGCGTCCCTCAGCCCCGCCCCCTGGCTCCTCCAGCGGTCTCGCCCATTGGCTACATCTCTCAGACTCTGTCCCGGCCCCGCCCCCGCCTCGCTCGCGCGGCCCCCCTCAGCCTCCTGGGCCCCGCCCCCGTCACCCACGCTCTCCGCAGGAGTTGAAGATGAGATTGCGGCCGAAGGGCGCGCGCAGACAGTAGCGCGCCAGGGCGCACAGCGGGAACTCCTCCTTGTCTTCGTTGCTGGGCAGGCAGCGTTGAGCCACTGCGTAGAGTGCGCGGCCCTCGGCGCTGCGGTCGCGGGCCAGCTGCAGCAGCCACACAGTGGGCCCGTCCACTATGTCGCGCCAGGCGCGGCACACTGGGCGGCATCGCGTGACCAAGGAGCGTGGCGGCACGTGGCTCAGCACCTGCACCAGCAGCTCCGGGGGCAGCGCGTCCAGGGCCAGGGATGGGTCCGCCGGCAGCCGTCGCCGCGATAGCCGGGCGCCCATCTCCAGTAGCCAGAGTCCTGCAGGTCGAGAGGGGTCGGTAGGCGGGTCAGCGCAGCCAGGCCACCCCCTCCCTACCTTGTCCCCCAGGGCGCAAGGCCCCTGCTGCTCGAGAGACCCCATTAGGTCCATGGGCAACCAGGGACCCATTTCCCTCTCTGATCCTAGGCCTTTCCCAATCTTCCCCACTTGGGTAAAAGACCCCTGGTCTGACTCTGACCCCCGTCAGGACCGCTGATCACGGCTTCCGTCTGGCGTTCAATTGTGTCAGGCTAAGCGCTTCAGGTATATGACCAGTGAAATGGCAAAAGAACTAACATAACTAACCCCATTTTTGTTTAAGGGGACTTTACCCATTCCTGCACATGGCTAGGTTAATTTTAGACCGCTGAGATAATATGCAAAAACAGCAATCATGTAGTTTTTAAAACTAACTCTGGGATTAAAGAAGTATGTAAACAACTATGTTTTGTCAAAGATTTTTTTTTTTTGAGACACAGTCTTGCTCTGTTGCCCAGGCTAGAGTGTGCAGTGGCACGATCTTGGCACATTGCAACCTCCGCTTCCTGGGTTCAAGCGATTCTCCTGCCTCAGCCTCCCGAGTAGCTGGAACTACAGGCGCCCGCCACCACGCCCGGCTAATTTTTGTATTTTTAGTAGAGACGGGGTTTCACCATCTTGGCCAGGCTGGTCTCGAACTCCTGACTTCGTGATCCACCCACTTCGGCCTCTCAAAGTGCTGGGATTACAGGTGTGAGCCACCACGCCCAGCCTGTTTTTTCAAAGATTTATAGGGGCATTGTGACCCAACCAAGGACAAAGAAGTCATCAACCTCCTCGGACCCTAGCTGGCACTCAGATGTCTGCAGTGGTCACCTCCTTATTTTTATTATTATTACTTTTTTATGGAGCTAGAAACCAGGACTATAGCCTCTACCTCCTGGGCTCGAGTGATCCTCCTGCCTCAGCCTCCCAAGTAGCTGGGACTATAGGTGCATGCCACTATGCCCAGCTAGTTTTTTATTTTATTTATTGTTTTGTAGAGATGGGGTCTCACTACATTGCCCTGGCTGGTCTTGAATTCCTGGGTTCAAGTGATCCTCCTGCCTCAGCCTCCCAAAGTGCTGGAATTGGTATGAGTCACTGCGCCTGGCCTGTTGGTCACCTCTTGATCACAATGCCCTTCTCTTCCCTCTGCCCCTAAAAAAAAAAAAAATTGTACTGATTTAAGATGGTACTTTAGGATGATAGTCCACTGTGTTCTCGGTTTGCTGGCTCTCCAAATAAACTTGCTTTTCCTCCCACCAACTGTCATCTCTCTTGAGTTTGGCTTTCTATTTTTTTTTTTTTTTTTGAGGCAGCCTCACTCTGTCACCCAGGCTGGAATGCAGTGGCCCGTCTCGGCTCACTGCAACCTCTGTCTCCCAGGTTCAAGTGATTCTCCTGCCTCAGCCTCCCGAGTAGCTGGGACTACAGGAATGCACCACCACACCTGGCTAATTTTTGTATCTTTAAGGAGAGACAGTTTCACCATGTTGGCCATGCTAGTCTCGAACTCCAGACCTCAGGTGATCCACCCACCTCGGCCTCCCGAAGTGCTGGGATTATAGGCTTGAGCCACCACGCTCGGCCCGAGTTTGGCTTTCTTTTCTGAAACCGAGTCTTACTCTGTTGCCCAGGCTGGAGTGCAGTGGCACAATCTTGGCTCACTGCGACCTCCGCCTCCCGGGTTCAAGCGATTCTCCTGCCTCAGCCTCCCAAGTAGCTGGAATTACAGATGTGTGCCACCACACCGAGCCAGTAATTTCTGTAGTAGAGATGGGGTTTCACCATGTTAGCCGGCTGGTCTCAAACTCCTGACCTCAAGTGATCCACCTGTCTCAGCTTCCCAAAATGCTGGGATTTCAGGCGTGAGCCACCACGCCTGGCCTGAGTTTGGCTTTTGAGTGTTGAGCGGCCAAACCTCAGTCGGGTTACAGACCCACAAGGAAACCCACTGCGGAAGAAACCATTTCTACCCCATACCCCAATGTGTGCCAGCTACTGTGACCTTTGGAACCCATGACCCATCTTCAACAAAATCTCTTCTTGCCTCAGTTACTTCTCTGAACATTCCTACCACCTTCTTGCTCTAACTGGAACCCAGCTCTCCTGTGGGCCTTCCAAGTGGGGAGGTCTCCGTGCTCCTGGGAGCTACTTCCTGACCATTCTCCCTCCACCCTCCCCAAAACCCCCAGCGATGAATCTCATCACTACCTTGCTTCATGCGTCATCTGCTGACCCAGATCATGACTCCTCTCTTCTCCCTAATTTTAGCTCTGGGCTCACGGCCGCTCCCGCTGCTCTTAGCATCATTCTCAGTGATTTCTATAACCAGATAGTTCTTCCGCAGCCCCAACCTCTCTGTTCCCTGACCTCTCTCTAGTGACTTTTTCCTTCCCCAACATCTCCCTCTCGTGGTCAAACCCAGACCTTGTTTGAATAACAGCAGCCTCTTCAGAACCTCAATCTCACACTCACTCTCCACCCATCACTTTTTCTTTCCACCTCATTCCCTCCAGTGCCCCACTCGCATGATCCTTCCAACCCACTGTGATCTCCCATCCGTTGTCCCTTTCATATTTTACTCCCCCTCACCCTCCCATGCCCTCATTTCTTCCTTAGCCAGCTTAAATTCCATGGTTAATCATTAAAAACATTCTTGACCTGGCACGCTGGCTCATGCCTGTAATTCCAGCACTTTGGGAGGGCAAGGTGGGAGGACTGCTTGAGGCCAGGAGTTTGAGATCAGCCTGGGCAACACAGCGATACTCCACCTGTACAAAAAATAAAATGAAAAAATTAGCCGGGTGTGGTGGTGCACACCTGTAGTCCCACCTACTCCAGAGGTTAAGGTGGGATGATCGCTGGAGCCCGGGAGTTGGAGGCTGCAGTGAGCTATGATTATGCCACTGTACTCCAGCCTGGGCAACAAAGCGAGACCCTGTCTCTAAATAAAATAAAAAGAATAGCAAAAAAAGTGGGGCTGTAGCTAGAAGGGGAGGTGAAGTCAAGAGAGGGTTTGGGCTGGGCACGGTAGCTCACACCTGTAATCCCAGCACTTTGGGAGGCTGAGGTGGGCAGATCACTTGAGGTCAGTAGTTTGAGACCAGCCTGGCTAACATAGTGAAACCCCATCTCTACTAAAAATACAAAAATTAGCTGGGTGTGGTGGCGCACCTGTAATCCCAGCTACTCGGGAGGCCAAGGCAGGAGAATTGCTTGAACCCAGGAGGCAGAGGTTGCAATGAGCTGAGATCGCACCACTGCACTCCAGCCTGGGCGGCAAAGTGAGACCCTGTCTCAAAACAAAACAAAAACAAAAACAAAAAAAGAGAGAGGGTTTGTTTTGAGATGGGAGACAGGATGCTGTGTGGGCTAACAGGAGATCCAGTGCATGGGGGAAACTGAATGAGCAGCAGAGAGAGGTGAGAACCAGGGACGGTGGCTGGAAGTGGGCGGGAAGGTGGGAGCAGGTGATGGGACAGTCACAGCAGGAGAACGGGTGTGGGCAAGGGTGCAGGTAGGTGGTAGAGGCGGGGGTGGCTGTGGAAGTTCACTTCTCATCTCTTGCATTTTCTCTGCAAAATAAGAAGCCAAGGGAGAGTGAAAGGGGGGGAGGAGGTGTTGGAAAGGATTAGAGGAGAAGGGAAAAGGTGTGAATTAGTTGTCTAGAAGACAGGAGGAAGGAGGGGATCAGAGAAATGTCATATGGCTGCCAGGCAGCATTGGGGTCCGCCTGAGGGTCAAGTTCACAGACTTGAAATTAGCCTGGCCAGGGGGCTGTGTTGTTTTTTAGCTCACTCAAGCTGTGTGGGTGCAGGCACGGCAGAGAGGAAGGCTGGATTTAACCAGGGTCTCATGCAGGAGGAAGCCAAAGTGGGCAAGGGTGTGTGCAGAGAATGTGTTATTTTTTATTTATTTACTTTTTTGAGATGGAGTCTCGATCTGTGGCCTAGGCTGGAGTGCAGTGGCGCGATTTCAGCTCACTGCAACCTCCACCTCCTGGGTTCAAGCGATTCTCCTACCTCAGCCTCCCAAGTAGCTGGGATTACAGGCCTCTGCCACCACGCCTGGCTAATTTTTATATTTTTAGTAGAGACAGGGTTTCACCATGTTGGCCAGGCTGGTCTCGAACTCCCGAACTCAGGTAATCCACCTGCCTCAGCCTCCCAAAGTGCTAGGATTACAGGTGTGAGCCACTGCGCCGGGCCGAGAATGTGTTTTTTTTTTTTTTTTTTGAGACAGAGTTTCACTCTTGTTGCCCAGGCTGGAGTGCAGTGGCGCGATCTCAGCTCACTGCAGCCTTCACCTCCCAGGTTTAAGCAATTCTCCTGCCTCAGCCTCCTGAGTAGCTGGGATTATAGGCGCCCGCCACCACACCTGGCTAATTTTTATATTTTTAGTAGAGACAGGGTTTCACCATGTTGGCCAGGCTGTTCTCAAACTCCTGACCTCAGGTGATCCGCCCACCTCAGCCTCCCAAGGTGTTGGGATTAACAGGCGTGAGCCACTGCGCCTGCCCTGACAATGTGTTATTTTATTATTATTATTATTATTATTATTATTATTATTATTATTATTATTATTTTTGAGACGGAGTCTTGCTCTGTTGCCCAGCCTGGAATGCAGTGGTGCGATGTCGGCTCACTGCAAGCTCCGCCTCCTGGGTTCACGCCATTCTCCTGCCTCAGCCTCCCGGGTAACTGAGACTACAGGCGCCCACCACCATGCCCAGCTAATTTTTTTGTATTTTTAGTAGAGACGGGGTTTCACCATGTTAGCCAGGATGGTCTCGATCTCCTGACCTCATGATCCGCCCGCCTTGGCCTCCCAAAGTGCTGGGATCACAGGCGTGAGCCACTGCAACTGGCCTTTTATTTTTATTTTTGAGACAGGGTCTTGCTTCTTCACTCGGGTGGGAGTGCAGTGGTGTGATCATGGCTCACTGCAGCCTCAACCTCCCAGGCTCAAGTGATCCTCCCACCTCAGCCTCCCAAACTGCTGGGATTAGAGGCATGAGTCACCGCATGCAGCGTCTTTGTTTCTCTTTGTGGTAAAACTTCTCAAAAGAGCTGTCTACCCAGTATTTTCTGCTTCCATTCTTTCTAAAACATTTTCTTTCTTTCTTTTTTTTTTTTTTTTTGAGACAGAGTCTCCCTCTGTCACCCAGACTGGAGTGCAGTGGCACAATCTCAGCTCACTGCAACCTCTGGCTCCCAGGTTCAAGTGATTCTCGTGCCTCAGCCTCCTGATTAGCTGGGACTACAGGTGCGTGCCACCAGGCCCTGCTTATTTTTGTATCGTTAGTAGAGACAGGGTTTCACCATGTTGCCCAGGCTGGTCTTAAACTCTTGGGCTCAAAGGATCCTGCTGCCTTGGCCTCCCAAAGTGCTGGGATTATAGGTGTGAGCCACTGTGCTCGGCTCCAGCTCCACTTCTTGCTATAAATTATATGACCAATGGCAAGTCACTTAATCTCTTTATACCTCAGTTTCCCTTTCTGAAAATGGGGCTGCTAACGGTGCCTCCATCATAGGGCTGTTGTGAGGATGAAATGAGTATTTTAAAGCACTTAGGAAAAGCCCCTGTAGGCTCCTAAATAAGAGTGATATTAATTTAATATTAGTCCAGGCATGGTGGCTCACACCTGTAATCCCAGCACTTTGGGAGGCTTAGGTGAGCGGATCACCTGAGGTCGGGAGTTCAAGACCAGCCTGGGCAACATGGCGAAACCCCATCTCTACAAAAAATACAAAAAGTAGCGGAGCGTGGTGGTGGGCACCTGTAATCCCAGCTACTCAGGAGGCTGAGGCAGGAGAATCACTTGAACCCGGGAGGTGGAGGTTGCAGTGAGCTGAGATCGTGCCTCTGCACTCCAGCCTGGGCGATAGACTGAGACTCTGTCTCAAAAAAAAAAAAAAAAGATGATGTCAGGAATTTTTGCTACATTCATGGACTACTTGCCTGACACAGGCTTATTTCTTTTTTTTAAGTAAAACCTTAATTTGTTTAAAAATGACAATAGCTGACATGAATTGAGCACTTATTGGGCACATGAAGATAACAAGCATTAGATCATTAAAGCCTCTTAACCAAGGGCATCCTCAAAGGAGAGTTTTGCCCATTAAACAAGATGATAGAATTCATGAGCTGATCCAGCTTAAATGCTCAGCACCGTGGCTTAATAAGGGCCAATAAATGCCACTAAATGAAAATGTCACAGCTAAAATAGTTGCTGTCAGCCAGGCACAGTGGCTCATGCCTGTAATCCCAGCATTTTGGGAGGCGGAGGTGGGTGGATCACTTGAGGTCAGGAGTTCAAGACCAGCCTGGCCAACATGGTGAAACCTGTCTCTACTAAAAATACAAAAATTAGCCAGGCATGGTGGTGGGAGCCTGTAATCCCAGCTACTCAGGAGGCTGAGGCAGCAGAATCGCTTGAACCTGGGAGGTGGAGGTTGCAGTGAGCCAAGATCATGCCACTGCACACAGCGAGACTCTGCCTCAAAATAAATAAATAAATAAAATAGTTGCTGTCACTTTTTAAAAATGATGTGTCATAATAATGGCAACTAACATAATTTAGTGTTTCACATTAATTTTTAAAATATTAATATTAATTTTCACAGGTGTGAGCCACCATGCCCAGCCTCTGACATCATCTTTATTCCTACCGCAGAAAGAATGAAGCTGTGGAGACAGACTTTACAAAGACCAAGCTGTGCTTTTCTCCAGGTGGTTCTGAGTTGCATTAATAGTTCACTGAGGCCCGGCGCTTGAACCCGCGAGGTGGAGGTTGCAGCGAGCAGAGATCACATCACTCACTGCACTTCAGCCTGGGTGACAGAGCGACTCTGTCTCAAAAATAAATAAATAAATTCCCTAGGTTTATAAACAAGTCTACCAGTCTGCCTGGCATGGGTGTGATGTGCACCAGAGTTTAGTTTCCTGGAGTTCTTCTTAGGAGGAGTTCTTAGTTCCCACTCTTCTTCTTTTTTGTTTTTTTGAGACGGAGTCTCACTCTGTCGCCCAGGCTGGAGTGCAGTTGCATGATCTCGGCTCACTGCAACCTCCGCCTCCCGGGTTCAAGCGATTCTCTGCCTCAGCCTCCCGGGTAGCTGGGATTACAGGCACCTGCCACCACGCCTGGCTAACTTTTGTATTTTTAGTAGAGACAGGGTTTCACCATGTTGGCCAGGCTGGTCTTGAATGCCTGACCTTGTGATCCGCCCGCCTAGGCCTCCCAAAGTGCTGGGATTACAGACTTGAGCCACTGCGCCCGGCAGTTCCTGTTCTTCTTAGGAGTGTGTTCCCACTGGCAAAAGGAGGATCTCTGGGGCTAGGGGTAGGCCCCTCGCCCAACAAGGGCAGCCAGACTTCACCAAGGAGCAGAGATGTTCAAGAAATGTACTGAATGAGCCCTCAGCTATCCACACAAACCATATTAAATGCTTGTATGGGGCCCCAGTGTGGTGGCTTACGCCTGTAATTCCAGCACTTTGGGAGGTGGAGGCGGGAGGATTGCTTGAGCCCAGGAGTCCAAGACCAGCCTAGGCAACATGACGAAACCCTCTCTCTACAAAAGAAATACAAAAAAATTAGTCAGGCATAGTGTCATGCACCTGTAGTCCCAGCTACTTGGGAGCTGAGGGGAGAAGGATCACCTGAGCCAGGGAGGTTGAGGCTGTGGTGAATCGTGAAGGGGCCACTGTATTCCAGCCCAGGCAATAGAGTGAGATCCTGCCTCAAAAAAAAAAAAAAAAAAGTTTGTGGCCAGTCACAGTGGCTCATGCCTGTAATCTCAGCACTTTGGGAGACCAAGGTGGGTGGATCACCTGAGGTTAGGGGTTTGAGAGCAGCCTAGCCAACATGGTGAAACCCGTCTCTACTAAAAATACAAAATTAGCCAGGTGTGGTGGCATGCTCCTGTAGTCCCAGCTACTTGGGAGACTAGTGGGAGAATCCCTTGAACCCAGGAGGTGGAGATTGTGGTAAGCTGAGATTGTGCCACTGCACTCTAGCCTGGGCAACAAGAGTGAAACTGTCTCAAAAAAAAAAAAAAAAAAAAAAGGAAAGAGGAAAGAAACACGAAAAGTGGCTCAACAGTCAAAGACAGGCTTATTTTGGAGAATAAGCCTGAGAGGGGCTTCTGGCCAATTTTGGGAAAGGTTGAAAAGTACCCACTGCAAGATTGAATGCCAACTACTAGCTGGGTCACAATAGGACAAGTAGGGCCTAGTATTGCCTGCTTCCAGGGTTTTTGGGAGAGTGTGTGTTTGGAGGAAGGTTACTGGCTGTCAGAGTGACCGGGGAATGCTATTGGTACTCAGCTACCCAAAGGGACCCAGGATGCTACTACAGCAGACTGTATTTTTCAAAAGTGGCTATGAGAACATTTCCTATCTGACACGCTTTTTCAGTTCACCACTGCTCGTGAAGCTGTGGGGTCCACATTCCTCCCCTGGGCACGTGCAGGCTTTTGCAACTGCCTCAACTTTCAGAGCACTGCAGAAGGGACATTGCTAAGGGATTTCATTCTCTCTCTCTTTCTCTCTCTTTTTAAGAGACAAAGTCTCACTCTGTCGCCTGGTTGGAGTGTAGTGGCGTGATTATGGCTCACTGAAGCCTCGAACTCCTGGGCTCAAGCGATCCTCCCAACTCAGCCTCCTGAGTAGATGGGACTGCAGACACATGCCACCATGCCCAGCTTCGTTTGTTTTATATTTTTTTTTTCTAGAAGTGAGGGGTCTCCCTATGTTGCCCAGGCTGGTCTCTTCCTGGGCTCAAGTGATCCTGTCGCCTTGGCCTCCCAAAGTGCTGGGATTATAGGTAGGAGCCACTGTGCCCGGCCTGCTAAGGGATTTCTGAGGCTGGATCATAAAAGAGTATGCAGCCTCTGCCTGTCTTTCTTTCTTTCTTTCTTTCTTTTTTTTTTTTTGAGACAGAGTCTTCCTCTGTTGCCCAGGCTGGAGTGCAATGGCCCAATCTCGGCCCACTGCAATCTCCACCTCCTGGATTCAAGCAATTGTCCTGCCTCAGCCTCCAGAGTAGCTGGGATTACAGGCACACGCCACCATGCCTAGCTAATTTTTGTATTTTTTTTTTTTTAGTAGAGACGGGATTTCACCATGTTGGCCAGGCTGGTCTCGAACTCTTGACCTTGTGATCAGCCCACCTTGGCCTCCCAAAGTGCTGGGATTCATTAGGCTGTGCAATTTGTGCACTTTCTATAAAAGGTTTGCTAAAAATGAGCTGGGTACCATGGCTTATGCATGTCATCCCAGCACTTTGGGAGGCTGAGGTGGGAGGATCGCTTGAACCCGGGGGTTCGAGACCAGCCTGGGCAACACAGTGAAACCCCATCTCTAAAAAAGTAAACATTAAAAAATTAGCTGGACCTGGTGGTGTACACTTGTAGTACCACATACTCGGGAGGCTGAGGTGAGAGGATTGCTTGTGGCCAGGAGTTCAAGGGTACAGTGAGCTATGATTGCACTACTGCATTCCAGCCTGGGTGACAGAGTGAGACTCTGTCTCCAAAAACAAACAAATAAAAAACACCACCACCACTACCAAAACAGAACACATACCCAAAACCCTCAACGTTTGCTAAAAATGATGAAAACAAGAAAAACAGATATGGCAGTCCATGGAAAGGAACAAAAAGATGTCCAAAAACTTTCCTCAAAGCCATCAAACAAAAGATGTTACTATTTTAAAATAGAAGAATCTGTGAAAATGATTAAGAGTTAGCTTATAAGTATCTCCTCAGCAGATTCTCAAATTGTATAGTTTTTTTGAGGCCAGAGACCTTTTTATACTGACTGGAAAATTCTGCACAAAAAATACCTCTGTGAATCATGATACCAGTTTGTTTTTGGTCTGTCCAGAGTATAATTTTGCCAGAGTATATTTATAATAAGCCATTATTCCTTTTTTTTTTTTATGGCTCTGGGGACTGGGATCAGCTATGCGGTCCTCACTTAGGGAACTTGTGCCTTTGCCGTCAGATGGTGGATGGGGCTGGGTCATCTGAGGCTTCTTCCATCCTAGTCTAGCAGCTGAAGTGAGGAGACCCGAACAGCTGGCGCTCCTTAGACATTTCTCTCTATTTTCACCTGGTCTGTCCAGCTACTTTCGGAAACAAACCAAATAATATCTTTTTTTTGAGACAGAGTCTCGCTCTGTCCCCCAGGCTAGAGTGCAGTGGCACGATCTCGGCTCACTGTAACCTCCGCCTCCCAGATTCAAGGGATTCTCCTGCCTCAGCCTCTCGAGTAGCTGGGATTACAGGTGCGTGCCACCCACACCGGCTAATTTTTGTATTTTTAGTGAAGACAGGGTTTCACATGTTGGCCAGGCTGGTCTTGAACTCCTGACCTCAGGTGAACCACCTGCCTCGGCCTCCCAAAGTGCTGGGACTACAGGCATGAGCCCCTGCACCCGGCCACTTTTTTTTTTTTTTTGATATGGAGTCTTGCTCTGTCGCCCAGGCTGGAGTGCAACGGCATGATCTCCGCTCACTGCAACCTCCGCCTCCCAAGTTCAAGCAATTCTCCTGCCTCAGCCTTCTGAGTAACTGGGATCACAGGTGCGCACCACCACGCCAGGCTGATTTTTTGTATTTTTAGTAGAGACGGGGTTTCACTGTGTTGGCCAGTCTGGTCTCGAACTCCTGACCTCAAGTGATCCTCCCGCCTTGGCCTCCTAAAGTGTTGGGATTACAGGCGTGAGCCACTGCGCATGGCCCAGATAATATACTTTCATCTTCAAGGTTCATTGTATTGAACGGGTTTTACTAACACAGCAGCAGCCTCAATTAACTGTGTTCATTTTATAAAGTATTATTTTTACTTTATTAGTTAAGTTTTATTAATTGTATCTGTTTAAAATGTAGCAATTTTATTTCAATTGATTTTAAATCTTTTTTTTTTTGAGATGGCGTCTTACTCTGTCACCCAGGCTGGAGTGCAGTAGCATGATCTCAGCTCACTGCAATCTCTTCCTCCCAAGTTCAAGCAATCCTTCCGCCTCAGCTTCCCAAGTAGCTGAGATTACAAGCGTGCGCCACCACACCCAGCTAATTTTTATATTTTCAGTAGTGATGGGATTTCACATGTTAGCTAGGCTGGTCTCAAACTCCTGACCTCAGGTGATCCACCCAACTCGGCCTCCCAAAGTGCTGCGATTACAGGTGTGAGCCACCGCTCCCAGCCGATATGGAACATTTCTATTGCCCCAAAAGGTTTATCCCTTCCCAGCCAACCTCCCTACTCCCACCCAAAGTCAACTACTATTCTGTTTTGTTTTGTTTTGTTTTTGAGACGTAGTATTGCTCTGTCCTCCAGGCTGGAGTGCAGGGGCGCGATTTCGGCTCACTGCAACCTCCGCCTTCCGGGTTCAAGAGATTTTTTCTACTTCAGCCTCCGGAGTAGCTGGGATTACAGGTGCGCACCACCACACCCGGCTAATTTCTGTATTTTTAGTAGAGACAGGGTTTCACCATGTTGGCCAGGCTGGTCTTGAACTCCTGAGCTCAAGTGATCCGCCTGCGTCGGCCTCCCAAAGTGCTGGGATTACAGGCGTGAGCCACCGTGCCCGGCTTCTTTCTGTTACTATAAATTCAATTTTTCTTTTCTATAATTTCACGTAAATGGAATCATATAGAGTGTCGGCTATCAACCTACGACCTCATTGTTCTAAGCTGCGAAACTGGAGTTTGGTTCTAGCCCACCCAGGGACGCTGTTAAAAAAAAAAAAAAAAAAAAAAGCTCCGGGAACGGTGGCTTACGCCTGCCTCCTGCCTGGACAAGAAGAGCGAAACTTCGTCTCAAAAAAAAAAAATAAAAAAAAATAAATAATAATTGGAGTTTGGCCCTTTAAATCTTCTTCCTTTGCTGACTGACATGATGCTAAGTTTTTTTCAGTAGAGGGCGCTGGAGAGACGTTGTAGGAGGAAAGGGTTTGGCTTCCAGTTTCCAGACTTGGCTCCTGCAGGGCAGCTACTCCTGCAGCGAGCATGCTTCTCCAGCCTCTGACTCCTACATGCGTGCGGTTTCTTTAGTGTCAGGAAGTTTCTCTGGCACATGGCTCCTGAAATATGGCAGTCAGCAGCACCCACCTCAGCTGAGACACTTCCCTGTCAGCTGCTCTCCCCACCATCTTACTGAATGGACTTCTGCCGCATTCTACTGGTGCCGCACCATAGGGATGCCTTTGTCCTTCGGTGAGCCATGGCCAAGACTACTCCAGCAAGGTCGGGGTCTCAGCCTGGGGCTCTCATCTTTCTCGGGCTATCTTAGACTTAGGAGGAGTGGCTGCTCCTTGTATCTGCTATTTCTTTCTTTCTTTTTTCTTTTTCTTTCCTTTTTTTTTTGAGATGGAGTCTCTCTCTGTCACCCAGGCTGGAGTGCAGTGGCAAGATCTCGGCTCACCGCAACCTCTGCCTCCTGGGTTCAAACTATTCTCCTGCCTCAGCCTCCTTGAGTAGCTGGGACTACAGGCACACGCCACCACGCCCAGCTACTTTTTGTAGTAGGGACGGGGTTTCACCATGTTGGCCAGGATGGTCTCGATCTCTTGACCTCGTGATCCACCTGCCTTGCCTCCCAAAGTGCTGGGATTACAGGTGTGAGCCATTGTGCCCAGTCTATTTCTACATTCGTTAGCATTCTCTTTATTTCTTAGTAACCAGTTCCTCTTACTCAAATCCCCTATCATAGTTAACAATTCTGTATATTAAACAATCGCTGTTTAAATTACTGTGTGGTTTGTCTCCTGGTTGGATCCTGACTGATACACACAGTATGTGTCTCCTTGTGAAGAAGTCATCTGGGCCAGGCACAGTGGCTCATGCCTGTAATATTCCTTGAGTTGTAGGCATGGCTTAGGGTTATTTGTCCTCTCCTTCAGCATAATGTCCGTGTGATTCACTCATACTTTTTTTTTTTTTTTGAGGCAGGGTCTCACTCTGTTGCCCAGGCTGGAGGGCAGTGGCGCCATCATAGCTCACTGCTGCCATGACCTCCCAGGCTCAAGCAATCCTCCCATCTCAGCCTCCCAAGTAGCTGGGACCACAGGTGCACCCCACCATGCCTGGCTAATTTTTAAATTTTTTTTGAGACAGGGTCTTGCTATGTTGCCCAGGCTAGCCTTGAACTCCTGGGCTCAGCGATCTTCCCAGCTTGGCCTCCCAAATTGCTGGGATTACAGGCATGAGCCACCGCGCTTGGCCCATCCACTTGTTGTGTATCAATCAGTAGTCTATTCCTTTTTATTGCTGGGTAATAGTCCACTGAACACATAATCTACAACCTGTTTATCCACTCAGTATGATGGACATTTGGGTTGTTTCCAGCTTAGGGGTATTATGAATAAGGCTGCTATGAATATTCATGTACAAGTGTTTGTGTGGACATATGTTTTCTTTGCTTTTTTTTTTTGGAGACAGAGTCTTGTTCTATCACCAAGGCTGGAGTGCAGTGGTGCAATCTCGGCTCACTGCAACATCCACCTCCCGGGTTCAAGCAGTTCTCCTGCCTCAGCCTCCCAAGTAGCTGGGATTACAGGTGTGCGCCACCACACCTAGTTAATTTTTGTATTTTTAGTAGAGACAGGGTTTCACCATGTTGGCCAGGCTGGTCTCAAACACCTGACCTCAAGTGATCTGCCTGCCTCGGCTTCCCAAAGTGCTGGGATTGTAAGAGTGAGCCATCGTGTCCAGCCATTTTCATTGCTCTTGAGTAGATACTTAGGAGTAGAATTTTTGAGTCACATGGCAGGTGTATATTTAACGTTACAAGAAAATGCCCAGCAGTTTTCCAGCATGATTGTGCCATCTGCATTCCCAAAAATTCTATATGCATTGCAGTTGCCAGCACCTGGTATTGGTATTGTCAATCTTATAAAAAGTTTACACAGAATGGTTTCCTTTTCATACCTTCAGGATACTTTCCTCTACCCGATTCTCCCTTATTAATTTTTGTTTGTTTGTTTGAGACGGAGTCTCACCCTGTCACCCAGGCTGGAGTGCAGTGGCGTGATCTCGGCTCACTGCAACCTCTGCCTCCCAGGTTCAAGCGATTCTCCTGCCTCAGCCTCCCATCCCTTATTAATTTTTAACTATTTTAGCCAGGCATGGTGGCTTATGCCTGTAATCCCAACATTTTGGGAGAATGAGGCAGGGGGATTGCTTGAGGCCAGGAGTTCCAGACCAGCCTGGGCAACATAGCAAGACCTCCATCTCTACAAAATATAAAATTAACCAGACATGGTTGCAAGCGCCTGTAGTCCCAGCTACTCGGGAGGCTGAGGTGGGAGGAGTGCTTGAGCTCAGGAGGTGGAGGCTGCAGTGAACTATGATCACACCACTGTGCTCCAGCCTGGGTGACAGAGTGAGACCCCATTTCAAAGAAAAAAAGAAAAGAAAAAAAAATTGCATGCAGCCCCTGGGAAGTGTGGATGCTGCTGGTGTTACTGAGTAAAGCCCTCCCCATCTGGCATCCGGGAGTGAGCTCCCAGCACAAAGACTGTTTTTGTCCCTGCTAACATGAACAAGTGCTGTCCACAGAACACAGAGTTCACAGTCATCCATCCAACTTGACCAAGAGGCCAGTGGGAAAGGACTGTATTTATAACAGCCCCAAATGTCATACCAGTGACTTAAAAACAAGCAAACAAAAAACCACAGTCACCCAGCCTCTTGTTTGAAAAAGTGGCGGGATAGCAAGGACCATCAGATGTTTAAGAAAACTAGCAGCCTGAAAGAGAAACATTTAAGTAAACAAGCAGAAGGAAAGTGAACTGACCCCAGAGGAAACAGACAATTCACAGGACCAAAAGAACATGGAGGAAAAGAAAAAACCCTAACTGGTACACTCAGGACTGGCTTCATGGGCATGCAACCTGTGCGTTCACATGTGGCCCACCCTCTTTTCAATGCTCCACTGTGGCCATCTCAACATTCTTTTTCTTTTCTTTTTTTTTTTTGAGATGGAGTCTCTCTCTGTCGCCCAGGCTGGAGTGCATGACACAATCTCAGCTCACTGCAACCTCCGCCTCCTGGGTTCAAGTGATTCTCGTGCCTCAGCCTCCTGAGTAACTGGGACTACAGGCGCCCACCACCACATCTGGCTAATTTTAGTATTTTTATTTTTATTTATTTTTGAGATGGAGTTTTGCTCTTGTTGCCCAGGCTGGAGTGCAACAGAATGATCTCAGCTCACTGCAATCTCCACCTCCTGGGTTCAAGCGGTTCTCCAGCCTCAGCCTCCTGAGTAGCTGGGATTACAGGCACGAACCACCAAGCCAGGCTAATTTTTGTATTTTTAGTAGAGACGAGGTTTCGCCATGTTGGCCAGGCTGGTCTTGAACTCCTGACCTCAGGTGATCCACCCACCTCAGCCTCCCAAAGTGCTGGGATTACAGGCATGAGCCACCATTCCCAGCTAATTTTTATATTTTTAGTAGAGACGGGGTTTCACCATGTTGGGCAGGCTGGTCTTGAACTCCTGACCCCAGGCAATCTGCCCACCTCAGCCTCTCAAAATGCTGGAATTACAGGCATGAGCCGTTGCTCCCAGCCTCAACATTCTTTTTATTTATTTATTTTTATTTATTTATTTATTTTTTGAGATGGAGTCTTACTCTGTCACCCAGGCAGGAGTGCAGTGGCGTGATCTTGGCTCACTGCAACCTCCACTTCTGGGTTCAAGCGATTCTCCTGTCTCAGCCTTCCGAGTAGCTGGGACTACAGGTGCGCACTACCACGCCCGGCTAATTTTTGTATTTTTAGTTGAGACAGGGTTTCACCATGTTAGTCAGGCTGGTCTCGAACTCCTGACCTCAGGTGATCCACCCACCTCGGCTTCCCAAAGTGCTGGGATTACAGGCATGAGCCACCATGCCCGGCCAACATTCTCTTAAATTAAAAATTTTGTGTGTGTGTGTGTGTGTGTGTGTGTGGAGATGGGGTCTCACTATGTTGCCCAGGTTGGTCTCAAACTCCTGGCCTCAAATGATTCTCCCGTCTCAGCCTCCCAAAGTGCTAGGATTACAGGCCTCAGCCACCGAGCCTGGCCTCAACATTCTTAATTATTTCTGAACAAGGGACCTTGCATTTTCATTTTGCAATGGGCCATGCAAATTATGTAGCTAGTCCTGGGAACACTTAGATTTGCAAAGATGTTCTAAACAGAGTAAGAACAGGATACTATAAAAGGAAGAATGTCTACAAGAAGAAAAAGAAATCCAAAGAAATGGATTGGATGAGTTACTAACAGAAAAACGCCTCTTTCAAAATGGAAAAATTAAAGCTATGAGAAATTCTAGGAAAAACATAAAACTGTATCTGTGTTACAGCTATTTGATAAAGTTCACAAAAAAGGAATCCTTTTGACCTGGAGGCTAGGGGCATTCTCTTTACATTGGCTTTACTTACGGGTTTTCTTGGGAAAAAGACTCTTTTCAACAAATGGTGCTGGGACAACTGGAAATCTATATGCAAAAAGATGAATTTAGACTATTACCTCATACCAGAATCAACATGAAATTAATCATACATCTAAATTTAAGAGTTAAAACTATAAAACTTTGAGAAGAAAACAGGAGAAAATCTCATGATCTTGTGTTAAGCAGAGATTTTTTAGATCCAACACCAAAAACTATGATTCATAAAAGAAAAACTGGATAAATTAGACATTATCATAAGTTAAAACTTTTGTACTTGCACATTATATATCTGATAAAGCACTTGTGTATAGAATATATAAATAACTCATAAAACTCAATGAGATAAACCAGTTAAAAAATGGACAAAAGGCCGGGCACAGTGGCTCACGCCTGTAATCCCAGCACTTTGGGAGGCTGAGGCAGGTGGATCACCTGAGGTCAGGAGTTCAAGACCAGCCTGGCCAACATGGTGAAACCCTGTCTCTACTAAAAATACAAAAAATTAGCCTGTAATCCTAGCTACACAAGAGGCTGAGGCCGGAGAATCGCTTGAACCTGGGAGGCAGAGGTTGCAGTGAGCTGAGATCACGCCATCGCACTCCAGCCTGGGCAACAAGAGTGAAACTCCATCTCAAAAAAATAAAAATAAAAAAGAAAGAAAGACAAAAGATTTGAGTAGACATTTCACCAAAGAACATATACAAATGAGTAATGAGCACATGAAATGATGCTCCACTTCATTAGTCATTAGGAAAATGCAATTTTTTTTTTTTTTTGAGATATGGTCTTCTCTGTTGCTCAGGCTGGAGTGCAGTGGCACGATCTTGGCTCACTGCAGCCTCAACCTCCTGGGCTCAAGTGAGTCTCCCATTTCAGCCTCCCAAGTAGCTGGGACTACAGATGCACCCACCACCACATTCAGCTAATTGTTGAATTTTCTATAGAGATGGGTCTTCCTATATTGCCCAGGCTGGTCTTGAACTCCTGGGATCAAGGGATCCTCCTTCCTTGACCTCTCAAAGTGCTGGGATTATGGGCATGAGCCACCATGCCCAGCTGGGAAATGCCAATTAAATTCACAATGAGACACCACTTCATACCCACTACCCTGGCTATTACTCAAACTGACGATACTGACAGGTGTAGTCGAGGATATAAAGAAACTGGAACCCTCAGGCATCGCTGGTGGGGATGTAAGATGTACAGCTAACCTGGAAAACCATTAGGCAGTTTCTTTAAAAGTTGAGGCCAGGCTCGGTGGCTCATACCTGTAATCCCAGCACTTTGGGAGTCCTGAGGTCAAGAGTTCGAGACCAGCCTGGCCAACATGGTGAAACCCTGTCTCTACTAAAAACACAAAAACTAGCCGGGTATGGTGGTAGGCGCCTGTAATCCCAGATACTCGGGAGGCTAAGGCAGGAGAATCACTTGAACCTGGGAGGTGGAGGTTGCAGTGAGCCAAGACTGTACCACTGCACTCTAGCCTGGGCAACAGAGCAAGACTCTGTCTCCAAAAAAAAAAGTTGAACATGGCTGGGTGCAGTGGCTCATGCCTGTAATGTCAGCACTTTGGGAGGCCGAGGTAGGAGGATCCCCTGAGTCCAGGAGTTCCAGGCTGCAGTGAGCTATGAATGCGCCACCACCCTCCAGCTTGGGAGACAGAATAAGAGCCTGTCTCTAAAAAAAAAAAAAAATTAAAAAAAAAGTTAAACATAAACTTATATGAAACCTAGCAATTCTACGACTAGATTATCTACCCAAGAGAAATGAAAATACACCTTCTACCTCCATGCAAACTCTCATATGCTAATGTTCATAGCAGCTTTATACATTTGGAAACACTCCAAATGTCTATTAGCTGATGAATGGATATATAAAATGTGCCATGTCCACAAAATAGAATATTTTTAAGCAGTAAAAAGGAATAAACATGCTATAGTATGAATAAACTCCAAAGCAATATGCTACATGAAAGAGGCCAGATGCAAAAGGACACATATTATATGATGTGCTTCTATGAAATGACCAGAAAAGACAAATCTTTTTGATCAGAAAGTAGATTAGTAGTTGCCTTGGGCTAGGCTGGGAACAGAGTGACTACAAATAGGCACAAGGGATATTTTGGGGGTGATGAACATGCTTTGTTACGGTGGTGATGGTTGCACAACTCTGTAAAGTCACTAAAAGCCACAAAGTTGTCCACTTTAACAGGGCTGAATTTTTTGGTATGTAAATTACACCTCAAAAAAGCTGATTAAAAAAACACAGCAAACTTTGCAATTAAAGCATGTAGGGCTTAAATATGGAAACAGAACAGACTGTAGATGTTTCCACCTTGACAATGTAAAAGCAAATGTACAGCTGGGTGCGATGGCTCACACCTGTAATCCCAGCACTTTGGGAGGCTAAGGTGGGATGATCGCTTGAGCCCACGAGTTCAAGACGAGCCTGGGCAACATAGTGAGACCCCCGTCTCTACAAAAAAATTAGCAGGGCATGGTGGCGTGTGTGTGTAGTCCCAGTTATTAGAGAGGCTGAGGTGGGAGGATCGCTTGAGCCCAGAAGTTGAGGCTACAGTGAGCCAAGATCCCGCCACTGCACTCCAGCCTGGGTGACAGAGACTCCATCTCCAAAAAAAAAAAAAAAGAAAGAAAAGAAAAAAGAAAATGAGCAAACACAAAACAGTGCAATGTTACTGCAATTCACTAAAAATACTATCAAAGAGAACTCCCATACATTCCTGGTGGAATCCATTTGGAATCACTTTGGAAACCACTGGGCTTTTTTTTTTTTTTTTTTTTTTTTTTGAGACTGAATCTCACTCTATCGCCCAGGCTGGAGTGCAGTGGCATGATCTCGACTCACTGCAACCTCCACCTTCTGGGTTCAAGTGATTCTTGTGCCTCAGACTCCCAGGTAGCTGGGATTACAGCTACTCTGCCACCATGCTCTGCTAATTTTTGTATTTTTAGTAGAGACAGGGTTTCACCACGTTGGCCAGGCTGGTCTCAACCTCCTGAGCTCAAGTGATCCTCCTGCCTTGGCTTCCCGAAGTGCTGGGATTATAGGCATGAGCCATTGTGCCTGGCCCACTGGACATTTTTTACTGAAGTAAAAATGAAAATGTGCCTGCCCCATGACCCAGCAACTCCACCCCAGAGCCAGAAAACACATACAAGAATATTCATGGTGGTGGTGTTCCTAACAGCTTCAGATTGGAAAAGTCCCAGATGCCTGTCCACTGTAGCACATACAAATAAGTCATTAATAAGATAAGATGGACTACTATATAGCACAATAATACAAATATTGCAAATACAAATATTATAAATAATACAAATACAAAATAAGGAATAAGCCACAAGTACCCAGAACATGAATGATTATCAAAAGCAAAAAAAAAAAAAAATTTTTTTTTGAGACAGGGTCTCACTGTGTTGCCCAGGCTGGAGTGCATGGCCACGATCATAGCTCACTGCAGCCTCCAATTTCTGGACTAAATCGATCCTCCTGACTCAGCCTCTTCTGGACCTGGGACCACAGGCACACACCACCATGCCTGGCTAATTTTTGTGTTTTTAGTAGAGATGGGGTTTCACCATGTTGGCCAGGCTGGTCTAGAACTCCTGACCTCAAATGATCTGCCCACCTCAGCCTCCCAAAGTGCTGGGATTATAGGCGTGAGCCACCACGGCTGGCCCTTTCTCTCTTCGTGTGTGAGGATGTCCCCTCTGCAAGATGGGAAATATGCAGGTCCACATCTGTCATCCACAATCTACATGTTCAAAAGCTCAGAAAACCAACAGTTTTTCCCAGACCCATTTGGTGGCAGGAGCTGACTTGAGCTGTCATGAGGTTTTGTATAGTCTTTAGTTACTCCCCTGAGAATGAACGTGCATTTCACTGAAGGCCTATTAGTGTTTGATTACACAAATGCTCCTCAGCCCTACTAGGGGACTTATGTAACATACCAAATGGGCTCCGTATGACTTGCTTAATATTCAAAGTCTAGGCTGGGCATGGTGACTCACGCCTATAATCCCAGCACTTTGGGAGGTCAAGGCAGGCAGATCACTTGAGGTCAGGAGTTCGAGACCAGCCTGGTCAACATAGTGAAACCCATCTCTACTAAAATACAAAAATGAGCTGGGTGTGGTGGTGCATGCCTATAATCACAGCTACTTGGGAGGCTGAGGCAGGAGAATGGCTTGAACCTGGGAGGTGGAGGTGGCAGTCAGCCAAGATCACAACACTGCACTCCAGCCTGGGTGACAAAGGAGAGTCCATCTCAAAAAAAAAAAAAAAAAATTCAAAGTCTAGACTCCCAAATGCATCTGGCCCCAAGAGCTTTGGATCAGAGATGATGGACCTCTAATAACCCCTGCCCCTCACGGTTGTAGGGAAATTTCATGAGATCAGGGTCTGGCCCTCGACAAATGTTTGCTGCCACTGTGAGGAGTTACTATGATTAGCAGCAAACACCCAGCTATGGGATTGGAGGAGTCCACGTGGGCACCTCCATATGCTGCCATCAGAGACTAGAAGAATGTGGGATAAGGACAGACACGCTTAGGAAAAAACAAGGCGAAACACAGCAGGACAAAAACTGAACCTCTGGCACGATCATTCGTTGAATTTGCAAAAGGAAAAAGAAAATACCAAGTTCCAAATCTATCCCTAGAAAAATGGGTGGTGACTGGGTGCTGTGGCTCACGCTTGTAATCCCAGCACTTTGAGAGGCCAAGGCAGGAGGATGGCTTGAGCCCAAGAGTTTAAGACCAGCTTGGGTAACATAGTGAGACCCCTGTCTCTACAAACAAAATTTAACAATTAGCCAGGCATGGTGGTGTGCACTTGTGGTCCCAGCTACTCGGGAGGCTGAAGTGGGAGGATCACTTGAGCCCAGGAAGTTGAGGCTGCAGTGAGCCAAGACTGTGCCACTGCACTCCAGCCTGGGTGAGAGTGAAACCCTGTGCCAATTAAAAAAAAAAAAAGAAGAAAAGAAAAAGGGCCCAGCTGCAGCAGTTATGTTGACAGTGTTAGTCATAGGTGAACAGGCTATAATAGTTAAGGAGATGCCTTCACAGAATACTAACAGCTACTGTTAACTGAGCACTTACTTTGCTCTAGGCATGTGGGAATTGCTTTACAAAATCTCACAGAAGCCTCAAACCACCCCATGAAGTAGGCACATGGGGAAACTGAGGCTTGGAGGATGACAGCAACGTGCCCAAGGTCACCCAACAAAGAAGCAACAGAGCCATGTCAAAAGACAAAATTACAACAAATTTAGTTATAGATCTAATGGGCTTTTATTCAAGATTCTTGAATGGGGCAGCCTCCATTTTACAAAACAGACTGAGACCCCCACTGGGTAGTAAGAGAATGGTGGGTTTTATAAGCTGGGACCAAGGGAAAAGAATGATAGAAAAAAACAAACAAAAAAACTAGGCCGGGAGCAGTGGCTCACTCACACCTGTTATCCCCAGCACTCTGGGAGGCCAAGGCAGGTGGATCACCTGAGGTCAGGAGTTCGAGACCAGCCTGGCCAACATGATGAAACCCCATCTCTACTAAAAATATAAAAATTAGCTGGGTGTGGTGGCACGCACCTGTAATCCCAGCTACTCAGGAAGCTGAGGCAGGAGAATTGCTTGAACCCAGGAGGTCAAGGTTGCAGTGAGCTGTGATTGTGCCACTGCACTGCAGCCTGGGCGACAGAGTGAGACCCCATCTCAAAGAAAAAAAAAAAAAACCTGCTGGGATTTGAATCTTGGTATATTGGACTCCATAGTTTGTGCTACTGTATACATGTCTTCTGTCTCTTTCTTTGTTTCAAAATAATCTTACTTTATTTTCTCCCAATTTTTACTATGAAATTTCATTCTATAGACAAGTTGAAAGAGTAATCAAATGAACATCACTATCTGCTCCATATTTTGCCATATTTGCACTCTCTCTTTTCTTTTTGGACAGAGTTTTGCTCTTGTCGCCCAGGCTGGGGTGCAATGGCGCGATCTCGGCTCACTGCAAGCTCCACCTCCTGGGTTCAAGCTATTCTCCCGCCTCAGCCTCCTAAGTAGCTGGGATTACAGGTACCCGCCATCATGCCCTGCTAAATTTTTATTTTTGTCGAGACAGGGTTTCAACATGTTGGCCAGGCTGGTCTCGAACTCCTCAGCCTCCCAAAGTGCTGGCATTACAGGCATAAGTCACCGGCCTGGCGGCCTTGATGAACTACTCTTCAGTACTTCCTAATGAATCTCCTAAGATTAAGGGCAACCTGGCCAGGCGTGGTGGCTCACGCTTGTAATTCCAGCACTTTGGGAGGCCAACGCGGGTGGATCACGAGGTCAGGAGTTCGAGACCAGGCTGACCAACACGGTGAAACCCCATCTCTACTAAAAATACAAAAAAATTAGCCAGGCGTGGTGGCACATGCTTGTAATCCCAGCTACTAGGGAGGCTGAGGCAGGAGAATCGCTTGAACCCAGGAGGTGGAGGTTGCAGTGAGCCGAGATTGTGCCACTGCACTCCAGCCTGGGCGACAGAGAGAGATTCTGCCTCAAAAATTCATTCTGCCATCAATACCCACTCCGTGAACAATTTCCCCTGCTGTCTCTAGCAGGTCTTCTGTGGCTGTTTCCTCCTAACAAGATCCCCGTGGGGGCTCAAACACCAGTGGGGGTGGCAGGTCTCACTCATCTCTTTTAATCTAAAACACTTCGTTTTCCATTCTTCTAAAAGAGATTACATACTTTTATTATAGAAAAAATTAAGGCAAACTTTTCTATTTGATTTCTAAGCCATATGTAGAATTTGATTAGAATTGAAGAAATTAATATTTACATAAATACAAAAATGTTATTTTAAAAATATATCTTTTTGTTTGGGCGCCGGTGGCTCACACCTGTAATCCCAGGACTTTTGATGGCCAAGACGAGCAGATGGCTTGAGCCCAGGAGTTCGAGACCAGCCTGGGTAACACGGCAAAACCCCGTATCCACAAAAAATAAAAAAATTAGTGGGGTTTGGTGGGGGGGCGTGCACCTGTAGCCCTAGTTACTCAGGAGGCTGAGGTGGGAGGATCTCTTGAGCCCAGGAGGTTGAGGCTGCAGTGAGCCATGATTACGACACTGTACTCCAGCCTGGGCAACACAGTTTTGATTTGATTTGATTTGATTTGAGACAGGGTCTCAAATATATATGTGTATATATATATATACATATATATATATACACATATATATACACACATATATATATGTACATATATAGTTTTTTTTTTTTTGAGACAGAGTCTTGCTCTTGTCACCCAGGCTGGAGTGCAATGGCACAATCTTGGCTCACTGCAACCTCCACCTCCAGGGTTCAAGCGATTCTCCTTCCTCAGCCTCCTGAGTAGCTGGGATTACAGGCGCCTACCACCACGCCTGGCTAATTTTTGTACTTTTAGTAGAGACGGGGTTCATGTTGGCCAGGCTGGTCTTGAATTCCTGACCTCAGGTGATCCGCCCGCCTCGGCCTCCCAGAGTGCTGGGATTACAAGCGTGAGCCACCGCGCACGCCCGGCCTAAAAATATATTTTTTAAAAAGAAGCTCCTTAGCCAAGCCTTACAAAAAGAGAGTCAACAGATACTAGGTATATTTAATGGAACAATAAATACAAGTTAAAAAAATTATTTTATGTTAGAAAAGTAGCCAATAGAGAAGCCGAAAGTAATGTCCTGACTATACAGGGAGGTGATTATATAGGGAGGAGGAAAACCACGGAGATGATCAAAGTTGTCTCCTATTTTTAGCAAGGGATCCATGGACGCGTTGTCTAAAAGTTGATGAAATAAGAAATAACAATCCAAAAATATGCTGTAAAGATTTGGAAATAGATACCAGAGGAATAAAAAGTGGAAAAAGTTAAAAACGAGGCACCAGCGATCACGAGTTACTTCTTGCCATTTTTGAAAAGTAATGTAGTTAACAAAAAAATGTATTTGGCCGACAGGGGTTGGGGGCGGTGGTGAGGGAGAGGTTGTTGTTTAAAGGCGTGTTGTTTTCCATGCAAAGCTCTGTCCTGTCCTACGTGTCTGAGTGTCGTGTATTACTGGAACATTTTTAAAGAAGTATTATTTATTTTACAACTAGACTCCCATAATATTTGTCTTTCAAAATATGGAGTAAATAGACGCTGTCTAAAGTTGAAGAGGCAGTATACAGAGCTTTCGAACATATCACTGAACATTGCAAAAGTAACTTGGCAGAACAAAATTTAAATTGAGGGTTGGGGCCGCAGCGAAACACATAATGTGCCCAAGTTGCTAAATCGAGAAACCGCCCTCCAAGGCTTCTGATTCACAGATTCTGCGAAGGGACTGACGGCCAGAAGACAGAAAATCCAGCAACGGTAAAAAGCGGCCTGGCCTTCCCCGGGCTGTTGCGCCCACGTGTTGGTTTGCAGCGTTTGGCAGGGGTTTTGGATGGTGGCCTCCGCGGACGAGCGCAGGGATGGAGAGGCCTGGGCGTTCGAACACCCACGTTCAAAGCAAAGCCCTTCCAGATTTAGGGCTTTCTAACGTGCATTTGTATAACTTTGGGTTTAAAGGAGCCTCAGGCCGAGGGAGGGCCCGGGAAAGCGACGCTGCGGGTTATGGGACTCCCAGGGACCCGCCCCTCCGGGCAGGGCCTGGCGCGGGAATCCTTCCCGGGGCGCCCCAGCTGTGGGCGAGAACGGGACTGACGCTTGGGTCCCGACCTGGGTCCCCTACCTGTCCCGGCGCTCACCTGGCGGGCTGCTCGGAGGCGGCAGCGGCGGGCTAAGCTTCCCTTTCCCACTTTGTTCTGGGAGGCAGTCGAGGGGCTCCCCGTGATCGGCGTGGCCCAGGGGGCCCCGGGACCGGCGGTCTGGGCGGTCGGTCCTCTCCCGGGGCGTGGCGGCTGCAGCCCGGCGCCGGGGGCGGCGACTCTGAGATCCAGCGGGCGGGGGCGGGAGGCCGCCCCTCCTCCGGCTGCGGGGCCCAGCGGGAGCGAGGGCGGGCGGGCGGGGGAGCTTGGAGGGCTGCGTGCAGCGAGGGGGAGGCCCAGTTGCCGCGAGGCCAGCGGGGAGCGGGGCCAGCCCCGCGCCCCTAGGATCCGGGGCCCACCCCTGGGAGAGCCACCTCCTCTGGGTGTGCGAGTTCCACATCCCCAAGACGCCCCCGCGGGGGGACTGGTCCTAGCTCCCCACCCCCACCCAAATTCCGTTTCCTTCTGGTCCTGGCCTCCTGCTTGCGGCCGTCTCCACCCCTCACATCCATGGGATCCTGCACAGGTCCACGGTTGGTAAACCGCTTAGCTGTGAGCCCGACCCAGGGCCTGATTCGAAACACTTGGATCAAAGTCCCTGGCCACAGGGATTTTCTTGTATTTACGTTGCTTCCCAGGGCCAGATTCTCAGAAGCCCGGGGCTGATCTTAAATTAAATCCCTTCACCACACGCACTCTCTGTGGCAATGACAAACCTGTACCCTTCCACCTTAGGACTCCCCTGTCCTCCCCATCCCCCCAGCTATAGACAACTGAATTAATCCGGAGGTTCAGTTTCGGTCAGGCTGGGGCCGCGACCCATTTTCTCCCTTTACCTCTGCCCTTGGGTCTTTGCAGTCCCTTCTGATGGCCCTAGATTGCACCAGGGACCTCAAGGTGACTGATCTCAGACACCCCAGAGCTAGTTTTCTGGAAGCCAGGCCTCCCCCACGCTGGTAAATCATTCTCCAGGCCCACTGGCTCATATCTGCCACTGTGCTAAATGCTTTGTATGCATGACCTCCTCATGGACGCCTCTCCCGAGAAACTGAAGTCCAGAGATACCTGGTCTGTTGCACGTAGTCCAAGTCGCTAGCTTGGAGGGGTCACACAGCCAGAGAGCCTGGATTCCCTAAAGCCCCTTCCCCTAGAAACCTCAGCCAGGCCCCACAGCGCCATCGTGAGGACGGCGTGAGACTGCGTGTGCAGCGCGGAGCACAGTGCTGGACTCAGAGCCAACGCTAATTTGACTACTATTACATTATTTGTAACAACCGCCTTTGAAAGCATTTTCTGCTGTGGGTTGTAAAATTACTGTATTATTGGTAGAGTTTTTAGCACAGATCCACACGCAGTTCCTTATGTGAAAGGCGTAGGCCTAGGTTTGTTTTGCATTCCGGATTTTGGGGGGTTTATTTATTTTATTTTAGTTTTTTGAGACGGAGTCTCGCTCTGTTGCCCAGGCTGGAGTGCAGTGGCTAGATCTTGGCTCACTGCAAGCTCCACCTCCCGGGCTCAAGCAATTCTTGTGCCTCAGCCTCCCGAGTAGCTGGGATTACAGGAACGCGCCACCACGCCTGGCTAATTTTTGTATTTTTAGTAGAGAGGGGGTTTGGCCATGTTGGCCAGGCTGGTCTCGAACTCTTGACCTCAGGTGATCTGCCTGTCTTGGCCTCCCAAAGTACTGGGATTACAAGCGTGAGCTACCACGCCTGGCCGTAAGTAGCCATTTCTTCATGCTGCTCAATTCTCTGACATCCAGGGGCTTGCATATGTAGGGACAAGAATACTAACTAATCTTTGTTCTTTGATAAAACATTAAACAGTTGTTCCTCTAAGTCTTCCTCGAAACCAGATTTCCCTAATCATTTCAACATTCCTTCCAAAAGCCATCGCTTAAAGCCTTCCCAAATCTAATGTCAGATGTTTGCGATTGTTGTAAATACCTTAACAAATAGACAAAGCAATTGTGTGTTATTATAATGATTACAAAGCTAATGCATACTTGTGCTGACACGTGTCACCAGTGTGCTGATACCCATGGACTTGAGCTTGTTTCTTTATTGTTATTATTACAAAAAGTGGAATTGTTTATTTTTCATTTATTGATTTATTTTTGAGTCAGCGTCTGGCTCTGTTACCCAGGCTGGAGTGCAGTGGCATGATCACAGCTCACTGCAGCCTTGATCTCCTGGGCTCAAGTGATCCTCCCACCTCAGCCCCTCAAGTAGCTGGGACTACAGGGGCACGCCACCATGCCCGGCTAATCTTTGTATTTTTTGTAGAGATGAGGTTTCGCCATGCTGCCCAGGCTGGTCTCGAACTCATTAGCTCAACAATCCGCCTGCCTTGGCCTCCCAAAATGCTGGGATTACAGGCATAAGCCACTGCATCTGGCCTTGTTTCTTTATTATTGGTATTCTAGTTTTTAGACTCCTTTCCTGCAGGGAGTGTGATTTGACTCACCCAATATAAGGAGCCCTGGTAACCGCCTCAGACCTGCTGAGGTTTCGGCTTTAGGTCAGAGCCAGTTTCAGGAAGGCTGATGATTCAGGACCGGTGGAGAGGCCTGGGGAACCTCTAGCAGGGCAGCCCACTGAATGCGGTTGTCACTCAGAGCCTGTCCATGTGCTTGGATCTGAACAGGAAGAGAGGTTTTATTTATGGTCTTGGTCGTGCTTTCCCTCGGAGTCACATTTGTTCCTGGTGTCTCCTCACATGGTGCAGGCTGATGTGCCTACTTTGCAGCTCTTTCTGCTGAGCAAGGCCTGTTTCTACCCAATTAAATCTAAAGCCTTCTATCACAATAAAACCTCAACTGTCATTCCCATCAACCAAGAAGAACTGAACTAGGAGGCCCTGACATTTGCCAATCTGATGTGTTATCAAATGTTTACATTGGCCGGGCACGGTGGCTCATGTCTGTAATCCTAGTGCTTTGGGAGGCAGCAGGATCACTTGAGACCAGGAGTTCAAGACCAGCCTGTGCAACATAGTGAGACCCCCATCTCTACAAAAAATTTAAAAATTACCTGGCTATGATGGTGTGTGACTGTGGTTCTAGCTACTTGGGGGGCTGAGGCAGGAGGACCGCCTGAGCCTGGGAGGTTAAGGCTGCAGTGAGCTGTAATGGTGCCACTGTACTCCAGCCTGAGTGACAGAGCAAGACTCTATCTCAAGACAAATAAACAGGCCGGGCGCGGTGGCTCACGCCTGTAATCCCAACACTTTGGGAGGCCAAGGCAGGCGGATCACCTGAGGTCAGGAGTTTGAGACCAGCCTGGCCAACATGGCAAAACCCCGTCTCTACTAAAAATACAAAAATTAGCTGGGTGTGGTGGCATGTGTCTGCAGTCCCAGCTACTAGGAGGGCTGAGGCAGGAGGATTGCTTGAACCCAGGAGGCGGAGGTTGCACTGAGCTGAGATTGTGCCACTGCACTCTAGCCTGGGCAACACAGCAAGACTCTGTCTCAAAACAAACAAACAAACAAACGAAGTTTACATCTTTGCCTATCTAAGAAGTCAAAAGAAAACAAAAAAAGGTATTGCCCTGGTATCTTCCTTCGCATTTCTCCTAAGATGAGGACATTGGTCATCTTTTCATGTGTTTAAGAGCTATTTGCATTTCTTTCTACATAGTTTGTCATTAATCACCTTTGCCCATTTTTCTGCAATTACTGGTCAGGTGTTGTGTTTTAAAAATGGTGCAATGGGCCAGTGCAGTGGCTCACTCCTGTAATCCCAGCACTTTAGGAGGCCAAGTCGGGCGGATCAGAAGGTCAGGAGTTTGAGACTAGCCTGGCCAATATAGTGAAATCCTGTCTCTACTAAAAATACAAAAATTAGCCAGGTGTGGTGGAGGGCACCTGTGGTTCCAGCTACTTGGGAGGCTGAGGCAGGAGAATCACTTGAACCCAGGAGGCGGAGGTTGCAGTGAGCTGAGATCGTGCCACTGCACTCCAGCCTGGGTGACAGAACAAAAGTTTGTCTCAAAAATAAATAAATATAAAAAAATACAAATATAAATACAAAAATTAGCCTGGAGTGGTGGCAGATGCCTGTAATCCCAGCTACTTGGGATGTTGAGGTGTGAAGATCACTTGAACCCAGGAGGTAGAGGCTGCAGTCAGCTGAGATTGCTCCACTGCACTCCAGCCTAGGCGACAAAGTGAGACTCCGACTCAAAAAAAAAATGGTGCAATTATTGCAAACAGTGAAAAATGGACGGATGTCACATACAAATCTAACTTTCCAGCCTCTGGAGAGATGGCCTACGCTATAGGGCACGTGTTCTCACAGTCCCTTACCTTGTGCAGTGCATTGCCTGGGCCCATCATCCATAACGTTAATATCCTGGCTTGTGGTTATCTGTGGTGGTGATAGTGGCAGGAGGCAGTCAAATCCCTTGGCAGATAGGGGTGGTTCCCCAGTGAAACCTCATCTTCAAGCCAAAGACAGTTTTAAGCCTGAAGGCCAAGCTGCAAGTCTCAGATAAATCCACGGACCAGATTGAGAACTTGTCTTCCTGTTTGGTGCACTTTCCTCTGATTCCTCCCCACCCTTCATCTATTTTACATGTACCTACCCTTCCCTAATTTTTTTTTCTTTTCTTTCTTTTTTTGAGATGGAGTCTCGCTCTGTTGCCCAGGCTGGAGTCCAGTGGCATGATCTTGGTTCACTGCAACCTCCGCCTCCTGGGTTCAAGCAATTCTCCTGCCTCAGCCTCCCAAGTAGCTGGGATTACAGGTGCCCGCTACCACGCCTGGCTCATTTTTGAATTTTTAATAGAGACAGGGTTTTACCATGTTGGCCAGCCTGGTCTCAAACTCCTGACCTCAGGTGATCTGCCTGCCCTGGCCTCCCAAAGTGCTGGGATTACAGGTGTGAGCCACCACACCCAGCCCGTAATTGGTTTTTTACACTGTCATGCCCATCTTTGAATGGTGCCTTTGTTTTAGCCTCTTTTGCATACTCACAAACCAATCAGCATGCACTCCCCCATTCTAAGTCCATAAAAGCCCCAGACCCAGCCACACTGAGGGAGAGACCACCTGACTTCAGGTGGGGGACTACCCTCACATCCCCTCTCTGCTGAGAGCTTTTATGTCACTTAATAATAAAAATCTTCTCCACCCTTCTCACCCTTGGATTGTAAGTGTGATCTCATTCTTCTTGGACGTGGGACAAGAACTTGGGACCCTGCCGAATGTAGGTACAAAGAAGGCAGTAGCACCATAGCTCCCCACGATTGGTGCCTAGCGGCCACCCCATGCAACAGAAAGCAGTGGCAAGACCAGGCCAGCCCTGGAGCTACAGGCCAGAGTGGGGCAACATAACAGAACTACTAACATGCCTCCTTTCGTCAGGCTGTGGAGGGACTAACAGAGCTGTTAGCATGCTATAACACCACCTCTGGGACTTCAGGGTCATGGGCTTCCCTGTTTGGGTGCCGCCGTGTTCTCCTTGTCTGAACGCCAGAGTACACAGTGGGAGCCGCTTGCAACACACCTGGTCCAGCCACAAACCCTACATGGAGCCTGCCCCTGTGTCAGTGCTTGCAGGGGCCAGTGGGACCCCACACTTGCTAGTTCACACACCCCCTCCCACCCAGGGGCTGAGTGCAAAGTCACGGTGGCTGTGGGATCCATGCCAGAGTGCAATCCAGCTGTGCCCTGGTGGGCTGAGTGGGCAGGGTGCCTCCTGCAACAAACCTGGGAACAGTGCAAGGCCAGGGCAGTGGCATTGCTGGCCAGAGGTCTCTGGGCAGCAATGTGGCTGAGAAAAATCCTGCATCGGTGGCAACTCCTGGGATGATCCTCTCGAAGCACTCAGCCGGGAGCCTGGCCCTGCAGACTCCTACATTATGAGCCTTTAGAAGACAAAAGAAATGCCCAAAACAAAGCAGTCCAGCTTTGCCTTAGTGATGGCTGTCAAGGGACCCAGTTAATCAATTAGAGATACATCTGCACTGTGAAGATGTGCATAGTTGGAGGGCAGAAAGTTAAAAATTAAAAGCTTACCAGATAGAGAAAAATCTTTTTTTTTTTTTTTTTCAGGCAGAGTCTTTCTCTGTCGCCCAGGCTGTGTGCAGTGGTGCCATCTCGGCTCACTGCAACTTCCGCCTCCCGAGTTCAAGCAATTCTCCTGCCTCAGCCTTCTGAGTAGCTGGGATTACAGGCGCCCACCACCATGCCTGGCTAATTTTTGTATTATTAGTAGAGATGGAGTTTCACCATATTGGCCAGGCTGGTCTCAAACTCCTGACCATGTGATCCACCTGCCTCAGCCTCCCAAAGTGTTGGGATTACAGGTGTGAACCACCGTGCCCGGCCAGGAAGATCTTCTGAACAAAAAAGGAAACTTGCAAGGAATCCTCTTGGAAAATGTAGGGCACAAAAAATATCCATTTAGATATAAATAGAGACATAGAGACACAACCCCTGGTAGGGATAGAGACAGGTACACACACACACAGAACTGAAGGCACACACACACACACACACACACACACACACACACTTTTTTTTGTTTTGTTTTGAGACAAGGTCTTGCTCTGTTGCCCAGGCTAGAGTGCAGTGGCATGATCATGGCTCATGACAGCCTCGACCTCCTGGGTTCAAGTGATCCTCCCACCTCAACCTCCCAAGTAGCTGGGACTACAGGTGTGCACCACCACACCTGGCTTTTTTTTTTTTTTTTGGGGTAAAGATAGGGTATCACCATGTTCCCAGGGCTGGTCTCCTGGGCTCAAGCAATCCTTCCGCCTCAGCTTCCCAAAGTGCTGGGATTACAGGCGTGAGCCACAATACCTAGACAGGCACAGACTCATAGAGTAAGCTCCAAAAAAATTCTCAAGCCACATGCCACCTGGAGAGACTACTGTCTGCAAGGGTGTCACAGGAGGCCGTGTGGGGGTCTGGGTTGCCTCCCACCTAGATACTCCAGGATAATCTTCTTGTCTCAAAACCTATAACTTCGGCCAGGTGTGGTGGCTCACACCTGTAATTTCAGCAGTTTGGGAAGCTGGGGCAGGAGGATAACTTTAGCTTAGGAATTCGAGACCAGCCTGGGCAACGTAGGGAGACCTCGTCTCTAAAAAACAAAGATCCCCCCACCCACCTTAACGTCATTATATCTGCAAAGTTATTTTTGCCATATAAGGAAACATTCACAAATTCCAGAGGTTAGGACCTGGATAATTTTGGCAGAAGGGGGGATTATTCAGTCTACCATACACCATAGTTATTTATTTAAATTTTTTTTGAGACACAGTCTCACTCTGTTACCCAGGGTGGAGTGCAGTGGTGCGATCTTGGCTCATTGCAATCTCCACCTCCTGGGTTCCAGCAATTCTCCTGCCTCAGCCTCCCAAGTAGCTGGGATTATAGGTGCACTCTGCCACGCCTGGCTAATTTTTGTATTTTTAGTAGAGATGGGGTTTTACTATGTTGGCCAGGCTGGTCTCAAACTCCTGACCTCATGTGATCCACCTGCCTTGGCCTCCCAAAATGCTGGGATTATAGGCGTGAGCTACCATGCCTGGGCTCTTTTTTTTTTTTTTTTTTTTTTTTTTTTTTGAGATGGAGTCTTGATCTGTTGCTCAGGCTGGAGTGCAATGGCATGATCTTGGCTCACTGCAACCTCCATCTCCCAGGTTCAAGCAATTTTCTTGCCTCAGCCTCCCTAGTAGCTGGGACTACAGCCATGTACCACCACACCCAGCTAATTTTTTTGTATTTTTAGTAGAGATGGGGTTTCACTGGTGTTGGCCAGGCTGGTCTCCTGACCTCAAGTAATCCTCGGCCTCCCAAAGTGCTGGGAATACAGGCATCAGCAACCACGCCTGTCGTCTTGCTATGTTGCCCAGGCTGGTCTTGAACTCCTGACCTCAAGTGATCCTCCCACCTCGGCCTCCCAAGGTGCTGTGATTACAGGCATGAACCACCATGTCTGGCTCGGACCATAGTTCTTTTATAATAATAGTGGTCATCATTCTAGTAGTTGTTATCTAATCACATTTTATAATCATTAGTTCTAAAATATTAAGTGCCAAAATAAATAAATAAAAAAGAAAAAAAATAAAAATAAAATAAAATCTTAAGTGCCAGGTTCTGGGCTAAGAGATCTAGGTACAGTATCACATCTAATTCTTCCAGCAACTCTCTGGAATAGGGACCTTTGCTACCCTGAAGAAACAAGTAGAGACAATAGCGCTAAGAAACAGAGAAGCCTAGGCCGGGTGCAGTGGCTCACGCCTGTAATCCCAACACTTTGGGAGGCCTAGGTGGGTAGATCACCTGAGGTCAGGAGTTTGAGACCAGCCTGGCCAACATGATGAAACTCCATTTCTATTAAAAATACAAAAAATTAGCCAGGCGTGGTAGCGGGTGCCTGTAATCCCAGCTACCTGGGGGACTGAGATAGGAGAATCGAGGTAACGGTTGCAGTGAGCAGAGAGAGTGCCACTGCACTCCAGCATGGGTGACAGAGCAAGACTCCATCTCAGAAAAAAAAATAAATAAAGAAATATAAAAATACAAAAAGTTATCCAGGCATGGTGGTACATGTCTGTAATCCCAGCTACTTGGGAGGCTGAGGCAGGGGAATCACTTGAACCTGGGAGGTGGAGGTTGCGGTGAACCAAGATCGCACCATTGCACTCTGGCCTGGGTGACAGAGCAAGACTCTGTCTCAAAAAAAGAAATTATATATATATATATATATTTGTGGAATGAATGAGTAAATTAATATGTGAAAGAAGCTGTGGTGTTAAAAAATATTTTAAACAAAAACGATGGCCGGACACGGTGGCTGACGCGTTGAATCCCAGCACTTTGGGAGGCTGAGGTGGGTGGATCACTCAAAATACAAAAATTTACCCGTCTCTACTAAAAATGCAAAAATTAGCCTGGCGTGGTGGCACATGCCTGTAACCCCAGGTACTCGGGAGGCTGAGGCAGGAGAATCGCTTCAACCGGGCAGGCAGAGGTTGCAGTGAGCCGAGATCGTGCCGCTGCACTCCAGCCTGGATGACAGAGTGAGACTCCATCTCAAAACAAAAAAAAAACCTCGGTGAAGTCTGGTCTGACCCCGGAGCCCTTAATCACCACCCCAGGATACCCCATTCACAAGCACAAGAAACACAGTTACACTCAGATGCCCCCTTCTCTGGGCAGAGGTTTCCTAAGACTTTGTATATATTAAGTTTTGTTAATTGCACCTCACTGAAAGGTGTTGGCCCTCTGTGCTCTCCGCCTGCCATGATTCTGGGATTTTGGTCCTCCCTGGCATCGACCCTGCTGAATCCAGACAGTAGAGACTGGGGAGTTGCTTGTTGGTGTCAGGGGATCTCTGAAAACCATGGGCTCAGGTCGTGACTTTGCAAATAATACTTCCCGGGGGAACACTGGGCATAGCATTTTTTTTCTTTTTTTGAGACAGAGTCTTGCTCTGTGGCCCAGACTAGAGCTCAGTGGCATAATCATAGCTCACTGCAGCCTCAACCTCTTTGGCTCAAGTGATTCTCTCCTCTCAGCCTCCCGAGCAGCTGAGACTACAGGCATGTACCACGGAGCCTGGATAATGTTTTGTTTATTTTTTGTAGAGACGAGTTCTCACTAGGTTGCCCAGGCTGGTCTTAAACTCCTGGCCTCAACTGATCCTTCTGTCTTGGCCTCCCAAAGTGTTGGGATTCCAGGTGTGAGCCTGGGCATAGATTTTTTATAAGTCAGTGTTTGCCAGATGTCAAATATTTGTGCTGTGGCCTGAATGTTTGTGTCTACCCAAATTTCTGTGTTGAAAGCTAATCCACAGTGTGATGGTATTAAAAGGTGGGATCTTCAGGAGGTAATTAGCACTTGAGGGTGGGCCCCTCATTAATGGGATTAGTGCCCTTGTAAGGGATTGAAGAGACCAGAGTTCTCGCCTTCTGCCACTTGAGGACAGAGTCCAAAGGCACCATGGGCTGGGCACTGAGGCTCATGCCTGTAATCCCAGCACTTTGGGAAGCTGAAGAGGGAGCATTGTTTGAGCCCAGGAGTTCAAGACCAGCCTGGGTAACAGTGTGAAACCCCATCTCTACAAAAAATATAAAAACTAGCCAGGTGTGATGGTGGGTGCCAGTAGTCCCAGCTACTCAGGAGGCTGAAGTGGGAGGATCGCTTGAGCCCGGGAAGTTAAGGCTGCAGTGAGCTGAGATCGTGCCACTGCACCCCAGCCTGGGGGACAGAGCAAGACCCTGTGTCAAAAAAACAAAAACAAAAACAAACCAAAAAAACCCACCATCTATGAACCAGAGAATGTGCCCTCACCAGACACCAAATCTACTGGTGCTTTGGTCTTGGACTTCCCAGCATCCAGAACGGTGAGAAATACATTTCTGTTGTTTATTGAAATACCCAGCTTATGGTATTTTGCTACAGCAGTCCAAAGGGACTAAGACAGTTTGTAAGTGGATCTCCTTTGAAGATCCAGGCTCAAAAAGAAAGGCAGCCAGTGGCTTTGGTCTAGCTGGCCAGCTGGGTCACCAGGGACCTGTGCATTCCCAGAGGGGCTAGCCCATGGGAAGAGGATTTGAAAAGAAATGTGAGAATCTTGCTTCACAGACAATATTTCCCTGGGGGAGAGAAAGAGAAGAGCATGTTTACATGACCAGTTTCATGTGTATTAGTGGTGGGTTGCCCTACCACTAGAAATACACATTCCTAGGAGAGAATGTAAATTTCCTTCCTTCCTTCCTTCCTCCTTCCTTCCTTCTTTCCTTCCTTCCATCCTTCTTTCCTCCCTTCCTCCCTCCCTTCCTCCCTCCCTTCTTTTCTTTCTTTCCTTCTTTCTCTCTTTCCTTCTTTCTCTCTCCTACTTTCTTATTTCTTTCTTTTTGAGATAGGGTCTTGCTCTGTTGCCCAGGCTGGAGTGTAATGGTGCAATTATGATTATGATCTTTCTTTTCTTTTCCCTCTCTTTCTTCCTTCCTTCCTTTCCTTCCTTCCTTTCCTTCTTTCCTTCCCTTCCTTCCCTTCCTTTTTTTTTGAGACGGAGTCTCGCTCTGTTGCCCAGGCTGGAGTGCAGTGGTGTGGTCTTGGCTCACTGCAACCTCTGCCTCCCGGGTTCAAGCAATTCTCCTGCCTCAGCCTCCCGAGTAGCTGGGATTACAGGTGCTCATCACCACGCCCGGCTAAATTTTTTTTTTTTGAGATGGAGTCTCACTCTGTTGCCCAGGCTGGAGTACAGTGGCATGATCTTGGCTCACTGCAAGCTCTGCCTTCCAGGTTCCCGCCATTCTCCTGCCTCAGCCTCCCGAGTAGCTGGGACTACAGGCACCCACCACCACGCCTGGCTAATTTTTGTATTTTTAGTAGAGACGGGGTTTCACTGTGTTAGCCAGGATGGTCTCGATCTCCTGACCTTGTGATCCACCCGCCTCAGCCTCCCAAAGTGCTGGGATTACAGGCGTGAGCCACCGCGCCCGGCCAATTTTTTGTGTTTTTTGTAGAGACAGGGTTTCACCGTGTTGGTCAGGCTGGTCTTGAACTCCTGACCTCATGATCAGCCCATCTTGGCCTCCCAAAGTGCTGAGATTACAGGCATGAGCCACTGTGCCTGGCCCAAATTTTTTTATACATTGCAAATACTTAAAACACCAAATAGCCCAGATGATTCTTTTTTTTTTTTTTTTTTTTTGAGATGGAGTCTTGCTCTGTCGCCCAGGCTGGAGTACAGTAGTGCAATCTTGGCTCACTGCAACCTCCATCGCCTGGGTTCAAACGATTCTTCTGCCTCAGCCCCCCAAGTAGTTGGGATTACAGGTGCACACCACCACTCCTGGCTAGTTTTTATATTTATAGTAGAGATGGGGTTTCTCCATGCTGGCCAGGCTGGTCTTGAACTCCTGACCTCAGGCAATCCACTCGCCTCAGCCTCCCAAAGTGCTAGGATTACAGGCTTGAGCCAACGTGCCTGGCCTGATGATTCTTAAATATAATATAAAAGTCTTAATTCTGGGGCTTTGATTTCCTTCATCTCTGTATTCAATTTTAAGGCTTCGTGGCTGAACATGAAAAGACACATAAGAAAACAATTTTATTGGCCAGGCACAGTGGCTCACGCCTGTAATCCTAGTACTTTGGGAGGCCAAAGTGGGAGAATCACTGGAAGCCAGAAGTTTGAAATCAGCCTGGGCAACAAAGCAAGACCCTATCTCTGTTCTTATTTGTTATTATTTTATTTATTTATTTATTTTTTGAGATGGAGTCTTGCTGTGTTGCCCAGGCTGGAGTGTGCAGTGCAGTGGCGTGATCTCAACTCACTGCAACCTCTGCCTCCCGGGTTCAAGTGATTCTCCTGCCTCAGCCTCTGGAGTAGCTGGGATTACAGGCACCTGCCATGACGCCCAGCTAATTTTTTTGTGTATTTTTAGTAGAGATGGGGTTTCACCATGTGGGCCAGGCTGGTCTTGAACTCCTGACCTCAAATGATCCATCTGCCTTGGCCTCCCAAAGTGCTGGAATCACAGGCGTGAGCCACCACGCCCGGCCTCTTATTTATTATTGTTTTTTGTGGTGGGGACAGGGTCTCACTCTGCAGCCCAGGCTGAAGTGCAGTGGTGCAATCATGGCTCAGTGCAGCCTCAGCCTCCTGGGCTCAAGTGATCTTCCTGCTTTCGCCTTCCGAACAGCTGGGACTACAGGTGCGTGCCACCACATCCAGTCAATTTTTCTATTTTTTGTAGAGACAGGGTTTTGCCATGTTGCCCAGGCTGGTCTAGAACTCCTGACCTCAAGTGGTCCACCCACCTTGGCCTCCCAAAGTGCTGGGATTACAGGTGTGAGCCACCTCCTGTCTCACCTCACAGGAGTGCTGGCCTCCTGTCTCTATTCCTAAAAAAAAAAAAAAAAAAAAAAAAAAAAAGAAAGAAAGAGAAAAGATAACAATTTTGCTAGCTAGGTGAGATTAATTCTTGGCCAGATAATTTATTATTGGGAAGGGAGTTCTGACTTTCTAGTTACGGAAAAAAAACCTTAGCCTGGCATGGTGGCTCACACCTGTAAGCCCAGCACTTTGGGAGGCTGAGGCAGGAGGATCACTGGAGCCCAGGAGTTTGAGACCAGCCTGGACAACCTAGGGAGACCCCCGTCTCTACAAAAAATTTAAAAAATTAGATGGGCATGGTGGCATGCACCCATGGTCCCAGCTACGTGGGAGGCTGAGGTGGGAGAATCGCTTGAGCCCAGGAGGTCAAGGCTGCAGTGAGGTGTGTTTGCACCATAGCACTATAACCTGGGCAACAGAGCGAGACCCTGTCTCAAAACAAAACAAAACAAAACAACCTTTTCAAAAATGCTGCTGAGCCCTTCTAAAATTGTTACCATAACAAATGGGCTTCATGGGCTACAAAGGTTTGGTCCTCTGGCCTTCAGTCTGGGTTCATGGTGTACCATCAGCTCACTTTCCTAACCAGTGACATTAGAGGGAAGTCTGTAGCTACCCAGGTGGCTCGCGGCTGGACTGGCATCAGCCGGTCTCTCTGTCGCCCAGCTCTATTCTGCATTCTTTCTGCATTCCATCTCACCGTCTGGCCTGGCCACGGCCCCTGAGAGTAGTTACATGATGCCTGGCAGGCCGATGATATTGCCTGTCACCCCTTCGGCCAGCTTTCCTCCTGGCCAGGCTGATGTTGGGGTTGTGACCCAGAGATGAACAGGCAGGTCTCAGGGGGCCCCTTGGGGAGGCTGTAGATTGTTCCTGGGAGGGATCAGCTCTCATAATGTCAACAGAGTGCAAGGGGGATGCAACTCATCTGTCATCTACCAGCCCAGGGGCGGCACCGTGTGTGGCTGCCAGGCTCAGCTTACAAACCTCAGAGTCTGGAGACCTGGAGGAGGGGAGGCGAGGAGCCCATGTTGGGGGAGATCAAATAACAGGCTCTGGGCAGGCTGGAGGGGGACAGAGGGAGGAGGCTGGCCAAGCAATCTCCAAGCCCAGCCCTGCCACCAGTCAATCCACAGATGAGCGCCTACTGCATGCAGCCCTCCCTCCCTCCCTCTCTCCCTCCCTCCCTCTCTCCCTCCCTCTCTCTCTTTCTCCTTCTTTCTTTCCTTCTTTCTTGCTTTCTTTCTTTCTTTCTTTCTTTCTTTCCTTTCTTTTTTCTCTCTCTCTTTCTCTCTCTTTCTTTCTTTCTCTCTCTGTCTCTCTCTCTCTTTCTTTCTTTCTTTCTTTCTTCCTTTCTTTCAGACAGGGTCTCACTCTGTTGCCCAGGCTGGAGTGCAGTGGTGCCATCATAGCTCACTGCAGCCTCCAACGCCTACACTCAAGCATTCCTACTGCCTCAGCCTCCTAAGTAACTGGGATTACAGGTGCACACCACCACACTCAGCTAATTTTTTTATTTTTATTTTTTTAATAGAGACAGAGTTTCACTATGTTGCCCAGGCTGGTCTTGAACTCCCGGGCTCAAGTGATCCTCCTGCCTCAGCCTCCCAGAGTGCTGGGATTACAGGTGTTTGCCACCACGCCCAGCCTAACACCTGTTATGTGCAGTGCGCTCTCTTAGGGTTCTGCTGTCTCGAAGGTGGAGGAGTGATAACCCAGCTGCGGGATGATCCTGTCTGAGGGATGATGGCAGAAGTCAGGCGTGTTCTGAATGTCCTTTGAAGGAAAGATAAAAGGATTTGCTGCTGGACTGGATTTGGTGTGAGAAATGGGGAGAGACAGGAGTCCAGGACAAGGCCAGGCTCTTGGGTCTGGCAGCTGGTGAAATAAGAGTGCCGCTCCCTGAAGATGGCGTGCGGAATCTGAATAGGTTCAGAAGGTTGCAAAATCTTTCTGGGTATGTGCTATGAACTTCAAGGCCAATGTTTCTCTACATTTTGTAACCATAGTCTGAGTAAGAAATGCATTCTGGCCGGGTGCGGTGGCTCACACCTGTACTCCCAGCACTTTGGGAGGCCGAGGTGGGTGGATCACCTGAGGTTAGGAGTTCAAGACCAGCCTGGCCAACATGGTGAGACCCTGTCTCTACAAAAATACAAAAATTAGACAGGTGTGGTGGCGGGCGACTGTAATCCTAGCTACTCGGGAGGGTGAGGCAGGACAATTGTTTGAACCTGGGAGGCAGAGATTGCAGTGAGCTGAGATTGTGCCATTGCACTCCAGCCTGGGTGAGAGAGTAAGATTCCATCTAAAAAAAAAAAAAAAAGAAATGTATTTTACACAACAATCAATACACCTGAAAGTAGAATTTCTGCAGCAATGTTTACCCGTTGCTGTGTGCAGTGCACTCTGATGTTTTCTATTGAATTTCATTTTTTAAAAATTGTGCTGGTTGTGACTTTTATCCGTTGGTCATGATCTAAAAATTGAAAATTATCATTCTAGGTTCTACCTCTTCAAGACTTAGCTTGAGTTCTTTACTGCCCTGGAGAAGTCTGGGAGTGTGGCCGGGTGACCACGGGGCAGCCAGAGCCTGGCAGGGATGACTGGAAGGAGGGGAGCTAAGACTTTGCAGTGTTCCTCCAGGGATGATGATGTAATCATGGAAGGGCTCAAAGCCTTTCCCAAGGACAGGGTCAAGGCTACTAAGTCCAAGTAGCAGGGACAGGCACAGCCCGGCCAGTAAGGGTGTGTGGCCCGGGGCTGGTGCCTCCCTTACTCCCTGGTCCTGCAGAGGACGCCTGGGATCTGCAGCACTGTGGCAATGACATGTTGGGGAGAAGGGACCCTCGCAGGCTCCCAGACCTGCTTTGTGACTTACTGAGTGAGTGCCCGACCCCTGCCTCACCAGCCCTGGGCTTCAGAGCCTGAGAATGAAACCCGCCCTTCTTCCACCTCCTCTCCTGCCCATCTCCTTCCCTCCTTCCTCTTCCCAGCTGGTGCCACGAGGAGCTGGCGGACCTCCAAGAGAATTGGCCAAGAATGCAGCCTCTGGACAGTGACCTGGGTGAGAATCATCACAGTGGCTCACCCCGGACCCAGGAATTTCACTTAGTCCTTGTCATCATCCACCAATGCGGGACAGCTCGGCCCAGATTGTTCATGGCTCAAGACCCCCACCCCACCCCATTCTGCTTGGTTGGGCTGTGTTGTTTATTTTATTTAATGAATTAATTTATTTATTTGAAACAGAATCTTGCTCTGTTGCCCAGGCTGGAGTGCAATGGCACGATCTCAGTTCACTGCAACCTCTGTCTCCCGGGTTCAACTGATTCTCCTTGCCATGGTCCCCTAAGTAGCTAGGATTACAGGTGCCTGCCACCACACCCGGCTACTTTTCATGTTTTTAGTAGAGACAGGGTTTCATTGTGTTGGCTGGGCAGGTCTTGAACTCCTGACCTCAGCTGATCTGCCTGTCTCAGCCTCCCAAAGTGCTGGGATTACAGGCATGAGCCACCATGCCCGGCCGCACTGTGCTGTTTTTAAGCCTCTTGAATATCATCACCTCTCTTTGTTTACAGATGGGGAAACAGTTTACAGACGGGGAAACAGGCTCAGAGGGAAAAAATACCTTTTCAGGGTTTTCCAGGCAAAGAGTGGCAGAGCAGAGACCAACCTCCGCCTGGCCAAAGCCCTTCTCTGCTTCCTGTCCATTTGTGGGTGATCTGGTGGTTTCTCCTTTTCTTTCTTTCTCTCTCTCTCTCTTTCCTTTCTGACAGAGTCTTGCTTTGTCGCCCAGGCTGGAGTGCAATGGTGTCATCTCGGCTCACTGCAACCTCTACCTCACGGGTTCAAGCGATTCTCCCACCTCAGCCTCCCAGGTAGCTGGGACTACAGGCGTGTACCACCACACCTTGCTTTTTTTTTTTTTTTTTTTTTTGTATTTTTAGTAGAGACGGGGTTTCACCATGTTGGCCAGGCTGGTTTCGCACTCCTGACCTCAAGTGATCTGCCCACCTTGGCCTCCCAAAGTGCTGGGATTATAGGCATGAGCCACTGCTCCCGGCCAGATCTGGTGGGGTTTTTTTGAGACACAGCCAGATCTTCACAGTGCCAGGTGGGGTGATGTGCAGGACTGCAGCTGTGTCTGGATTCTGGACAAGGCTCCAAATGATCACCACCATATCTTGGCTGTTCAGTTAGGTGGGTCTGGGCTAGAGATGAGAAAGGAGGGGTGAGGGAGGAGGAGAGGAATCTGAGCCTCAGATCTGAGGCTGCAGGCCTCTCTGCATCATCTCCTCTTCCACATGGTACCCACTTTTGGGAAAGGCATCCGGATGTGTGCATTGAACAGTATACAAGGGCCTGTGGTCCTGGGACAATATTTTAACACAGGCTTTATTATTATTTGGGTATAGTAAAACCAAGAGATCCTGAGATGACAGTTATTAGGAAGGTTGTTGTACTTACAAATTCCAAGAGGAGGGGACATGCCATACTATGGAGACCACACAGGGACTCACCAGGGTAGGTCAGGAGGCAGAGGGAACACAGGGAGCTCTGGGCAAGAGGCTTTATTGTGGGCAAGATGGGGACACACAGTAAAAGCTTACTTCTCATTCCTGTTATTGCCCAGGCTGCCTGGGCAGATGCTCTACTCCACGCAGTCATTTAGGGATCCAGGCTATTTCCATCTAGTGGCCCCACCATCCTCCCAGGCCTCATAATATTCCACTGGATCAGTCCAGCAGGTGAGAGGGATGAGGGCATGGAGAGTTATGGGGGAGATATTTGTGGGTCAGCCCCAGAAACGTAACACGTCACTCCTGCCCACATTCTCTACTGAACTGCAGAGGAGGCTTGGAAGTGTAGTCAGGCTCTGTGTGCCCAGAAGGAAAACAAGACAGGGCTTGATGAACACAGATCCCAGTCTCTGCATTGAGAGCATTTCCCAGAAGCCACCGTAAGGGCTTCTCCTTTTGAGTCACGGATCAGAGCTGAGTCACATGCACACTGGCAAGAGGAACCAGGATCACCCTGATATCTAAACCATCAGGATTTCCTTCCAGACTTGGGAATGGGAGGAGATGCCAACAAACTCAAGGCTGTATTAGACAGGAAGTGGGGATGGCTAATGGATAGGTGACAGACAGTTTCAGCCCCTTCTTCTCACAGCTCCCTGCCATTTCTCCTCACCACTCCACAATCCCCATCCTTTTTTTTTTTTGAGACGGATTTTTGCTCTTGTCACCCAGACTGGAGTGCAATGGCGTGATCTCAGCTCACTGCAACCTCTGTCTCCCGGGTTCAAGCGATTCTCTTGCCTCAGCCTCCTGAGTAGCTGGGACTATAGGCACATGCCATCACGCCTGGCTAATTTTTGTATTTTTAGTAGAGACATGGCAGCAGGCAAGAGAGAAATGAGAACCAAGTGAAAGGGGTCCCCCGTTATAAAATCATCAGATCTTGGCCAGGCGCGATGGCTCATGCCTGTATTCCCAGCACTTTGGGAGACTGAAGCAGGCAGATCACCTGAGGTTGGGAGTTCGAGACCAGCCTGGCCAACATGGAGAAACCCCGTCTCTACTAAAAATACAAAAATTAGCTAAGTGTGGTGGTGCACGCCTGTAGTCCCAGCTACTTGGGAGGCTGAGGCAGGAGAATCACTTGAATCTGGGAGGCAGAGGTTGCAGTGAGCTGAGATCACACCATTGTACTCCAGCCTGGGCAACAAAGCCAGCTCAAGAAAAAAAAAATCAGATCTTGTGAGACTTATTTACTACCATGAGAACAGTATGGGTGAATCCGCCTCCATGATTCAATTATCCCCCCCAAGTCCTTCCTATAACACGTGAGAATTATAGGAGCTACAATTCAAGATGAGATTTGGGTGGGGACACAGCCTAATAATATCACCCCCTCCCTCACTAACCTCCATTAGTTCTTCTTCCCTGAGGGTTGAACAGAAACCAGCCTTTTGTGTTTTGTTTTTTATTTGTTAGTTTGTTTTTGAGACAGTCTCGCTCTGTTGCCAGGCTGGAGGGCAGTGGCATGATATCAGCTCACTGCAACCTCCGCCTCCTGGGTTCAAGCGATTCTCCTGCCTCAGCCTCCCGAGTAGCTGGGACTACAGGTGCGTACGACCATGCCCAGCTAATTTTTGTATTTTTAGTAGAGACGGGGTTTCACCATGTTGGTCAGGATGGTCTCGATCTCTTGACCTCAAATGATCCGTTCACCTCTGCCTCCCAAAGTGCTGGGATTATAGGCATGAGCCACCATGCCCAGCCAAACCAGCCTTTTTGAAAGGCTCATTCCACTGTTGATATCAACCAATTGCCCGATGCTACCTGTTTTGTGATTTTGACACAACTGACCAGCATTCCTTCGTGATAAGATACTATCAGTCACAGAGTGGTTCTGGCCAGTCTACAGAGTTTGCACACTGAGGGCCCTCATGACCTCGGCTTCGCCTTTTGTTTTTGTTTGTTTGTTTTTTGAGAGAGTCTTACTCTGTCTCCCAGGCTGGGGTGCAGTGCAGTGGTGGGATCTCGGCTCACTGCAATCTCCGCCTTCCAGGTTCAAGCGATTCTCCTTCTTCAGCCTCCCCAGTAGCTGGGATTACAGACACCTGCCACCATGCCTGGCTAATTTTTGTATTTTTAGTAAAGACGGGGTTTCGTCATATTGGCCAGGCTGGTCTTGAACTCCTGACCTCAAGTGATCTGCCTGACTTAGCCTCCCAAAGTGCTGGAATTACAGGTGTGAGCCACTGCACCCAACCCTCTGCTTCACCTTTTGATGTATAGGGCCTAATTGTAATGTGTTTAAATGTTAAATTGTAATACATTTAAATATTCACCCCAGATGAACATGGGATGCATGTGCATATGTTGGCCTACTATGCATGCACACGTTTCCCCTTTGTGAATATTCATAGCTCCTCCTGTAACCTGTTGAATATATATATTTGGCCACCCCATTCAGCATAAACCCCTGTCTTCATCTTCCCACCTTCAAAGTGCCTGTTTTTGGCTTCTGGCCAGAGGCTACACTTCTGAGCTTGTCAGAATAGACCACCTGCAGGCTGCAACCCCTTATGAGAAATAAAGCTCTCCTTTCCAAGTGTATGAACCTCATCATTCTTCAGCTGACACAGCTAAATTTCAGGGAACACTACAACTAAAGGGAAGAAGGGAAGAAAGGCTGTGGGGATGCTGCTTAGTTTCTACCATGACATGATGGCAGGCACAGTGCTAAGCTTGCTCATGTATCTTTTTTTTTGAGACAGAGTCTCACTCTGTCACCCAGGCTGGATTGCAGTGGCACAATCTCAGCTCACTGCAACCTCCACCTCTCAGGTTCAAGCAATTCTCATGCCTCAGCCTCTTGAGTAGCTGGGACTACAGGCACCCGTCACCACACCTGGCTAATTTTTTGTATTTTAAGTAGAGGCAGGGTTTTGCCATGTTGCCCAGGCTGGTCTCGAACTCCTGAGCTCAGGCAATCTGCCCGCCTTGGCCTCCCAAAGTGCTAGGATTACAGGCATGAACCACTGCACCTGGCTGCTCATGTATCGTTTAATTGAACCTCCCGCAATCCTATGAGGATGCTGGATCAGGGAAAAGGACTTTGGTTACAAGCAGCAGGAAGTCCAGTTAACATTGGGGCCTGCTAATACAAGGGTACTTATTGTTTATTTAACAAGCACTCTTGAGATAAGCTATCTTGGGATCTTGGGGTTGGTCTAGCAGCTCAGTTATGTCTTCAGGGAGCCAGCCTGCTTCTCTTCCTTTCCATCACCCTCAGCATGTTGGTGTTTGTCTTAGAGGTTGGCAGCCTCAGCGGCTGGGACCATAACTTCACACACAAAGGCAGGAAGACATAGGAAGGGAAGGGCGCCCAGCACACTTCCCCTGATGCCTTCTTGAGCAGAACTGGGTCAAAGGGCTACCTTTAGCTGCAAAGGAGGCTGTGAAAGCAAACATCCAGCAAAGGGGAACAAGCTAGCCACATCTGGTGTATTCTTTTTTTTTTTTTTTTTTTTGAGATGGAGTCTCGCTCTATTGCCCAGGTTGGAGTGCAATGGCACGATCTCATCTCACTGCAAACTCCGCCTCCTGGGTTCAAGCAATTCTTTTGCCTCAGCCTCTCAAGTAGCTGGGATTACAGATACCCACCACCATGCCCAGCTAATTTTTTGTATTTTTAGTAGAGACAGGATTTTGCCATGTTGGCCAGGCTGGTCTTGAACTCCTGACTTCAGGTGATCTACCCGCCTCGGCCTCCCAAAGTGCTGGGATTACAGGCGTGAGCCACTGTGCCCAGCTACGTCTGGTGTATTCTAATTCATCATCCACGGCTGGGCACATGGCTGCACCAAAAAAAAAAAAAAAAGAAAAAAATAGCTAGGTTCTGTTAGCCAGGAAGTGGGGGATGGCCTGCAAGTAACAGAATCTGCCACAGTAGGAACAAGGTGACATCTACAATGTTTAATAATGGCATGGTATGGCGGTGGCCATCATTGCTGACATAGGCTGGGGCACCTGATTAGGGTCTCAGACACTCCCTTGTGTGCCCCTTTGATTATGGAGAGACAAGGAAACTCCAAAGAAGGAGCAAAAGAAAGGAGGGCACTTGGCAGTGAACACTCAACAAGCAGTGTAGAAGATTTTAACATTTACTGCAATCCCAGCACTTTGGGAGGCTGAGGCGGGAGGATCACTTGAGGTCAGGAGTTCGAGACCAGCCTGGTCAACATGGGGAAACCTCATCTTTACTAAAAAAAAAATACAAAAATTAGCTGGGCATGGTGGCACGCACCTATAATCCTTACTACTTGGAAGGCTGAGGTGGGAGAATTGGTTGAATCCGGGAGGTGGAGGTTGTAGTGAGCTGAGATCGTGCTGCTGCACTCCAGCCTGGGCAACAGAGCGAGACTCCGTCTCAAAACAAAACAAAACAAAATTAACATTTAAATGACCTGTTCGGCTGATAGAGAGTTCCCACTCCAGACCCCCATGAAGGCAATCAAGAGCCCTCTGGTTGCTCTGTGGCCCCCTAGGAATGTTCATAAAGGCAGAACATCACTGTCTCAGTCTGTTTGTGCTGCTGTGACAACATATCTATGACTGGGTAATTTACAAAAAACAGAAATTTATTTTCTCACTGTTCTGGAGGCTGGGAAGTGCAAAATCAAGGTGCCAGAAGATTCAGTTTCTGGTGAAGATCACTCTCAGCTTCCAAGATAACAGCTCATTTTTTTTTTTTTTTTTTTTTTTTGAGATAGGATCTTGCTCTGTCACCCAGGCTGGAGTGCAGTGGTGCAATCATGGTTCACTGCAGCCTTGAACTCCTGGGCTCAAGAGATCCTCCCCTGGCCAGGCACGGTGGCTCACACCTGTGATTCTAGAACTTTGGGAGGCCAAGGCAGGCAGATTGCCTGAGCTCAGGAGTTCGAGATCAGGCTGGGCAACATGGTGAAACCTCGTCTCTACTAAAAATACAAAAATTAGCCAGGTATGGTGGTGCATGCCTGTAATCCCAGCTTACTCTGGAGGCTGGGGCAGGAGAATTGCTTGAACCCAGGAGACAGAGGTTGCAGGGAGCTGATATTGCACCACTGTACTCCAGCCTGGGTGACAGAGCGAGACTCTGTCTCCAAAAAAAAAGGTCCTCCCATCTCAGCCACCTGAGTAGCTAGGACTACAGGTGCATGCCACTGGGCCCGACTAGTTTTTTAATATTTTGTAGAGACGGGGGTCTCACTATGTTGTCCAGGATGGTCTCAAACTCCTGGACTCTAGTGATCCTCCCGCCTCAGCCTCCCAAAGTGCTGGGACTACAGGTGTGAACCACCATGCCCAGCCAATAAAAACCACAAGAATCTAATAGTCATCCCCTGGGCCAGACCTTGTTCTAAGCACATTGCACATATTAATATGCAGCTTGTGCAGGTATATACGGTTATATTATATGGGTAGGTAGAATATATAATATATATAGAATAATAAGTAGATACTTTATTGGCACTATTATGTAGAGGAGAAAGGTCTTAGAAATTAAGCAGTTTGTAGCCACGCGCAGTGGCTCACGCCTGTAATCCCAACACTTTGGGAGGCCGAGGAGGGCGGATCACTAGAGGTCAGGAGATCGAGACCAGCCTGGCCAACATAGTGAAACGCTATCTCTACTAAAAATACAAAAATTAGCCAGGCGTGGTGGCTGGCGCCGTAATCCCAGCTACTCGGGAGGCTGAGGCAGGAGAATCACTTGAACCCAGGAGACAGAGTTTGCAGTGAGCCGAGATTGCACCACTGCTCTCTAGCCTGGGCGACAGGGCAAGACTCCGACTCAAAACAAAACAAAAAAAATAAGTGGTTTGCCTAAAGCAGTGGTTTTCAGTTGGGAATGATTTTTCCCCCTGGGGATATTTGGCAGTATCTGGACACATTTTTTGGCTCTCACAACTGAGAAGCAGGGGTGCTATTGGCATCTAGTGAGATGAGGCCAGAAATGCTGCTAGACATTTTCCAATTCCCAGGGTGGGCCCTTCCAGCCAGAATTATCCAGCCCCAAATGTCACCAGTACCAAGAATGAGAAACTCTGCCCTACAGACATTGCTGCCCATGGCCCCTGGAGGAAGGTAGATAATGTTCACAGCAACATGGGTGAGAAATAGTCCCCAAACTGGGGGCACTAGCACACTAAGGACACAATGACACATAGATTGTAGTCCACTCCCATATTGGACAAAATTGATGAACAGTAGTTATCTTCATCAAAATGGATGAATCTCATATTAATGTTGAATGAAAGATGCAGGTCACAGAAGAATCCAGGTGGTATGCTTTCATTTGTATCATTTATATCATTTATATCAAACACAGGCCAGGCACGGTGGCTCATGCCTGTCATCCCAGCACTTGGGGCGGCCAAGGTGTGTGGATCACTTGAGGTCAGGGGTTTGAGACCAGGCGTGGTGAAACCCCATCTCTACTAAAAATACAAAAATTAGCAGGACGTGGTGGCGGACACCTGTAGTTCCAGCTACTCGGAAGGCTGAGGCAGGAGAATCGCTTAAATCCAGCAGACAGAGGTTACAGTGAGCCAAGATCACGCCACTGCACTCCAGCTTGGGCAACAGAGTGAGATTCCATCTCAAAAAGAAACAACAACAACAACAAAAAAACTACACACACGCACACACACTCACACACACGATAGATGGCCAAACACTAAAAAAAAAGCCTGCAAGAGATTATTACAAAAAATTAGGATATTGCCAAGCATAGTGGCTTTCACCTGTAATCTTAGTGACTTGGGAGGCTGAGGTGGGAGGCCAGAAGTTTGAGACCAGCCTGGGAAACATAGTGAGACCCCATTTCTGCAGACAAAAAATAAAAAGTTAGTTAGGCATGGTGGTCCACACTTGTAGTCCCAGCTACTTGGGATGTTGAGGTGAGAGGATCGCTTGAGCCCAGGAGTTTGAGGCTGCGGTGAGCCATGATTGCATCACTGCACTCCAGCCTGGAAAACAGAGTGAGGCCTCCCACTCTAAAAAAACAAATCAGGCCAGGCGTGGTGGTTCAAGCCTATAATTCCAGCACTTTGGGAGGTCGAGGTGGCCAGATCACTTGAGGTCAGGAGTTCGAGACCAGCCTGGCCAACATGATGAGACTCCATCTCTACTAAAAATACAAAGAATTAGCCGGGCATGGTGGCACATGCCTGTAATCTCAGCTACTCGAGAGGCTGAGGCAGGAGAATCATTTGAACCCAGGAGGTGGAGGTTGCCGTGGGCCAACCTTGAGTGGAGGTTACACCACTGCACTCCATCCTGGGTGACAGGGTGAGACTCCATCTCAAAAAAAAAAAAAAAAAATATATATATATATAATTATATATTTTATATATTATTATATATATTATATATTATATATTTAAAAATATATATTATATATTTAAAATATATATTATACATATTATATATTTATATATATTATATATTATATATATATAAATAAATAAAAATTAAAAAACAAATGAGAGGCTGGGCATGGTGGCTCACGCCTGTAATCCCAGCACTTTGAGAGGCCAAGGCAGGAGGAGCACTTGACCCCAGCAGTTTGAGACCAGCCTGGGCAACACAGTAAGACCCCGTCTCTATAACAGCAAAAACAACAACAAAAATTAGCCAGGTGTGCTGGCTCACACTTGTAGTCCCAGCTACTTGCGAGGCTGAGGTGGGAGGATCCCTTGAGCCCAGGAGACGGAGCCTGCAGTGAGCTGAGATCACAGCACTGCACTCCAGCCTGGGTGACAGAGCAAGACCCTGTCTCAAAAAAAAGATCAGATTATTGATGATCTCTGAGTATGATGGAAGGGAAAGGAAAGCAGGCTTCTAAAGCACTGGTAATATTCCATTTCAGAACTTAGTTGGTGGACAGAAAAGTATTTTATTGTTGTTTAAAAATAAATACACAAGCACACACACTTTTTTACTTATGTAGGGTTTCCTGGGAAACAGATTCTGAGGTGGAGATTTGCAGGCAGATGGTTTTGGAGGAGTGCTCTGTGGGGGGAAACTTCTAAGGGAGAGAGGAGCGCAAGGTGGGCAGAGGGAGACGTGGAAGTGTGATGTGCTTGCCACCAGAGCCTCAGCCAGGATGGCAGAGAATGCGGAGCTGGGGTGGCCTGTCCGAGGGATCCCCGGCTGAGGCATGGAGCCAGGCCTTTGTACTTCCTTATGAACCAGATATAGAATGTGGGCTGCCCCTGGGGATTGGGGATAACCTTGGGCCAGATGGCTTTCTTCAGCTGAAGTCCCAGAGAGAGGTGCAGCTGTAAGCCATCAGCTACCAACACCCCAGGCTGCTGGCAGAAAGAATGCCTCAGTCCTAAAGAGGGGGTGTGGGTGGCATATTACAGCATCCAGCACGCCTTTGTACCTACGATGTATTTGACAACAAAAATTTAGAAAGAGGCCGGGTGCAGTGGCTCACGTCTGTAATCCCAGCACTTTGGGAAGCTGAGGCAGGTGGATCACTTAAGGTCAGGAGTTCAAAACCAGCCTGGCCAACATGGTGAAACCCCGTCTCTACTAAAATACAAAAATTAGCCAGGTGTGGTGGTGGGCGCCTGTAGTCCCAGCTACTTGGGAGGCTGATACAGGAGTATCACTTGAACCCAGGAGGCGGAGGTTGCAATGAGCCAAGATCTTGCCCCTGGACTCCAGCCTGGGTGACAGAGAGAGACTCCATCTCAAAAAAGAAAAAATAAATTTAGAAAGAAAATATATTCATGTAATACATCATATTAACAGATGAAAAGATACAAATAATTTGATAGAATTTGACACTCTAGGCTATGCACAGTGGCTTACACCTGTAATCCCAGCCCTTTTCGAGGCCGAGGTGGGAGGATCGCTTGAAGCCAGGAGTTTGAGACCAGGCTGGGAAACAAAGAAAGACCTTGTTTCTACAAAAATTAAAAAATTAGCCACACACTCCTGTAGTCCCAGTTAATCAGGAGGCTGAGGCAGGAGGATTGCTTGAGTCCAGGAGTTTGCGGCTACAGTGAGCCATGATAATAGTCTTCAATCTGATAAAAGGAACCTACCAAAATCCTATAACAGGTATCCAACTTAATTAGAAAAATTACCTTTAAAGAACTGTCTTAGTCCATTTTATGTTGCTGTGACTGAATACCTGAGACTGGGTAATTTATAAAGAAAAGGGGTTTATTTCTTACAGTTCTGGAGGCTGGGGAGTCCAAGTTTGAGGGTTTTTTTTCTGGTCAGCCTCTGGTGAGGGTCTTGTACTGTGTCATAATATGGCAAAAGGCATCATGGCCAAGAGGGGTGCACTGAAGTCCAAACTGGCTTTTTATACCAAACCCACTGTGGCGATAACTCACCCACTCCCATGATAACTCATTCAACCATTAATTTTTTTTTTTTTGAGAAGGAATCTTGCTCTGTCACCCAGGCAGGAGTGCAGTGGTGCGATCTCAGCTCACTACAACATCCGCCTCCCGGGTTCAAGCGATTCTTTTGTATCAGCCTCCTGAGTAGCTGGGATTACAGGTGCGTGCCACCACATCCGGCTAATTTTTGTATATTTAGTAGAGACAGGGTTTCTCCATGTTGGCCAGGCTGGATTCGAACTCCTGACCTCAGGTGATCCCCCTGCCTCAGGCTCCCAAAGTGCTGGGATTACAGGCGTGAGCCACTGTGCCTGGCCAATTTTTGTATTTTTAGTAGAGATGGGGTTTAACCATGTTGGCCAGACTGGTCTCGAACTCCTGGCCTCAAGTGATCCACCCGCCTCAGCCTCCCAAAGTGTTAGGATTACAGGCGTAAGCTACCGTGCCCAGCCTCACCCCCAGTCTTTCATCTGATGCCTGACGATGTCCAGGCAACGTGGTAATAATCATCCAGTTCCATTTTCCTTGTATTTAGTTTTCCTGCCGTACATCTCAAAAGGCTGAATCAACTCATTTGCCCATGCATCTCCTCCACCAGCACATTCTCCCAAGCCTCCATGGGTGACAGTTTCAACAACTGGACTGTCACCTGTGCCAGGGACTGTGCTTCCCCTACCCCCTGGGATGGTGTCCTCATTGTCAGCCAGGCACCGAGAGATTTGGTTCCCAAGCCTCATGTTACCATCTGCTTTCTCAGACCACTCCTGGTAGAAGCTATGCGGTTCTGCTTCACTAGGAAGCAATCCTGAGATGGATTTTGAAGTGCAGGCCAGAGACGCTGCCTCACACTTATAATCCCAGCACTTTGGGAGGATCACTTGAGGCTAGGAGTTTGAGACCAGCCTGGGCAACATAGTGAGACCCTGTCTCTACAAAAAATAAAAAATTACCTGGGCATAGTGGTGCACATGTAGTCCTACTTACTCAGGAGGCTGAGGCAGGAGGATCACTTGAGCCCGGGGGGTTGAGGCTGCAGCAAGCTATGATTGTGCCACTGCACTCCTGGGCCTGGGCAACAGAGCAAGACCTCACTTCCAAAAAAAAAAAAAAGTGCAAAAGCATTTTCAAGGAGTTACACTTGTGAAATGAAAAGTATTGACCGGGTGCTGTGGCTCAAGCCTTTAATCCCAGCACTTTGGGAGACCGAGGTGGGCGGATCACCTGAGGTCAGGGGTTCGAGGCCAGCCTGACTGACACGCTGAAATCCCATCTCTACTAAAAATACAAAAAATTAGCCGGGCGTGGTGGCGCATGTCTGTAACATATATATATATGTAAAGGATTAGATAAATAAATATCTTCTGCAGTAGGACTGTTGAAAGAAAAATTAAAAAGAAAAAATAAAAATAAATATAGATAGAATGTGTGTTTATCTCCATCTATCCATGTATTCATCTATCAACATTATACACACACACACTCCCTAGTTCTGTCCACTGAGAGGTCCTGGGAGTGGTGACACCCCAGTAGTAATGAATACACCAAGCACCCAGATATGGTGTGCTTGGTGTGTTCTACATCCCTCCACTATGGAAGTATGACAGGAACTTGGCACATATCGTTGTGCCGGAAAAGTAAGGAAGTGCTTGAGGAATGATGAGGGCATATTAAAATGACATAGGAATCAGCCTGAAGGATCTCTCAATGGCCAAATCTGGGGCAATTTTATTTATTTATTTATTTTTTTTTTTGAGATGGAGTCTCCCTCTGTCACCCAGGCTGGAGCACAATAGCGCGATCTTGGCTCACTGCAACCTCCGCCTCCTGGGTTCAAGCAATTCTCCCACCTCAGCCTCCCGAGTGGCTGGGATTACAGGCATCCGCCATCATGCCCAGCTAATTTTTGTATTTTTGTAGAGACAGGGTTTCACCATCTTTGCCAGGCTGGTCTAGAACTCCTGACCTCAGGTGATCTGCCCTCCTCGGCCTCCCAAACTGCTGGGATTAGACGCATGAGCCACCACTCCCGGCTAATTTTAGAACCAAAATGAATAAGAAGAGTGTGATGAACGGAATTGTGTCTCTGTCCCCAGATTCATATGTTGAATCCTAATCTCTAGAGTGACTGTATTTAGAGACAGCGTCTTTAGAGAGGTAATTAAGATCACATGAGGTCATGAGGGTGGAGCCCTACCCCATTATGCTTTGGGTTTTTTTTTTTTTTTTTTCTGAGATGGAATCTAGCTCCATCACCCAGGCTGGAGTGCAGTGGTTTGATCTTGGCTCACCGCAACCTCCGCCTCTTGGGCTCAAACGATCCTCCCACCTCACTCCCTGAGTAGCTGGGGCTACCGGCATGCGCCACCATGCCTGGATAATTTTTGTTTTTTTAAGTAGAGACAGGGTTTTGCCACGTTGGCCAGGATGGTCTTGAACTCCTGACCTCAGGTGATCTGCCCACCCTGGCCTCCCAAAATGCTGGGATTACAGGCGTGAGCCACAGCACCCGGCCAATTATGCTATGTCTTTATAAGAAGAAGGAGAGAACAAGGATGTGTGCCCACAAAGGAAAGGCCATGAGAGAGAGGACACAGCCAGAAGGTGGCCATCTGCAAGCCAAGGAGAGGCATTAAGAGAAACCAAGCCTGCCAGGCTGGGCACCGTGGCTCATGGCTGACGTAGCAGGATCACTTGAACCCAGGAATTCTAGACCAGCCCGGGCAACAAAGAGAGATCCCATCTCTACAAAAAAATTTTAAAAATTAGCCGGGCGTGGTGGTGCACGCCTTGTAGTCCCGGCTACTCTGGGAGGCTGAGGCAGGAGGATGGCTTGAGCCCAGGGAGCCCGGGAGGTTGAGGCCGCAGTGAGCTATTGTCGCACCAGTGCACTCCAGCGTGGGTGATAGAGCATGACACTCAAAAGAAACAAAAACCAAAAAAGACATCAACCTGCCAACACCTTTTTTTTTTTTTTTTTTTGACAGAGTCTCGTGTCCTCCAGGCTGAGGCTGGAATACAGTGGCGTGATCTTGGCTCACTGCAACTTCTGCCTTCCAGGTTCAAGTGATTCCCATGCCTCAGCCTCCCAAGTAGCTGGGATTACAGCATGAGCCACCATGCCCATCTCATTTTTTTGTATTTTTAGTAGAGTCGGGGTTTCACCATGTTGGCCAGGCTAGTCTCAAACTCCTGACCTCAAGTGATCGCCCACCTCCGCCTCTCAAAGTGTTGGGATTACAGGCATGAGCCACCACGCCCGGCTATGCCAACACCTTGATCTTGGACTTCCAGCTTCTAGAACTGTGAGAAGTAAATTTCTGTTGTTGAAGCCCCCAAGTCTGTGAATTTTGTTACGGGAGCCCAAGCCAATGGATACAGAGAGTAACATTGTAGCCCACTGAATAAAATAGGAAACCACAAGTCAATACTGATATATGTAGATAAATGAATGAATCCAAAGGTTGATGAAGAATGGGATATTTACAGTGTTTTAAAGAACTTATGAAACACTAATTACAAAGAGGAAAGTAACTTGACAGTGAAGGTTGGCTGACACCACTTTAAATCAAGTGATCAAGGTGAAATGTCATCAATACTGGGACAAATTGAAATTGTGCAGCACATGAAAAATGCAGTGGGGACACACAGAAAAGTCTCTTTGGTGATATTCTTGCCAAAGATGTTATAATCTGAATCTAATTATAAAGAAACATCAGACAAAAGCAAATGGAGAGACACTGTGCAAAGTAAAACTGGCCTGGCCAGGAGTGGTGGTTCATGCCTGTAATCTTAGCACTTGAGGCTGCCGAGGTGGGCGGATCACTTGAGGTCAGGAGTTCAAGACCAGCCTGGCAAACATGGTGAAAAACCCGTCTTTACTGAAAATACAAAAATTGGCCAGGCAAGGTGGCCTACTCCTGTAATCCCAGCACTTTGGGAGGCCAAGGTAGGTGGATCACCTGAGGTTGGGAGTTCGAGACCAGCCCAACCAACATGGAGAAACCCCGTCTCTACTAAAAATACAAAAAATTAGCCTGGCGTGGTGGTGCATGCCTGTAATCCCAGCTATTCGAGAGGCTGAGGTAGGAGAGTCGCTTGAACCCGGGAAGCAGAGGTTGCGGTGAGCCTAGATCACGCCACTGAACACCAGCCTGGGCAACAAGAGCGAAACTCCTTCTCAAAAAAAGAAAAAGAAAAAAGAAAAAAAAGCACATCCCGCTAACCACAGAGATCTATCTTCGAAAGCCAAGTGGCTTCCTCCTTGTTTCTGTATGAATTGTTTTATGTGGTTCAAGACATTGACTCAGGCACAGCAAGTACAGCTGACCAGTAAGTTGAAGCTGATCTGAACAGTGTTCAGGGCTGAGACAGTGTCCTAATAATCAGGGGACAACACACACACGAAATATAATCCCAGGCCAGGTGCTGTGGCTCATGCCTATAATCCCAGTACTTTGGGAGGGTAAGGCGGGAAGATCACTTGAGCCCAGGAGTTCAAGACCAGCCTGGGCAACATAGAGAAACCCCATCTCTACAAAAGATGCAAAAAAGGCATGGTGGTGTGCGCCTATAGTCACAGCTCCTTGGGAGGCTGAGGTGGGAGGATCACTTGAGGCCAGGAATTCGAAGCTGCAGTGAGCTGAGATCATACCACTGGACTCTAGCCTGGGTGTCTCCAAAAAAAAAAAAAAAAAAAAATACAGAAAAGTACAATCCCAGAGGGCACACGTGGTGCCCCCTGGAGACAGAGAGTTTACAGTTTTTAGGGAACCCCAGGCAGGAGGTGCATTCATAAGAGGTTCAGGGGCCCCAGTGTGGTGTTCCAGCCTGGGCCTCCAGCCCTAAAGTTGCCAGACCAGTCCAAACGGATCTGCTCAGTCCTTGCTGTCAGAGGGAATGCCCAAGGCAGTCAATTCCAGATGGGTTTTGCATGTCCATGACAACAGTGTCTCTGCCTGAGGAGTGTGGACAGCAACCCCAGCTGGGCGTTCTGGTGGAATATCCAGGAGCTGGGCCACCCCAGGTGGCAGGTGAGCAGGTGGAAGTATAGGGATCAAATGGAGGGTCACAGTCAATTTGAATTCAAATCAGTCCAGCAGCTTGGAAAGGCAAGACCGGGTGTTTCTTCTTATTTTTCTTTGGGAGGAGGGGAAAGTTCTCGGGAGTAGTTCTGAAAGGCAGAGGTCATTACTGCCCACCCCCAACTCTGCATCTCCCCAGATGCCAAGTTTGTGTTTGGGCTTTTTTTCAAACATTAATTAATTAACTAGTTAATTTTTAGAGACAAGGTCTCTCTCTGTCACCCAGGCTGGAGTGCAATGGCGCGATCTCAGCTCACTGCAACCTCCGCCTCCCAGGCTCAAGCGATCCTCCCACCTCAGCCTCCCAAGTAGTTGGGACTACGGGCACATGCCACCACGCCTGGCTAATTTTTGCATTTTTTGTAGAGATGGAGTTTCCCTATGTTGCCCAGGTTGCCCAGGCTGGGCTCGAACTCCTGGGCTCAAGAAATCTGCCTGCCTCGGCCTCCCAAAGTGCTGGGATTATAGGTGTGAGCCACCGCACTCTGCCTGTGTTTTGGCTATTTAAAAATGTTTTATTGGCTAGGCATGGTGGCTCACATCTGTGATCCTAGCAATTTGGGAGGCTTAGGTGAGCGGTTGCCTGAGCTTAGGAGCTCGAGACCAGCCTGGCCAACATGGTGAAACCCCCATCTCTACTAAAAATATGAAAAATTAGCCAGGCATGGTGGTGCACGCCTATAGTCCCACTTACTTGGGAGGCTGAGGCACAATACTCACTTGAACCTGGGAACCAGAGGTTGCAGTGAGCGGAGATGGTGCCACTGCACTCCAGCCTGGGCAACAGAGTGAGACTCTGTCTCAAAAAAAAAAAAAAAGAAGGTTTTATTTATTTAAATATAAATGGGGTCTCACTATGTTGCCCAGGCTGGACTTGAACTCCTGGGCTCAAGCGATCCTTCTGCCTCAGCCTTTTGAGTAGCTGGGATTACAAGCATGTGCTAATGTAACCGGCTCTGTTTTTGCCTTTTTGTTACAAAATCAGTATGTCTCATTCGGTCATTATAACTTTAGATTTTTTTCCATTTTTACGGAGGTAAAATTCATACAATATATAAATCACTATTTTAGCCATTTAAAAATGTATATAATTCAGTGGTTTTCGGTACATTCACAATGTTGTACAACCATCACCACCATCTAGTTCCCAAATCACCCCAAACAATCCGTGTACCTGTGAGCAGTCACTCTCCATCCTCCCTCCTCCTCCCTGGCAACCGCTAATCTATTTCCTGTCTCCACAGATTTTCCGATTCTGGGCAATTCATATAAATGGATTCATAAAATATGTGGCCTTCTTTCATTTAGCATGTTTTCAAGGTTCATCCATATTGCAGCATATATCAGTATTTCATTCCTTTTTTGTACGTTTGTTTTGAGACAGAGTCTCGCTCCATCGCCCAGGCTGGAGTGCAGTGGGGTAATCCTGGCTCACCACAACCTCTGCCTCCCAAGTTCAAGCAATTCTCCTGCCTCAGCCTCCTGAGTAGCTGGGATTACAGGCACCCGCCACCATGCCCAGCTAATTTTTTGTATTTTTAGTAGAGACGGGGTTTCACCATATTAGCCAGGCTGGTCTCGAACTCCTGACATCAAGTGATCTGCCCGCCTTGGCCTCCTAAAATGTTGGGATTACAGGCGTGAGCCTCCATGCCCAGCCTATTCCTTTTTATGATGGAATAATTTCCCATTGTATGGATGGACCACTTTTGGTTTATCCATTCATCAGTTGAAGGACATTTGCTTGTTTCCACTCTTTGTCTCTTATGAATAATGTAGTTATGAACATTTGTGTATAAGATTTTATTTGAGCACTTGTTTTAAATCCTCTTGGGTATATATGTAGGAGTGGAATTGCTATGTCATGCAGTAGAATTCTACGTTTAGCTTTTTGAAGAAATGACAAACGGCTTTCTAAAGCAGCTGCACCATTTTACATTCCCATCAGCAATGTGTGAGGATAATCTCCATATCATCACCAACACTTGCTGTTTTCTTCTTTTTTTCTTTTTGCTCATATTCATCCTACTGGGTAGGAAGTGGTATTTTACTGTGGCTTTGATCTGCATCTCCCTAAGGATTAATGCTGTTGAACGTCTTTTCATGTACTTACCGAACACTGGTATATCTTCTTTGGAAAAATACCTATTCAAGTCCTTTGCCCATTTGAAAACTGAGTTGCTTATCTTTTATTGTTGAGTTGTAAGAATTCTTTATATATTTTGGATACTAGACCCTTATCAGATATATAATTTGCAAAACATTCTCTCCCAGTCTGTGGGTTGTCTTTTCATTATTTGGTTGTGTCCTCTGATGCACAAAAGTTGTGGGGTTTTTTTTTTTGTTGTTGTTGTTTGTTTGTTTTTGAGACAGAGTCTCACTCTGTCCCTCAGGCTGGAGTGCAGTGGCGTGATCTCAGCTCATTGCAACCTGCGTCCCCTGGGTTCAAGTGATTCTCAGGCCTCAGCCTCCCGAGTAGCTGGGATTATAGGCAGCTACCACCACTCCTGGCTAATTTTTATATTTTTAGTAGAGGTGGGGTTTCACCATGTTGGCCAGACTTGTCTCGAACTCCTGGACTCAAGTGATCCTTCTGCCTCAGCCTCCCAAAGTGCTGGGATTAGAGGTGTGAGCCACTGCACCCAGCCTAAAAATTTTAAATTTTGATGAGGTTAAATTTACTTTTTTTTTTCCTATTGTTGCTTGTGCTTTTAGTGTTATCTAAAAATCAATTACCAAATCAAGATCATAAAGAGATATCCCTGTATTCTTCTAAGAATGTTATAGTCTTAGCTCTTAGTGTTTGAGGCACTTTGACTTAATTTCTGTAGATGGTGTGAGATAGGGGCCCAGTTGCACTCCTTTGGATGTCGTTATCTGGCACCATTTGTTGAAAATATGATTCTTTCCCCCACTGAATGGTCTTGGCACCGTTGTTGAAAATCAATTGATCATCGAGGTATGAGTTTATTTCTGGACTCTCGATTCTATTCCATTGATTTATGTCTCTCCTTATGAGGTAGGAGGTGGGACTTGACTCCAGAGGCAGGGCTCGGACACTGGACCAAATTGAGGACTAGCTGAAACAGGGCTGGGGTGGAATGAGCTTTCCGTAAGACACGCTCATCAGTTGCCATGTCAGTTTACCGTTGCCATCGCAACACCAGGGGGTTATCCCCCGTCTCTTCCATGGCATTGACTCGATGACCCAAAAGTTATTACCCATTCCCTAGAAATTTTTGCACAAATCACCCCTTAATCTGCATGTGTTTAAAGTAGATATAAATGACTGCAAAACTGCCCTGAGCTGCTAGTCTCTGCCAGAGCCCTGCTGTGCAGGAGTAATCAGAGTTGTAACAGGGCTGGAGCTATAACACTGCCCCTTCAATAAAGCTGTTTTCTTCTACCATTGGCTTGGCCTTGAATTCTTTCCTGGGCAAAGCCAAGAACCTCATGGGCTAAGTCTCACTTTGGGGCTCACTTGTCCAACATTACTTATGCCAGGACCACACTGTTCTGATTACTGTAGCTTTGTAGTAAGTTTTGAAACTGGAAAGCGTGAATCCTCCAACTTTGTTCTTTTTCAAGATTGTTTTGGCTATTTGGAACCTCTTGCAATTCCATGTGAATTTTGAGATCAGCTTGTCCATTTCTGCAAAAAAAATGGCTCTTAAAATTTTGACAAGTGGCCGGGTGCAGTGGCTCACGCCAGTAATCCCAGCACTTTGGGAGGCTGAGGAGGGCGGACCACCCGAGGTCAGGAGTTTGAGACCACCCTGGGCAACATGGTGAAACCCCGTCTCTACTAAAAATACAAAACATTAGCCGGGCGTGGTGTCACCCGCCTGTAATCCCAGCTACCTGGAAGGTGGAGGCATGAGAATTGCTTGAACCTGGGAGGCGGAGGTTGCAGTGAGCTGAGACTGTGCCGCTGGACTCCACCCTGGGCAACAGAGCGAAACTCTCTCTCTCAAAACAATTTTTTTTTGATAGGCATTGCAACTGAATCTGTAGATCAATTTAGGGAGTATTGTCATCTTAAAAATATAAAGTCTTCCAGTTGATGAACATGGGGTATCTATTTATTTAGCTCTTATTTAATTTCTTTCAGCAATATTGTAGCTTTCAGTGTAAAAGTAGAATTGTTTTCTTAATTTCATTTTCAGATTGGCATTGCTAGTGTATTGAAATACAACTAATTTTCTTTTCTTATTTTTCGCAGAGATGGCGGCGGGGGAGGGGGGGTCTCCCTTTGTTGCCCCGGCTGGTCTTGAACTCTTGGCCTCAAGCAATCCTCCCACCTCGCCTCCCAAAGTGTTGAGAATTATAGGCATAAGCCACTATGCTGAGCCCTGATTTTCTTTTCTTTTTTTTTTTTTTTTTTTAGACGGAGTCTCTTTCTGTCATCCCAGGCTGGAGTACAGTGACGCAATCTCGGCTCTCTGCAAGCTCCACCTCCCGGGTTCACGCCATTCTCCTGCCTCAGCCTCCCGAGTAGCTGGGACTACAGGTGCCCGCCACCATGACCAGCTAATTTTTTGTATTTTTTTTTTGGTAGAGACGTGGTTTCACCATGTTAGCCAGGATGGTCTCGATCTCCTGACCTCGTGATCCGCCCGTCTCGGCCTCCCAAAGTACTGGGATTACAGGCGTGAGCCACCACGCCCGGCCGAGCCCTGATTTTCAATATTGATTTGTATCCCAAAAATGTCCTGAATTTATTAACCTTTTTTTTTTTTTTTGAGACAGTTTCGCTCTTGTTGCCCAGGCTGGAGTGCAATGGCGTGATCTTTGCTTACCGCAACCTCAGCCTCCCGGGTTCAAGCAATTCTCCTGCCTCAGCCTTCCGAGTAGCTGCGATTACAGGCATGGGCAACCACGCCCGACCCATTTTGTATTTTTAATAGAGATGGGGTTTCTCCATGTTGACCAGGCTGGTCTCAAACTCCCGACCTCAGGAGATCCACCCACCTCGGCCTCCCAAAGTGTTGGGATTACAGGCGTGAGCCACCACGCCCAGCGTCATTTTCAAATTCTCATCTAAATGTTTCATCCAGAAGGGTTGGATACAAAAGGGATGGAAGCATTTCACAGAAGAAACATTTTTATACAAGTTGACTAGAAACACACATCACATCCAGGAATTGGTCAGGATGAAATTCTAAATTTTCTTCTTTTTTTTTGTTTGTTACCAGCTTATATATCAAGAAAAGAAGCGGGGCACGATTGCTCATGCCTGTAATGCTAGCACTTTGGGAGGCCGAGGAGGCCGGATCACCTGAGGTTGGGAGTTTGAGACCAGCCTGGCCAACAGAGTGAAACCCCGACTCTACTAAAAAAATACAAAAATTAGCCAGACGTGGAGGCGCGGGCCTGTAGTCCTAGGTACTTGGGAGGCTGAGGCAGGACAATTGCTTGAACCTGGGAGGTAGAGGTTGCAGTGAGTCAAGATGGCGCTACTGCACTCCAGCCTGGGCAACAGAGTGAGACCCTGTCTCAAAACAAACAAACAAACAAACAAACGAACAAACAAACAACAGAAATCCTAAATTTTCAAAATGTTTTTCTATAACCTCTTTCCCGATCATCATCCAATGAACTTCCTGCAAAAGCTCAATCCCTTTCTGGGGACCGCTGCATCAGTAATCAAACTGCCTTCCTAAGGTGTGTGTTGTAGCAGGAGAGAAGTGGGGAAGTAGAGTCAGGCTACAGGCCACAGTTGCAACCTACAACTAATCCAGAAAGTTGAGCACAAGGCAACAGAAATGAGGCGTCTCCCAAGTGTCCAACCTGTCAGAAGCAGCCAGAGGGGTCACAGTCCCTGAGAGGTGCCCTCCTTGAACTTACAGCTTTTGGCAGGAATCACAGGTTAGAAATACATTCGATGGCCAGGCGCGGTGGCTCATGCCTGCAATCCCAGCACTTTGGGAGGCTGAGGCGGGAGGATCACCTGAGGTCAGGAGTTCGAAACCAGCCTGGCCAACATGGTGAAGCCCCGTCTCTACTAAAAATACAAAAATTAGCCAGGCATGGTGGCGTATGCCTGTAATCCCAGCTACTTGGGAGGCTGAGGCAGGAGAATTGCTTGAACCCAGGAGGTGGAGGTTGCAGTGAGCTGAGATCACACCACTGCACTCCAGCATGGGTGACAGAAGGAGACTCCGTCTAAAAAAAAATTAAAAAAAATAAAAGAAAATAAAAAGAAAGAAATATAGAGCCAAGAAGCCAGTTGATTGTAGATGGTTTCCTCAAAGAAGAAGCCCTTTCCTTGGCCTGGCGTGGTGGCTCACATCTGTAATCCCAGCACTTTGGGAGGCCAAGGCAGGCGGATCACGAGGTCAGGAGATCGAGACCATCCTGGCTAATACGGTGAAACCCCGTCTCTACTAAAAATACAAAAAATTAGCCGGGTGTGGTGGTGGGCGCCTGTAGTCCCAGCTACTCGGGAGGCTGAGGCAGGAGAATGGCGTGAACCTGGGAGGCAGAGCTTGCAGTGAGCTGAGATCACGCCACTGCACTCCAGCCTGGGGGAGACAGTGAGACTCCGTCTCAAAAAACAAAAAGAAGCCCTTTCCTGTGGGCATTTTTATGTGATCCAGATGGTCCAGTCAGCATCCATGATGTTTTCAGTTTAGGTCCCACGGAGGGTGCCCTAAGTCTGCAATGGTCTCATAGTCGAAGTGCTGTTCCTGGAGTGTGCGCCCGTTTTTAATTTAGCACAGCACATGCTGAGACTGAAACAGCACAGAGCAGACAGCAGTATCAGGTTTTGGCTTACAGTCAGGTCCAGGCCAGTAGGATCTGTGAATTCAGGAAGCCACAAGTCAGTGGCTGTTCTTTGGCAGCAGCAAAGCCAAGATGCTGCAGGCTAGAAGGTTCTGTTTCAAGTGCAAGTGACAAACAAGGCTTTCCTAAGCCTTTTTACCTCGTCAATCTTAGAGCTGGAATTGGTGCACTCAAAAACACGCACGGGCTGGATGCAGTGGCTTGTGCCTGTAATCCCAGCACTGTGGGAGGCTGAGGCGAGAGGATTGCTTGAGCACAGGAGTTCAAGACCAGCCCAGGCAACATAGTGAAACTGTGTCTCTACAAAAAAAAAGAAAAAAAAATTAAAATTAACTGGGCGTGGAGGTGGGCACCTGTAGTCCCAGTTACTTGGGAGGCCGAGGTGGGAGGATCGCTTGAGCCCAGGAGGTCGAGGCTGCAGTGAGCCATGACTGCATCATTGTACTCCAGCTTGGGTAACAGAGTAAGACCCTGTCTAAAAACAAAAAAACAAACAAACAAACAAACAAAAATGCATACCTTCAAGAAAAAGAGAAGACAACCACAGACCGGGAGAAGGGATTTGCAGAAGACATATCTGATAAAGGACTATTATTCAAAATGTACAAAGAACTCTTAAAACTCATCAATAAGGGTGGTGTGTGCCTGTAATCCCAACTACTTGGGAGGCTGAGGCAAGAGAATCACTTGAACCTGGAAGATGGAGTTTGCAGTGAGCCGAGATCACGCTATTGCACTCCAGCTTGGGCAACAGAGCAAGACTCTGTCTCAAAAAAAAAAAAAAAAGGTTGGGGGCAGTGGCTCACACCTGTAATCCCAGCACATTGGGAGGCCAAAGTGGGTGGATTGCTTGAGTCCAGGAGTTTGAGACCAGCCTGGGCAACGTGGCAAAACCCCCTCTCTACAAAAAAATAAAAAAACATTAGTTGAATGTGGTGGTGTGCCCTTGTGGTCTCAGCTACTTGGGAAGCTGAGGCAGGAGGATGGCTTGAGCCTGGGAGGCAGAGGTTGCAGTGAGCCATGATCACACCACTACACTCCAGCCTGGGTGACAGAGCAAGACTCTGTCTCAAAAAAAAAAAAAAAAAAAAAAAAAAAAAAGGCTGAGTGTGGTGGCTCATGCCTGTAATCCCAGCACTTTGGGAGGCCAAGGCGGGCGGATTGCTTGAGCCCAAGTGTTTGAGACCAACCTGGGCAACAAAGCAAGACCTCATCTTAAAAAAAAAAGTATTAGCCAGGTGTGGTGGCATGCGCCTGTAGTCCCGGCTACTTGGGAGGCTGAGGCAGGAGGCTCGCTTGAGCCCAGGAGTTTTAGGCTGCAGTGAGCCATGGTCTGATCATGCTACTGCACTTCAGCCTCGGCAACAGAGTGAGACCCTGTCTCTAAAAGTGATCTATCAAGCCATGAAAAGACCTGGAGGAACCTTAACTACATATCACTAAGTAAGAGACCAATTAGGTAAGGATACATACTGCATGATTCCATCAATATGACATTCTGGAAAAGGCAAAACTATGGAGTCAATATAAAATCAGTGGTCGGCCAGGCGAGGTGGCTCACGCCTATAATCCCAGCACTTTGGGAGGCTCAGGCGGGTAGATCGTTTGAGGTGAGGAGTTCAAGACCAGCCTGGCTACATGGTAAAACCCCGTCTCAACTAAAAATACAAAAAAATTAGCCAGACGTGGTAGCAGTCACCTGTAATCCCAGCTACTCGGGAGGCTGAGGTGGGAGCATCTCTCGAACCCGGGAGGCGGAGGTTGCAGTGAGCCAAGATCATGCCACTGCACTCTAGCCTGGGTGACAGAGTGAGACTCCATCTCAAAACAAATACAAAACGAAACAAACAAAAAGACCAGTGGTCCTCTGGGGTTGAGGGAGGGAGGAGTGAACTGGTAGAGCACAGAGGACTTTTAGGGCAGTGAAACTAGTCTGTGTGATACCGCAATGGTAGATACATGTCGTTACACATTTGTCCAAATCCAGAGAATGCACGACACCAAGTGTGACCCTAATACAAACTATGGAGTTTGGGTGATAAGGATGTGTCAACATAGGTTCATTGATTATAACATGTACCACTCTGGTGGGGGATGTTGATAGCGGGAAGGGTGTGTGTGTGTGTGTGCGTGAGGGGCTGGGGGAAACGGGATATAGGAGAACTCTGTACTTTCTGCTCAATTTTGCTGTGAACCTAAAACTGCTCTAAAAATAAAGTCTAGGCTGGGCGCGGTGGCTCACGCCTGTAATCCTAGCACTTTGGGAGGCTGAAGTGGGAAGATAACTTGAACTCAGGAGTTCGAGACCAGCCTGGGCAACATAGTGAGACCTTGTCTCTAATTTGAAAAAAAAAAAAAAAAAACCCAAAAGCCAAAAAAACAAAAATTAGCTGGGTGTGGTGGCACACGCACCTGTAATTCCAGCTACTCAAGAAGCTGAGGTGGGAGGATTGCTTGAGTCTAGGAGGTCAAGGATGCAGTGAGATGAGATTGCACTGTTGTACTCTAGCCTGGGCAACAGAGTGAGAACGTCTCAAAAAAAAAAGCATATTAAATAAACGAAACTTTTTCAGACATACAAAAAAATATGCACACCAGGCTGCCTCATCAGCTGCCTTTAAGGGTCCAGCATTTGATTTTAACAAGGGCTTATTAGCAAACTAGAAAGTGTTTTTTAAAACTCTAAAAGTAGCTGGGTGTGGTGGCATGTGCCTGTAGTCCTAGCTACTCAGGAGGCTGAAGCAGGAGGATCATTTGAGCCCAGGAGGTCGAGGCTGCAGTGAGCCATGATCGCGCCACTGCACTCCAGCCTGGGTGAGAGTGTGAGATCCTGCCTCAACAAATAATTTTTTTGCTTTAAAGTGAAACTCCAAAAGTTTATTTCCATCCAGAGATTGCGTCGCTCTTTTTACTGCTTCTTCCTTTCTCCAAAGGCTCCAGTAAGCCAAAATCATGGCAGAAATCATCGTTTACAGACACTGTACTTGTTCTGTTTCCAATACTCAGAGAATTTAAATTCCAATCCTCCCATTGTTGGCAAAAAGCAAGGGATTTGTTTTATACACACACAATGATTTTTGCAGCTTTCCCTAATCCAGATGATCCTCATAGTGTATAGTGCAAGCATAAACATTTTACATTGATTTTAAAAAATCATACGTTTAGGCCAGGTGTAGTAGCTCACGCCTGTAATCCCAGCACTTTGGGAGGCCGAGGAGGGTGGATCACCTGAGGTCAGGAGTTTGAGACCAGCACAGCCAACATAGTGAAACCCTGTCTCAACTAAAAATACAAAAAATTAGCTGGGCATGGTGGCACGTGCCTGTAATGCCACTTACTTGGGAGGCTGAGAATCACTTGAACCTGGGAGGTGGAGGTTACTGCACTCCAGCCTGGGCAACAGCGAGACTGTCTCAAAAAAAAAAAAAATCATACATCTAGATGAAACAGTCACAAAATACAAAGGAGCTTTTCAAATTTCTCCCTTTTTTTTTCTCATTGCAAACCTACTCAAATGTCTATCAATAAATTCAACACTTAATAGTTGGAATAGAAGGCAGGGTTGCTGCAACCTGTGGGCTGAAGAAATGGGTAGAATCTACAGTCAGCCTTTGGTATCCATGGGATTGGTTCCAGAAACTCCCATGGATCCCAAAATCCACAGATACTCAAGTCCTTATATAAAATGCAGTGATATTTGCATATAACCTCCACACATCCTCCCATATACTTTATTAATTATTATTTTTTCGTGATGGAGTTTCACTCTTGATGCTCAGGCTGGAGTGCGATGGTGCGATCTCGCTCGCTGCAACCTCCACCTCCCGGGTTCAAGCAATCCTCCTGCCTCAGCCTCCCAAGTAACTGGGCTTACAGGTGCCCGCCACCATGCCCAGCTAATTTTTTGTATTTTTAGTAGAGATGGGGTTTCACCATGTTGGCCAAAACTTACACACATAAACACAGACTTTGCATGGTACCATTTGCAGTTGAGACAAATGTAAATCAATACAAAGAGGCAGTGTGAAATCATAATTGCACGAAATTAACTGAAGTAATACTGTACTACTGTAATAATTTCATAGCCACCTCCTGTTGTTATTGCAGTGAGCTGAAGTGTTGTATCAGCTTAAACACCATGTGATGCTAATCATCTCCAGGAGTTCGTTTCTCCAGTAAATTGCATAGCGCAGTAAACAGTGATATCTTCCGGTTCTCGTTCATTTTTCATCCTGTTGAGTGCAATATCGTAAACCCTGAATAACACCACGGGACCCATGCAAAGTGCCACTGATGAAACTGACAGTGCTCCCAAGAAGTAGACAAGTCATGACATTACGAGAGAGTTGATTTGCTTGATATGTACCATAGATTGAGGTCTGCAGCTGCAGTTGCCTGACATTTCAAGATGAATTCAGCATTGAGGAGCATTGTAAAAAAAAGAAAATGAAATTCCCGAAGTGGTCACAGTTATGCCGGCAAGCAGGAAATCCTTGCACTTTTTGTGAAATACCTTTTTATCTCATACTGAAAATGCAAAGCCAGGTGTGATGGCTCACGCCTGGAATCCCAGCACTTTGGGAGGCTGAGGTGGGTGGATCACTTGAGGCCAGGAGTTCGAGACCAGCCTGGCCAACGTGGCGAAACCCTGTCTCTACCAAAAATACAAAAATGAACTGGGCATGGTGGTGGGTGCCTGTAATCCCAGCTACTTGGGAGGTTGAGACACAAGAATCACTTGAACCCGGGAGGCAGAGGTTGCAGTGAGCCCAGATCATGCCACTGCACTCTAGCCTGGGTGACAGAGCAAGACTCTATCACAAAAAAAAAAAAAAAAGAAAGAAAGAAAATGCAGTTTTTCTGTGGGTGCAGAATTGCTATAAGAAAGGCATACTTGCCGAGCACGGTAGCTCACGCCTGTAATCCCAGCACTTTGGGAGGCCAAGGTGGGCGGTCACGAGATCAGGAGATCGAGACCATCCTGGCTAACATGGTGAAACCCCGTCTCTACTAAAAATACAAAAAAACTTAGCTGGGCATGGTGGCGGGCACCTGTAGTCCCAGCTACTCGGGAGGCTGAGGCAAGAGAATGGCGTGAACCCAGGAGGCGGAGCTTGTGGTGAGCCGAGATCGTGCCATTGCACTCCAGCCTGGGCAACAGAGTGAGACTCTGTCTCAAAAAAAAAAAAAAAAAAAAAAAAAAAAAAAAAAAAAAAAAAAAAAAGAAAGACATACCTATAGACTCTAATATAATTCTAGAAAAGTGTAGCCATTATATGACAACTTAAAGCTAAAGGAAGGTGAGGGACATAAATCTGGAGAGTTTAATGCCAGCAAAGGATGGTTTGATAATTTTAAAGAGTTTGGCTGAAAAAAATATCAAGGTAACAGGAGAGGTGGCTTCTACCAACCAAAAGGCAGCAGATGGGTTCCCAGGTGCCAATGAGAAAATCATTGAGGAGAAAAGTTATCTGCCTAAAGAGGGTTTTTTGTTTGTTTGTTTTGTTTGTTTGTTTGTTTTTGAGACAGAGCCTTGCTCTGTTGCCCAGGCTGGAGTGCAGTGGCTCCATCTCAGCTCACTGCAACCTCCGCCTCCTGGGTTCAAGCGATTCTACTGCCTCAGTCTCCTGAGTAGCTGGGATTATAGGTACCCGCCACCATACCCAGCTAATTTTTTGTATTTTTAGTAGAGATGGGATTTCACCATGTTGGCCAGGCTGATCTCAAACTCCTGATCTCAAGCGATTCTCCCCACTTGGCCTCCCAAAGTGCTGGGATTACAGGCAGGAGCCACACCTCGCCTGGTCATGAAGAGGTTTGTAATGCAGACTAAAGTGCCCTATTCTGGAAAAAATGCCTCAAAGGACATTTATTAGTAAGGAAGAGAAGCAAGCACTTAAGGCAGGTAGGGATAGGCTGACTCTACTGTTTCGTGCAAATGGTGTCAGATTTATGATGAGGCTGCCCTTACACAGAAAACTGCTAACCTCCAAGACTTGAAAGATAAAGCTGCCAGTCTTTCAGTTGTACAACAAGAAGGCCTGGACAACAAGAACCCTTCTTCTGGATTGGTTCCACCGACGCTTTGTCCTTGAAGTTAGGAAGTACCTTGCCAGTTAGTTACTTTGATATTAGACAGTGTCCCTGGCCACCAAGAACCCCACGAATGCAACAATGAAGGTGCCGAAGTGGTCTCATTGCCCCCAAACACAGCATCTCTAATTCAGCCTCTAGATCAGGGGGTCATAAGGACCTTTAAGGCTCATTACACACTGTGGAAAGGACTGTCAACACTATGGAAGAAAAGCCTGATGTAGAGAACATTAGAAAAGTCTGGAAGGATGACACCACTGAAGAGGCCATCCTTGTTAGAGAAAGGCTACAAATACCATTGAGCCAAAATAATAAATTCCTGCAGGAGAAAACTGTGTCTATATGTTGTACATGACCTCACAGGATTTATAACAGAGCCAATCAAGGAAATCATTAAAGAGATTGTGGATATGGCAAAAAAAAAAAAAAAAAGGTAGGGGGTGAAGGGTTTCAAGCCATGGATCTTGGGGAAATTCAAGAGCTAATAGATACCACACCAGAGGAATTAACAGAAGATTTTTTTTTTTTCCCTGAGATGGAGTCTCGCTCTGTCACCCAGGCTGGAGTGCGGTAGCAAAATCTCAGCTCACTGCAACCTCCGCCTCCCGGGTTCAAGTGATTCTCCTGCCTCAGCCTCCTGAGTAGCAGGGATTACAGGCACCCGCCACCACGCCCAGCTAATTTTTGTAGTTTCAGAGACAGGGTTTCGCCATGTTGGCCAGGCTGGTCTCGAACTCCTGACCTCAGGTGATCCACCCCCATCCCAAAGTGCTGGGATTACAGATGGGAGCCACCGTGCCTGGCCAGAAGATGTTAACTGAAGATGTTTTTGACTTCTTTCACAACATGGACCCCTCTGTGATACAGGAACTGACACTAAAGCAAACCGTGGAAGAAGTTTTGGTGCCATATAGAAACATTTTTAGAGAAATGAAAAAGCAAAAAGTCAGACAGAAACTATGATGTATTTCTGTAAAGTACCTGCCTGTCCTGCCTCCCTCTCCACCTCCATCACCTCATCCACTTTTGCCACCTCTAAGACAGCAAGACCAGCCCTCCTCTTCAGCCTACTCATTGTGAAGATAACGAGGATGAAGACTTTTATGATGACCACCTCCACTTACTGAATAGTAAATGTACTTTCTCTTCCTTATAATTTGCTTAACAACATTTTCTTTTCTTTAGCTTACTTTATTGTAAGAATACAGTATATAATATAATAACATACAACATATGTGTTAATTGACCATTTATGTTATCAGCGAGGCTTCTGGTCAACAGTAGGCTATTAGTAGTTAAGTTTTGGGGGAATCAAAAGTTATACTCAGATTTTTTTTTTTGAGATGGAGTCTTGCTGTGTTGCCCAGGCTGGAGTGCAGCGGTGCAATCTTGGCTCACTGCAACCTCTGCCTCCTGGGTTCAAGCGATTCTCCTGCCTCAGCCTCCCGAGTAGCTGGGATTACAGGTACCTGCCACCACGCCCAGCTAATTTTTGTATTTTTAGTAGAGATGGGGTTTCACCATGTTGGCCAGGCTGGTCTTGAACTCCTGACCTTGTGATCCACCTGCCTTAGCCTCCCAAAGTGCTGGGATTACAGGTGTGAGCCACCACATCCGGCTATCCTCAGATTTTTAACAGCAAGGAAGGTCAGCACCCCAACCGTCACGTTGTTCATGGGTCAACTATATAATATTTCCACATCACTTCATTCTCACGGATTCAACATGGTACTTGGCATGGGGCAAATTCAAGTTTTTACTTTTTGAAACTTTGTGGAAGTTTTTTTCCCCAAATATTTTCTATTCTTTTTTTTTTTTTTTTTTTTTTTTTTTGAGACAGGGTCTCACTCTGTCTCCTAGGCTGGAGTGTTGTGGTCTCAATATCGGGGGCTCCAGTGATCCTCCCACCTCAGCCTGTCAAGTAGCTGAGACTACAGGCACACGCTCCCCCACCACACCCAGCTAATTTTTTAAATTTTTTTGTAGAGATGGGTCTCACTATGTTGCCTAGGCTGGTCTTGAACTCCTGGGCTCAAGCAATTCTCCTGCCTAGGCTTCCTACAGTGTTGGGATTATAGGCGTGAGCCACCACATCCAGTCTTTCCCGAATATTGTCTTTTGTTTGAGACAGAGTTTTGCTCTGTCACCCAGGCTGGAGTGCAGTGGTGTGATCTTGGCTCACTGCAACCTCCGCCTCCCAGGTTCAGGTGATCCTCCCACCTCATGCTCCTGAGTAGCTGGGACTACAGACGTGTGCCTCCATGCCTGGCTAATTTTTTTGTTTGTTTGTCTGTTTTTGAGACAAAGTCTCTGTCGCCCAGGCTGGAGTTCAGTGGAGCGATCTTGGATCACTGCAACCTCTGCCTCCCGGGTTCAAGCGATTCTCCTGCCTCAGACTCCCAGACAGCTGGGATTACAGGCACCTGCTGCCACGACTGGCTAATTTGCATTTTTATTTTATTTATTTATTTTTTGAGACAGAGTTTTGCTCTTGTTGCCCTGGCTGGATAGCAATGGCGCGATCTTGGCTTACGGCAACCTCTGCCTCCCAGGTTCAAGCAATTCTCCTGCCTCAGCCTCCCAAGTAGCTGGGATTACAGGTGCCCACCACCATGCCTGGCTAATTTTTTTTTTTTGTATTTTTAGTAGAGATGGGGTTTCGCCATATTGGCCTGGCTGGTCTCGAACTCATGACCTCTGGTGATCCATCTGCCTCAGCCTCCCAAAGTGCTGAGATTACAGGTGTGAGCCACCATGCCCAGCAATTTTTGTATTTTTAGTAGAGACGGGGTTTCACCATGTTGGCTAGCCTGGTCTCGAACTGACCTCAAGTGATCCACCTGCCGCGGTCCCCCAGAGTACTGGGATTACAGGCGTGAGGCACCAGGCCCAGCCTCCCGAATATTTCCAATCTACAGTTGGTTGAATCCACAGATGCAGAAGCTAGCCACATGGAGGGCCAACTGTGTATGTTTATCTTATTCTTTTTTTCCCATCTGGCTTATCGAAAGCTTTGAGCTGGCCGGCAATAGATTTAATTTCTTTTACTCCCAGTTGGAGGAAAGAGCACCTATAAACTGTTTACTGTCTTTGACCCACCAAAAACTCATTTTGGGAAAGTCTTGGCCCTTTCTCTTGCAGCCTACAGAAGAGAGGGAAAAAAGCCAAAGGTGTCACTTGGGCCATGCTTTTCTTCCTCATTGTAGCCAGCACTCACCAAAATCAGCCAGGGGATCCAGGGAGTCAGCTCTCTAGAGGCTGGACCTATTGTCTTTTTTTTTTTTTTAATTTGAGACGGAGTCTCGCTCTTTCGCCCAGGATGGAGCGCAGTGATGCGATCCTGGCTCACTGCAACCTCCACCTCCCGGATTCAAACGATTCTCCTACCTCAGCCTCCCGAGTAACTGGGATTACAGGCGCGTGCCACCATGCCTGGCTAATTTTTTGTATTTTTAGTAGAGACAGGGTTTCACCATGTTGGCCAGGCTGGTCTTGAACTCCTGACCTCAAGTGATCCGCCCACCTCGGCCTCCCAAAGTGCTGGGATTATAGGTGTGAGCCACTGCGCCCGGCCTCAGCTAGTGTTTGCTTTCGTACAGTTTTCCCTCCTCAACTGGGACTACTTATGATTCTCAACCAAGGCAGTAACTCTGCATTTCTATTAAAAAGATCTGAAGTGGTTTTGGCAAAATAAGAAATTTATTACATATGATTGGCAGATACATGCTGCTGATATATTATTCTTACTGTTTGAAAAAAAGTCAAAATAAAAATAATGTTATTTTAATTTTAAATACCACACAATTACAGGTCCTTGAGGATCAGGGTTGGGCTCAGGGAATTACCTCGTTTTTTCAGAGAAACCAGAGTGGGCAGAACCATCTCCAAATTCTTTTTTTTTTTTGAGACAGGGTCTCGCTCTGTCACCCAGGCTGGAGTGCAGTGGTATGATCATGGCTCACTATAGCCTCAACCTGGGCACAAATGATCCTCCCACTTCAGCCTCCCAAGTAGCTTGGACTACAGGTGTGTACTACTGTACCTGGCTAACTTTTGTATTTTTTGTAGCGATGGGGGTCTTACTACATTGCCCAGGCTGGTCTTGAACTCTGGGGCTCAACTGATCCTCCCACCTTGGCCTCCCAAAGTGCAGGGATTACAGGTGTGAGCCACCCTGCCTGATCCAAACTTTTTCTTTTTGAGACGGAGTCTCGCTGTGTTGCCCAGGCTGGAGTGCAGTGGCATGATCTTGGTTCACTGCAGCCTCTGCCTCCCGGGCTCAAGCAATTCTCCTGCCTCAGCCTCCCGAGTAGCTGGAATTACAGGTGCACACCACCAAGCCCGGCTAATTTTTTGGATTTTTAGTAGAGACGGGGTTTCACCATGTTGGCCAGGCTGGTCTTGAACTCCTGACCTCAGGTGATCCGCCTGCCTCAGCCTCCCAAAGTGCTGGGATTACAGGCATGAGCCACTGTGCCTGGCCCAAACTTTTTTTTTTTAACGTAGACTTTCAGCTGCATGACCTGGTCCCAGCCCTGTAGCTCGGAAGCCCCAGGAGGTGAGGTTCACACCCTTAGGGCTGGGACTCTCTGAGCCCTAAGGATGAGATTCTAAGTTCAGAGATGAGTTGAGGGCTTCCCTGAAGGGACCAAGGAAGTCCCTGTGGCAGAAACAACAGGAGACAAGAGGTCAGTGGTGCGGAGGGGAGGGGATGGTACAGAGGGGCCTGGGGCTGGATCGGAGGGTTTTGGTTGGGAGGAGAAGAGAGGGGAGGGCAAGAATTCTTCTCCAGGATGGGCATTCCCCCATGCTCACTTGTGGGTTTCCCCTCAGTACAGTAGGGCCCCCCCGCAAAGCAGCAGCTGCAGTAGGTAGATAAGATGGAAGAAGCTTCTTCTGGTAGTTTCTAGAACCTGAAGACAGGGCCCGTCAGGGCCTTTGATTGGACCCAGGAATTCTCAGTATGCCAGGGAGGTACAAGTGCTTGGTTGGTTAATGAGGGGTCCCAGCCAATGGTCCCAGGCCCTGGAAGGCACAGTCAGGCTGTCTTGCAAGAAGGGTAGTGCTGGACTAGGACAGACGGACTCGCACGATCACACTGGAGTTGGTCACACGGGCTCCATAGTGGCCAGCCCAGAACTGTGTGTCCTGGCCCCGGTGTTCGAAAGACACAAAGCGGACGCCCATCTTGATGTTGGAGAACACGTGGGTGACCTGTAGGCAGAGGAGGGGCTCAGCTCCATTGTGCCACAGCCTCCCCTCCAAAGCTGAGGTTAGGGCCTTCTGGAAGATGGTTATTTTCCAAGGATGGCTATAAAATCTCCAATTGGGCCACATGTTCTTCTAGAATCTTATAGAATCTTCCACTCCCTCATTAAAAAGTAGAATCTGGTCGGGTGCGGTATGGCTCGTGCCTGTAATCCCAGCACTTTGGGAGGCCGAGGCAGGTGGATTGCTTGAGGCCAGGAGTTCGAGACCAGTCTGGCCAACACGGTGAAACCCTGTCTCTACTAAAAATACAAAAAATATTAGCTGGGCTTGGTGGCACGTGCCTGTAGTCCCATCTACTCGGGAGGCTGAGGCAGGAGAATCACTTGAACCTGGCAGGCGAAGGTTGCAGTGAGCAGAGATCATGCTACTACACTCCAGCCTGGATGATGGAGCGAGACTCTGCCTCAAAAAAAAAAGAAGTAGAATCTAACTCCCTTCCCCATGAATCAAGGTGGGTTTGCTTGTCACCAAGAATGTGGTGAAAATGATGCTCAGTGACTTTGGCCAAGTGACTTTTTAAGGCTAGGTCAGAAAAAGCAAGGCAGCTTCTACTGTTTCTCTGGAACCCTCCTCCCTGAGCAACCACATGAGCAATCTGACTGCCTAGGAGCCGCCATGGTGTGAGGAAGCCCAAAGGAGCCCAAGCAGAGAGATCCCATGGAGAAGCTCTGAGACTAAATGAAGAAAGAGATGTTTGGCCAGCCACCAACAGCTACACACATACTACCCACCACCCTGGCCTGCAGCTCCAGGCATCATCAGAATGTCACTGTCTGAACGCTGAAAGACAGGAGCCAGAACTGCCCAGGTAAGCCCTCCTGAAATTACTGACTCACAGAAATCACGAGAGGTAGTCAAATGACTGTCATTGATTTTTTTTTTAGACAGAGTCTCGCCCCGTCACCCAGGCTGGAGTGCAATGGCGCAATCTTGGCTCACTGCAACTTCTGCCTCCCAGATTCAAACGATTGCCTGCCTCAGCTTCCCGAGTAGCTGGGATTACAGGCATGTGCCACCACGCCCAGCTAATTTTTGTATTTTTAGTAGAGATGGGGTTTCACCATGTTGGCCAGGCTGGTCTTGAACTCCTGACCTTGTGATCCGCCTGCCTTGGCCTCCCAAAGTGCTGGGATTACAGGTGTGAGCCACCGCACCCAGCCAGACTGTCACTGATTTTAAGCCACTAAGTTTTGGGGTGATTTATTTTGCAGCAATAGGCCCCCAGCATCCTTTCCCCAAACCCCCATAGGAGACTCACGTGAAGGCAGGCATTGTTGTTCCACTGCGGGATGGGATCAGGCACAGCAGAGAATTTATCTAGAACAGTCTGGTTGGCGTCTAGAAGTTGGACGAGGAGTCTGTACATACAGCCGCTGTCGTGTCGGGCTCCCCACCTGTGGGAGGAAGGAGCCATGAAGGCTGGACCTGCCACCCCATCTCTTTGGGTGTCTGCCTACCTTGTCCGAATGCCCTTCCCATGTGTGCAAATCCAGTTCCTCTAAAGAGACTCCTGGGAGGTGATCTCTGGACCTTTGGAATGTTGTGTCAGACAGGAGTGTCTTTGATGGGGACCCAGGTGGTACTGGATAATCTACCAATATGATTTAGGGCAGGGGCCAGCCACACTCATATAAATAGTCTCAGTGGGGAGTCTCCGGAAAGACCCACAATGTGACTTTCGGTGGGGGCTGGGAGTCAGGGAACGTCAGTTGACCTGGAGGCTGAGATTAACCACGTGGGCAATCGATCAATCCATCAGGCCTTGTGATGAACCCAAGAAACACTCTGGACACCGAGGCTCAAGTGAACTCCCTTGGTCAACAAAATTCCATGCATCTTGTCACACATCAGTGCCAGCACGGTAACATGTCCTGATGCCATGGGAGAAGGACAACAGAAGCTCTGTGTTTGATCTTTTCCCTGGATGCTGCTCTATGCCCTCCTTTTCTTGGCTGATTTTAATCTGTATCTTTTCCCTGTAATAAACCAGAAGTGTGTAGTAGCTTTCTGTGAGTTCGTCCAGTGAATTATTGAATTGTGAAGGTGGTTTTGGAAGTCCTCCAAACTTGTAGTTGGTAAAGATGTAGAGATGGGGTTTTGCCATGTGACCCAGGCTGGTCTTGAACTCCTGGACTCAGGCGATCTTCCTGCCTCCGCCTCCCAAAGTGTTGGGACTATAGGCGTGAGCCACCATGCCCAGTCAGATTTTGTTTTTAATTATTACTCATCAAACTACATAACATATTTGTGTTGTTGTGACATATCATGTCAGAAGCGAGGATGGTCTTAGGGATTCCATCCCCGAACTTTGTAGCAAGCTCTAAACTTCTCACAAATATTGATGCCTGTCTGGGCGAGGTGGCTCACGCCTGTAATCCCAACACTTTGGGAGGCCGAGGTGGGTGGATCACTTGAGGTTAGGAGTTCGAGACCAGCCTGGCCAACATGGTGAAACCTTGTCTCTACTAAAAATACAAAAATTAGCCAGGCGTGGTGGCAGGTGCCTGTAATCCCAGCTACGAGGCAGGAGAATCGCTGGAACCCAGGAGGCAGAGGTTGCAGTGAGCTGAGATCGCACCATTGCACTCCAGCCTGGGCGATAGAGGGAGACCCTGTCTCAAAAACAAAAAACAAACAAATATTGGTGCCTGGCTCTCACCCTCAGATGCTCAGATTTAATGGGTATGAATGGTGCCTGGGCATTTTATGTTTTAAAAGCTACCTTTATGAGGTGCGGCAAAATTTGGGAGCCACTGATTATCACAATCAAATAGTACCCACTGATCAAAACAACACAAATATGTTACATAGTTTGATAAGTAATAACAAAAAATAAAATCTGGCCAGCCGTGGTGGCTCACACCTGTAATCCCAGCACTTTGGGAGGCAGAGGTGTAAGGACTGCTTGAATCCAGGAGTTCAAGGCCAGCCTGGGTGACATGGCAAAACCCCGTCTCTACAGAAAATATGGCTGGGCATGGTGGCTCACACCTGTAATCCCAGGACTTTGGGAGGCAGAGGCGGGCAGATCACCTGAGGTCAGGAGTTCGAGGCCAGCCTGGCCAACGTGGCCAAACCCCGTCTCTACTAAAAATACAAAAATTAGCCAGGCGTGGTGGTACACACCTGCAATCCGAGCTACTGGGGAGGCTGAGGCAGGAGAATCACTTGAATCCAGAAGGCAGAGGTTGCAGTGAGCTGAGATTGTGCCATTGCACTCCAGCCTGGGTGACAAGTGAAACTTTGTCTCAAAAAAACAAAAAATTCAAAAATTAGCCAGGCATGTAAAATTAGCCAGTATGCACCTGTAGTCCCAGTTACTCAGGAGGCTGAGGTGGGAGGATTTTTTGAGGCCAGGTGGTAGAGATTGCAGTGAGCCGAGATCACGCCACTGCACTCCAGCCTGGGTAAAAGAGCAAGACTCTGTCTCTAAAAAAAAAAAAAAAAAAAAAAATCTTATTGGAGATGTATCTCTTAATGAGATGGAGTTGGGGAATAGGGTTATGGTGCCTTGATTAAGAGTGAATTTGCTGGCCAGGCACAGTGGCTTATGCCTGTAATCCCGGCACTTTAATAGGCTGAGGTGGGCAGATCACCTGAGGTCAGCAGTTCAAGACCAGCCTGGGCAACATGGTGAAACCCCATCTCTACTAAAAATAAAAAAAAATAGCCAGGTGTGGTGGTGCACACCTGTAATCCCAGCTACTCGGGAGGCTGAGGCAGGAGAATCACTTGAATCTGGGAGGTAGAGGTTGCAGTGATCTGAGATTGCACCATTGCACTCTAGCCTGGGCCACCTAGTGAGACTCTGTCTCAAAAAAAAAAAAAAAAAAAGTGAATTTGCTAAGGCCCCAAATTTCCAATGGCCACTTTGCCTGGCTCCCCAGTAGTCCTTACATCTGGGGACCACACCTTAGTGAGGGGCTTTTTTCCTATAAAACTAGAGAAGGGGGACACTGAGAAAGAGATTGGGGAACGAGAATCATATGATACTTCCCACACAGATGTAACCTATAGCAGATTAATTGTGTAATAGGGGGCTCATGGCTGTAGTGGACCTGGAATTTGACTCCCATAAAACCATCTGGGTCATATATCCCCTGGAAAGTCTTCATGCACCCCAGTTTCAAGACCATCACTACAGAGGACAAGCTCTGGAGTCAGAATCTGACTCTGAGCCTTATGCCAGGTTCTGCCAAGCCCAGGCTGTGTGACCAGACCAGGGCAAGTCATCTCCCCTTTCTTTTTTTGATGGAGTCTCGCTCTGTTGCCCAGGCTGGAGTGCAGTGGTGCCATCTCAGCTCACTGCAACCTCCACTTCCCGGGTTCAAGTGATTCTCCTGCCTCAGCCTCCTGAGTAGCTGGGACTACAGACACTTACCATGACGCCCAGCTAATTTTTTGTATTTTTAGTAGAGATGGGTTTTGCCATGCTGGCCAGGCTGGTCTCGAACTCCTTAGCTCAAGAGATCTGCCCACCTCGGCCTCCCAGAGTGCTGGGATTACAGGCATGAGCCACCGTGCCCAGACTGCCATCTCCCCTTTCCCAACCTCTCAATTTCCTGAGAAGCTCTGAATGATCTGAGGGCTTGAAATACACCTTCCCACAGGATCAAGGTTCAAAAAAAGGTGCTCACATAAAGTACTTGCTATGTGTTTGCCATATAATAATTGTCATTGCAAGAGCCCTATCTTGTAAACAGGGGAAACAGAGGTATGCTGTGACTTGCCCAAGGCTACAAAGCCACAGAGCTAGGGTTTGAATCTGGGAGGTCTGGCTCCAGAACCTAAGCTCTTGGCTAACTATGCTGTTTTCTCCTCCTAAGGCAAGGAGCATCTCATTCATTCACAGACAAGACTGAGCTGGGCCAAAGGTCTCTGTACTGGATCTCATCTTCTGTCTTCCAATCCACATCCTTTTGGGCATGAGCAGAAAGTGTGTACTCTGCTAATTACTAGAACTGTGAGTGTGTTTTTCACTTCACCTCCCTGAACTTCAGTTTCTTTTCTTTCTTTTTTTTTTCCAGGACTGAGTCTCACTCTGTCGTCCAGGCTGGAGTGTAGTGGTACAACCTCCACCTCCTGGGTTCAAGTGATTCTCCTGCCTCAGCCTCCCAAGTATGTGGGACTACAGGTGTGCACTACCAGGCCCGGCTAATTTTTTTTTTGTATTTTTAGTAGAGACGAGGTTTTGCCATGCTGGTTGGGCTGGTCTCGAACTCCTGACCTCAAGTGATCTGCCTGCCTCGACCCCCCAAAGTGCTGGGATTATAGGTGTGAGCCACCATGGCTGGCCTGAACTTCAGATTTTTTATCTGTAAGGAGGGGTTAGGAGGCCTAAATTAAGTCACCCATAAAAAGGCCATGTCACATGCAGTCAGTGCTTAGCAAGGGGCTATTTTAATCGTCACACTCACCAGTCAGAGACACAAATCTCAATCCTGCCACTATCCAGCAGTTCTGGCCACAGACCCTCCTCCTCTAGGTCCAAGACCTGCTTCTTGCAACACCAGCTGGGAATGCAGGAGACAGGGTAATGAGAACAGGCAGGCCTTTCTCAACAAGGGGCCGGACCTTTGGATAGCAGGGGCATTCACCTGAATGAAGTCACGAAGCACGTCTGAGAAGGGGCCCCAGGCACGGTTGTCCTGTTTTCCTCCACCACCCAGCCGTCCCCACCGTGTTGCACCATCCACTTTCGGAGGCCTTCTGTGAAATAAAAAAGGCTTGTGCCCAAGTTCCAGTCGCCCGCCTGTTGGTTCCTAGTGAGACCCCGCCCCTAGCCCCTCCCACGTGCTCACAGTGCAGCTCACTCACCTGACCCTTCCCACCGAGGCCCCGCCCCCTTCCCCTCCCACCAGCTCAGGGCAAAGCCCCGCTCCTCTGGCCCTTCTCACTGATTTGCAGCAAAGCCCTGCCCCTCCAACCCCTCTCTCGGGCTCCCAGAACTGCCCCACTCCCACCCCTCCCACAGGCAAACGGTGAAGCCCTGCCCAGTCAGCCCTGCACCCTGCGTGCCAATGCTGCCTCGTCCCTCCGACACCTCCCACCGGCTCCCAATGCTGCCCCGCCCCTCCGGCACCTCACACCGGCTCCCAATGCTGCCCCGCCTCTCCGACTCCTCCCACCGGTCCCACTGCGGCCCTGCCCCTGCGGCCCCTAGTACCGGTCCCAGTGCGGCCCCGCCCCTCCGGCCCCGCTACCGCTCCCACTGTGGCCCAGCATCCTGGACTTCCTCTTCCGAGATCCCACCTTGGCCGCAGGGGTTGCGAATAAGGTTGCGTCCGATGGGTCTGCGCGCGCAGAAGCGGCCCAGGGGGCAAGGCCTGGCGTTACGGGCGGGAGACTGGCAGCTGCGGGCGAGGTGCAGCAGCGCGCGGCCGGTGGCGCCGTGGTCGCGGGCCAGGATCAGCAGCCACAGGGCCTGGCCGTCCACCAGGGCTCGCCAGCCCCGGCACACTTGGCGGCAGCGCCCGAGCAGCGTGCGCGGGGGGACGTGGCTCAGCACCACCAGAAGCAGCTCTGGGGGTAGTTGGCTCAGGTCCAGCGCCTCTTCGGGTTCCGGCTCCGGCGCGGGGACCCGGGCGGCCCGGCCCCTGGAGACCGAGGCGCCCATGGTCCCCCCGCCAGGCCCGGCTGTGGCTGCGGGAGAGGAAGGGTCAAGGCGTCAGGGACCAGCAGCCTCCGCGGCGCGCAGCCTCTGCCTGCCCTGATTCTGCCAGCCGCACCCCCGTCTTCACCATCCCTGGGCCCCGTCCCCAAGTCCCCATCCCCCAGCCCGTCCTTGATAGCCCCGATATCCCGGAGACCCCGCGGTCTGTGTGTATGCCCCGAATTGCATGCAATCAGCCCCCCTCGGCGGCCGCACCGACACCGCACCCCAAGTCCTACCCCGGGGCCTGGCGGCGCTCCTCGCCGGGATGCCCTAGCTGTGCCGCAAGCTCCCCACGCCCCTCTGCGTCCTTTTTACTCGCCGGCCCCTCCCCTCTTACTAGCCAGCTTCACCCACCCCTGCATCCTCTTTCTTACTCGCCAGCCCCTCCCGCCTGCTCCCTCCCGCTCTCCAAACCCAACCTGCTTCCCGCGACGGGGCCAGGTGCAGCCAGGAGCCAAGGCCTGCTGCTCACAGCCGTCCCCTCCAGCCGGCCCCTTGAAGTGTCCCTAATTCGTTAGTAGCAATGAGACGTCTGGCTCTGAGCAACCATTGTTATTTTGGTCAGGCTTCTGAGTGGGAGGCCTCGTATCCGTTAACGTGTTAAAAAATTTCCATCACCTTTAAGGTCGGGCGTGGTTATCTTCATTTCACAGGAGAAAACAGGCTCCGGCTGCTAAAAATTAATGCAACCAATAGTAACACCAGCCAACTTTTATGGACGGTTTTACTGCCAGCCAGGGTGGCAACCCCATGAAGTAGGTGCTGTTATGCCCTTTACTTCACAGGTGAAAAAACTGAGACCAGCAGAGGCCAAGTGGCTTGTCTATGATCACCAGCTAGTAGGGATTTGAATCCAGCCAGCCTAGCTCCGGAATTCCTCATTTTAACCTCTAGATCAGCTCTGTCCAATAAAAATACAATTGTGGCTGGGTGCGGTGACTCATGCCCGTAATCCCAGCACTTTGGGAGGCCAAGGCAGGCGGATCGCTTGAGGTCAGAAGTTCGAGACCAGCCTGGCCAACATGGTGAAACCCCGTCTCTACTAAAAATACAAAAATTAGCTGGGCGTGGTAGCACGCGCCTGTAATCCCAGCTAATTTGGAGGCTTAGGCAGGAGAATTGCTTGAATCCGGGAGGGGGAGGTTGCAGTGAGCAGAGATTGCACCACTGCACTCCAGCCTGTGCAAAAGAGTGAGTGAGACTCCGTCTCAAAAAACAAACAGAAAAAAAAAATTGTGAAAGTTGATCATGTGAATTGGATCCTTCTTGTCATATCCAACTAAAACAAAGTTGAGAGGCCGGGGGGAAAACACTTAGGGCAGATACCATTGCTCCAAGAAAGTGATTCTCTGCAAGCCTGGCTGTTAAAACTGCCTGTTGTAACCTGGAAGCAGTCTAACTGGTACTGAAAAAACCTGCCGTGACTCTAAGACTAGTTTTTCCCTCTGCTGTCACTTACCAGTCAGAACTTGCCAGCTCCCCAGAACGTTGCTAGTGTCAATGAACTTTCTTGCAAAACAATACCTAACATTTCTGTTTCTTATAAAAACCTCTAACCTCTTTGTTCTTTGAAAGTTCTGAAGACCGCCTGGTCTGTGTGGATGCCTCGAATGTCAATTCTTGCTTCCCAAATAAAACATTTTATTATTTTTTTGAGACAGAGTCTCGCTCTGTCGCCCAGGCTGGAGGGCAGTGATGCAATCTCGTCTCACTGCAACCTCCGCCTCATGGGTTCAAGCGATTCTCCTGCCTCAGCCTCCCGAGTAGCTGGGATTACAGGCGCATGCCACCATGCCCAGCTAATTTTTGTATTTTTAGTAGAGACGGGGTTTCACCATGTTGGCCAGGATGGTCTCAAACTCCCGACCTCAGGTGATCTGCCCGCCTCAGCCTCCCAAAGTGCTGGGATCGCAGGCATGAGCCACCGCAACAAAACATTTTAAATCGAGAGATTTGTCTCTATATCTCTATATTTTATTTGGCTTCGACATAACGTGAGCTGTATACATAGTTTAAGACATCAACAAACAAAACCAGACATGGATTCTTCCCCACAAAGAACTTACCTTCTAGAGGGAGAGACATGATAAACAGTTGGCATAATGAGCAAATTACGTAGTATCAGGGAAATAATTAAATATAAAACCTCCAGGCCGGGCATGATGGCTCACGCCTGTAATCCCAGAACTTTGGGAGGCTGAGGCAGGCGGATCACTTGAGGTCAGGAGTGTGAGACCAGCCTGGCCAAAATGGCGAAACTCCGTCTCTACTGAAAATACAAAAATTAGCCGGGCATGGTGGCGCATGCCTGTGATCCCAGCTACTCGGGAAGCTGAGGCATGAGAATCACTTCAACAAGGGAGGCAGAGGTTGCAGTGAGCTGAGACCTCACCACTGCACTCCAGCCTAGGCGACAGAGTGAGAAGCTGTCTTAAATAAATAAAATAAATAAAACCTCCTTTTGACCCTCTTAGAATCCTCTCCACAAATGCAGAAAAGAATTAAATGGGTCCTGGCATGGGGGCTCACACCTGTAATCCCAGCACTTTGGGAGGCCGAGGCAGGAGGATCTCTTGAGCCCAGGAGTTTGAGACCAGCGCTGGCAACACAGTGAAACCCCGTCTCTACAAAAAATTTAAAAAGTAGCTGCAAATAGTGGTGTGCACCTGTAGTCTCAGCTACTTGGGAGGCTGAGGTGGGAGGATGGCTTGAGCCTGGGAGGTTGAGGCTGCAGTGAGCTGTGATCATGCCACTGCACTTCAGCCTGGGCTACACATCGAGACCCTGTCTCAAAAAAAAAAAAAAAAAAAAAAGAAAAAGAAAAAGAAAACAAGTAAAAAAAAGAATGAAACGGTTGTATTAGTGTATACACTTCAAACTAGCCTGTAATGTGCTTCTGTCATGATGAACAGTAAACATAATAAGTGTGTGTGTGTTAAAAAGTGATTAGTGCTGTGAAAAATTAGAGCAGAGAAGGGAAATGGGGCATAACGAGGCTGGGTTGGGTGGATAGGAGAGGGAGACCCTGAATTAGGAGAGATGGATGAACTATTATGCTGGTCTAATTTCTTCTCAATATGTATATTTTCATTTTTAAAATTTTGTTTCAACTGGACACGGTGGCTCACACCTGTATCCCAACACTTTGGGAGGCCGAGGCAGGTGGATCACCTGAGGTCAAGTGTTTGAGACCAGCTTCACCAACATGGTAAAACTCCGTCCCTACTAAAAATACAAAAACCTAGGTGCAGTGGCTTATGCCTGTAATCCCAGCACTGTGGGAGGCCGAGGTGGCAGATCACGAGGCCAGGAGTTCGAGACCAGCCTGGCCAATATGGTGAAACCCCAACTCTACTAAAAATACCAAAAAAAAAAAAAAAAAAAATTAGGTGGGCATGGTGGTGCGCACTTGTAGTCCCAGCTACTCAGGAGGCTAAGGCAGAAGAATCACTTGAACCCAGGAGGCACAGGTTGCAGTGAGCTGAGATCCCACCATTGCACTCCAGCCTGGGCGACAAGAGTGAAAATTTGTCTAAAAAAAACTGTTTATATATATATATTTGAGACCAGGTCTCACTCTGTCGTAGCTCACTTTAGCCTCAAACTCCTGGAGTCAAGCCATCCTCCTGCCTTAGCCTCTGGGGTAGCTGGGACTAAAGGAGAGACAAGGTCTTGCTGTTGCCCAGGGTGGTCTCAAACTCCTGAGCTCAAGTGGTCCTCTCGCCTCCACCTCCCCAAGTGCTGGGATTATAGGCATGAGCAACTGTGCCCACTAAAACTAATATATTAGTTTTAATGTAATATATAAGCAGTGGGAATCTTGTTGATAATGAGATATGATGACTCAAGTATTTGACTTTTTTAAAAACTTTTTTCACTTTGTCATCCAGGCTGGAATGCAATGGCTTGATCTCAAACTCCTGACCTCAGGTGATCCTCCCGCCTTGGCCTCCCAAAGTGCTGGGATTACAGGCATGAACCACTGCACCTGGCCTGATTTTTTTTTTAACAGTTAAAAGGTTTAAAAAGTTTGAGTAGGTTGGCCAGGGACTGTGGCTGATGCCTGTAATCCCAGCACTTTTGGAGGCCGAGGCAGGCAGATCACTTGAGGTCAGGAGTTCGAGACCAGCCTGGCCAACGTGGTGAAACCCCATCTCTACTTAAAATAAAAAAATTAGCTGGGTGTGGTGGCACACACCTATAGTCCCAGCTACTCAGGAGGCTGAGGCAGGAGAATCGCTCAAACCTGGGAAGCGGAGGTTGGAGTAAGTTGAGATTGAGCCACTGCACTGTAACCTGGGTGACAGAGCAAGACTCCATCTCAAAAAAAAAAAAAAAAAAAAAAAAATTCCAAGTAGGTCAAAAGGGCAGATACTGAAAAGTCAGTGTCCTTTTCCAGTCCCTGGTTCTCCTCCCAAGGGCAAGACTCTTGGTGTCCACCCCAAAGACACCACACCCAGACAGGATTCACCCATCTCTCTGAGGGCTGCTACCTGAGAGACTTTATCTGCAAATAAGATGACCTTTGTTCTTAGTGCAGTTCTGCCCTTCACCCTACCTTAGCTTGTCACCACCATGGTCCAGAAGCCTCCTAGCCCCTATCTATTTCTGTATCTCAAAATGCTATTTAAGCTTCAACCATCTGGACCTTCTTTGAATCTCATACTTTGTGGGGTTTCTCTGTGTGTGCACATAATGGATTTGTGTGCCTTTTCTCTAGTTCATTTGTCTACTGTCAAGTTTATTTCAGAGACTCAAATTATCAAGCCTTCAGAGACGGTGGATGGAAAGTTTCACTTGTCCCTTCACTTGTTAAAAATTTTATAAAGTTCTTTTGAGATGAAGTCTCACTCTGTCACCCAGTTTGGAGTGCAGTGGTGTGATCCTGGCTCACTGCAGACTTGACCTCCCAGGCTCAAGCCATCCTCCCACCTCAGCCTCTCAAAGTGCTGGGATTGCAGGCATGAGTCAGGTCACTGCAGCTGTGACCTCCCAGCCTCAAGTGATCCTCCCATCTCAGCCTCTCGAATACATGGGATTATAGGCACAGCTATAGTCCCACCATGTCTGGGTAATTTTAAAATTTTTTTTGCAGAGATGGGGTCTTGCTACAATGTCCATCCAGTCTCATCTCAAACTCTTGGCCTCAAGTGATCCTCCTGCCTTGGTCTCCCAAAGTGCTGGGATTACAGGTGTGAGCCATCACACTGGCCTTGTCCCTATACTTTATAGCCAGAAAAGGGCTGAGGAAAGCAGAAACAGAGAACAAAAAAACGGATTGGCACTTTCAAAATTACCTTCCTTGTAATGGATAAAGCAGAGTTGTTCTTCAGTTCAGCAAACCAGGAAATCTCTTAATTCAGGAGGGCCAGCTGTGGGTTTTATGGAGCTGTTGCTTCAGAGACTCCACACAGAGGGGGAAATGTTCTAGAGATATACCAAACCCCCTGGGGATTCCAAATCATCAGGCCCACATTTGTAACAAACTCCCAGAAGATGCCAAAGCCTATGCTCCCAGGACGAAGCATTGAGTAGCTGAATCTTACAGGAATCAAGCCAAACATCCCTTGCATGTTGATACACATTTTTTTTTTTTTGAGATGGAGTCTCGTTCTGTTGCCCAGGCTGGAGTGCAGTGGCACGATCTCGGCTCACTGCAACCTCCGCCTCCTGGCTTCAAGTGATTCTCCTTCCTCAGCCTCCCGAGTAGCTGGGATTGCAGGCACACGCCACCAGGCTCTGCTAACTTAAATTTCTCTCCTTTTATTTCCCCTTTACCTTATAGTTAGGGCATTTTGGAGCTAGGTTTTATTATCTAAGTGTTTCATTTCAAGGTAAGAAATTATTTGCTATACATCGGGAGCACTGGCTCTGATGAGGTTGAGCAACACTGATGCAAAGCAAACGTGAGTGGGGGCTGCAGTCTTCTCTCTCTGCTAGGGGTGTGGGTGGGAAGCTGGGGAAAGTCCTGCTGGTCCAGTTTGCAGAAGTAGAAATGTCATGGACCTCCGGGAACAGAGAAGTGGGCTGCACGACTAATTCCAAGGGTGTTAGAGGTTCCACCAATGCGGCTTTCTGGACTACAGCTCTCCCTGGAGGCCATTGTTAACAGGATTAGAGTGAGGTAGGAGGCGGGACTCGACTCCAGAGGCGTGGCTTGGACACCAGATCAGACTGAGGACTTGGTAGAACAGGGCGGTGGAGGACAGCAGGAGGGTGGGAAGCAGTTTTATTTATTTATGTATTTATTTATTTATTTGAGATGGAGTCTCGCTCTGTTGCCGGGCTGGAGTTGGTCGGCTCACTGCAACCTCCGCCTCCCAGGTTCAAGCGATTTTCCTACCTCAGCCCCTCGAGTAGCTGGGACTACAGTCATGTGCCACCACGCTCGGCTAATTTTTTGTGTTTTTAGTAGAGACTGGGTTTCACCGTGTTAGCCAGGATGGTCTCCATCTCCTGACCTCGCAATTCGCCCGCCTCAGCCTCCCAAAGTTATGGGATTACAGGCGCGAGCCACGGCGCCCGGCCAGCTTTCTATTATTATTATTATTATTATTATTATTATTATTATTATTATTATTAAGACAGAGTCTTGCTCTGTCGGCCAGGCTGGAGTGCAGTGGTACAAGCTCAGCTCACTCCAACCTCTGCCTCCCAGGTGCAAGCGATTCTCCTGCCTCAGCCTCCCGAGTAGCTGGGATTACAGGCGCACCCCACCACACCTGCCTAATTTTGTATTTTTAGTAGAGACGGGGTTTCACCATGTTGGCCAGGCTGGTCTCGAACTCCAGACCTCAGGTGATCCACTCACCTGGGCCTCCCAAAGTGCTGGGATTACAGGTGTGAGCCACTGCGCTCAGCCGGAAACGGCTTTCTATGAGACAGGCCCACCAGTGTGCCATGTCAATTTACTATCGCCATGGCAACACCACGAGTTACTGCCCCTTTCCACAGCAATGACCCAATGATTACTCCTCCTTCCCTAGAAATTTCTGCATGAAACGCCCCTTAATCTGCATGCAAAATTAAAAGTGGGTATAAATATGACTGTGGAACTGCCCTGGGCTGCTACTGCCTGCCTATGAATAGCCCTGCTCTGCAGTAGCGACCACCGAGCTGTGACACTGCCACTTCAATAAAGCTGTTTCTTCTACCTCTGGATTGCCCTTGAATTCTTTCCTGGGTAGGCCGGGCGTAGTGGCTCATGCCTTATTCCCAGCACTTTGGGAGGCTGAAGGGGAGGTGGATCATTTGAGGTCAGGAGTTTGAGACCAGCCTGGCCAACATGGCGAAACCCCATCTCTACTAAACATACAAAAATTAGCCAGGCATGGTGGTGCACACCTGTAGTCCCAGCTACTCAGGAGGCTGAGACAGGAGAATCGCTTGAACCCAGGAGATGGAGGTTACAGTAAGCCGAGATGGCGTCACACTGCACTCCAGCCTGGTTGACAGAGCAAGACTCCATCTCAAAAAAAAAAAAGAAAAAGAAAACCTTGACAAATAGAGCCAGGGAACGCCATAAAGACAGAGTTCTCATGTTTATACGCCTGATAACAAAAATGATTACAAAAGACTCTACAGAAACCATAAACTTGCCCAAAGGGCATTACAACTTTACACAAAAAATGGTTCTACAAAGCCCTCCGTGGAAGAGCTGCCTGTCTGACCTCGAACGGGCATCACCCTCGATTTTGATCTTTGTAGTCAAGGATAATTATTTCAAAACAATTATGTACTCCTCATTTTTTCTTGTAAGAGCCTTTGTCTTCCTTTACCTTCCTGAATCTGCACATAGTTCACTATGGCATGCAGATTCTCATTGCAGTGCTGTATTCCCAAACAAACATCTTTTCTCTCTTTTTTTTTGAGATGGAATCTGGCTCTGTTGCCCAGGCTGGAGTGCAGTGGCGCAATCTCGGCTCACTGCAACCTTTGCCTCCCCAGTTCAAGTGATTCTCCTGCCTTGGCCTCCTGAGTGGCTGGGATTACAGGCGCCCACCACCACACCCAACTATTTTTTTTTGTATTTTTAGTAGAGATGGGATTTCACCATGTTGATCAGGCTAGTCTTGAACTCCTGACCTCAGGTGATCCGCCCACCTCAGCCTCCCAAAGTGCTGGGATTACAGGTGTGAGCCAACGTGCCTGGTGCAAACATCTCTTCTTTTATAGAACCTCTCTCTGTTTGTTAATTAGGTTCACACTGCAGCCTCAATCTCCCTGGGCTCAGGTGATCCTCCAGCTGAGCCTCCCAAGTACCTGGAACTATAGGTGTGCACCACCATGCCTAGCTAAGTTTTTTATTTTTTGCAGAGACAAAGTTTTGCTATGTTGCCCAGGCTGGTCTTGAACTCCTGGGCTCAAGTGTTCTGTCTGCTTTGGCCTTCTAAATTGCTAGGATATAGGCATGAGTCACTGTGCCCAGCTAGCTTCTTTTTCTCTTCTTCTTCTTTTTCTTGTGATGGAGACTCGCTCTGTCTCCCAGGCTGGAGTTCAGTGGCATGATCTCAGCTCACTACAACCTCTACCTCCTGGGTTCAAGAGATTTTCCTGCCTCAGCCTCCCAAGTAGCTGGGATTATAGGCACCCACCACCGTGCTGGGCTAATTTTCGTATTTTTAGTAGAGATGCGGTTTCACCATGTTGGCCAGAGTGGTCTCAAACTCCTGACCTCAAGTGACCCACTCACCTCAGCCTCCCAAAGTGCTGGGATTACAGGCATGAGCCACCATGCCCAGCTCCAGCTGGCTTCTTATAATTATAAAAACTAAATATTTTGGAGTCTATTAATACACGAAAATTATGGGAAAACATGTTTGTAAAGTTATTAAATGATTTTCGTTTATAAAATACTCATATGTGACAGGCAATGCAATATTTCTTGCTTCCCAGGTTTTCACTAAAATTTAAGGTTACTGTATTAGTCCGTTCTCAAGTTGCTATGAATAAATACCCAAGACTGGATAATTTATAAAGGAAAGAGGTTTAATTGACTCACAGTTCTTCAGCATGGCTGGGCAGGCCTCAAGAAACTTACAATCATGGCAAAAGGGGAATCAACATGCCCCTCTTCACAGGGCAGCAGGAGAGAGAAGTGCTGAGCAAAAGGGGAAAAGCCCCTTATAAAACCATCAGGTCTTGGCCAGGCGTGGTGGCTCATGGCTGTAATCCCAGCACTTTGGGAGGCCGAGGCAGGCAGATCACTTGAGGTCAGGAGTTCGAGACCAACCTGGCCAACATGGTGAAACCCTGTCCCTATTAAAAATACAAAAATGAGCCAGGCATGGTGGGACACACCTGTAATCCCAGCTACTTGGGAGGCTGAGGCAGGAGAATTGCTTGAACCCAGGAGACAGAGGTTGCAGTGAGCCAAGACTTTGCCATTGCACTACAGCCTGGGTAACAGGTGATAGAGCCAGACTCCTCCAAAAACAACAGCAACAACAACAAAAGGTGAAAGCATTTGCTTTTTCTCCTCACTTGATTCCTCCAAAATCTGGAAACTCTTCGTGAGTATTCTTATTTTTATTTACATAAGTTCAGAAAAAGTCTGCCCTTTCTTTATAAGCAAGATATAATAGAAAACACTGGCTATATCACCAAGGCTTTGACTGAAGTGTCATATTTTATTTTAATTAATTAATTAATTAATTTATTTATTGAGACCAAGTTTCACTCTGTTGCCCAGGCTGGAGTGCAGTGGCACGATCTCAGCTCACTGCAACCTCTGCCTCCCAGGTTCAAGTGATTGTCCTGCCTTAGCCTCCCGAGTGCTGGGATCACTGGTGTGCACCACCATGCCCAGCTAATTTTTTTTTTTTTTTGTATTTTTAGTAGAGACAGGGTTTCACCATGTTGGCCAGGCTGGTCTCGAGCTCCTGACCTCAGATGATCCACTCACCTTGGCCTCCCAGAGTGCTGTGGTTACAGGTGTGAGCCACCATGCCTGGCCTGAAGTATTATATTTTAAAATATACATAAATGCCTGGCTTCAAGAGTTCCCAGTCTTACAATGAATGAGTAAAAATGGCCCCTTTCTGGCAGGCCCAAGAACCTTAAGAACCTGTTGGTAAAATCTAAAGTCTGCCTTGGTTTGGCTTCTGAGCCTCAAGAGGTTTCTAAATCTGAGATTCCTATATGATAAATGTGGAGAGAAAAAGTTACATTTCTAAAGAAAAACTATAATATACCTATTAATAGATTGCAGCCCTGTGCACTGTTTTTAAGTTCTTGTTATCTACCTATAGACTGGACGAGTTCCTGAATTCTCCTGACTTCCTCCAATATATTGCTACAACTCTCTGACTAAAAGCAACGGCTGGATGGGCGAGGTGGCTCACGCCTGTAATCCCAGCGTTTTGGGAGGCCGAGGTGGGCAGATCACTTGATATTGGGAGTTCGAGACCAGCCTGGCCAACACAGTGAAACCCCATCTCTAATAAAAATACAAAAATTACCCAGGCTTGGTGGCATGTACCTGTAGACCCAGCTATTCGGGAGGCTGAGACACGAGAACTGCTTGAACCTGGAAGGTGGAGGTTGCAGTGAGCTGAGATTGCGCTGCTGCACTCCAGCCTGGGTAACAGAAAAAATTCTGTCTAAATAAATAAATAAATAAAGTAAAAGCTGCTCTGTTTCCAAAGCCCTATACGCTGAAATGAGACCAATTTTAAGGAACAAACTTTGTGCCCAATGTATGGGCCACACAAAAGCTCACCAAACTGTCTGACATCATGACCAAAGACACACAAAGTGAAAATCAGAAGTTGATGTTTTCACACTGCAGACAGCTTTTCCCAAGACATTTGGAAGAAGACTAACTCATAATAAGATTTGTACCCCCTCAATGCTATCTTTTTCATTTGGCAGGATAATGATGTAGTTGAAATTTCATGACCAATAGCTTCCATTGGCAACTTAACAAAACCTAACTTAAGAAATCCTTTAGTATCCATTGGTTAACTAAGACATGTCTGCGCTATTGCTAATACTACATGCTGTACCTGTAGTACAGGCCAGTTCTTCCGGGAAAAGTTGAGATCCATATACATAAAAGAAGAAAACAGATCACTTGGTTACAGTTGGTCTCACCTAATTTCCTAAGGCCTTTTGATTCATTCAATTCATTCTGTAAGCCTATGAAGTTGTCTGAAAGCATTATGAAGAGTGGAATTTTCATATTACTACTAATTTTACTTTGTATTTCTCCATTTTAAAACCCTGTATGTGTAATTCGAGCACTTTGTGGGGCTGAGGTGGGAAGATTGCCTGAGGCCAGGAGTTCGAGACCAGCTTAAGCGACACAGCCAGGCCCCATCGCTAGAAAGAAAAAAGAAAATTAGCTAGGTATAGTGGCATGGGCCTGTAGTCCTGGCTACCTGGCAGGTGAGCAGGAGGATCACTTGGGCCCAGGAGTTGGATGCTGCAGTGAGCTAGGATCATACCACTGCACTCCAGCTTGGGCAACAAAGCAAGATCCTGTGTCTAAAAAACAAAACACAAAACCAAACAAAACAACTTTGTATGTTGTTAAATTTTTGCATTAAGTACAACTCCTAACAAAATAATGTTGGCCTAACATTTTGAGATGTTAATAAAAGACTACAGAACAGATAAAACTGAACTTAATAACGGACACCATGAAAACTTAGTCTGAGAGCCACTCCCGTCACACTTCCCTTGTTGTTCAAATATGTTGTTTTTTTCAGTTCCTTCTCAGGCTTTAGATTAAAAGGGTTTTGAGGCTGGGCGCAGTGGCTCATGTCTGTAATCCCAGCACTTTGGGAGGCCGAAGCGGGCGGACCGCTTGAGGTCAGGAGTTCGAGACCAGCCTGGCCAACATGGTGAAACCCCATCTCTACTAAAATTGCAAAAATTAGCCAGGTGTGGTGATGTGCTCCTGTAATCCCAGCTACACAAGGCTGAGGCAGGAGCATCGCTTGAACCTGGGTGATGGAGGTTGCAGTGAGCCAAGATTACGCGACTGTACTCCAGCCTGGGCGACAGAGTGAGTGAGACTGTCTCAAAAAAAGAAAAAAAAAAAAAGGAGAGGGGTTGATAGGGTTTTGATACTGACTTCTAGACACCAGTCACTCCCCCACAATATGCATTGAGATCAGCAATTGGGACAGGTACATCACAGCATCAAGATACATCAAAACCCAAATACAGGATGATCAATCAGTGATGCTTTTGGAGAAAGATCTTAATCAAAAAGGGGAAAGGTGAAAGTTGTCAGAGTCACTATGGAGTCACTAATATTAAGAAAACCCTGAAAAACAGAGCTGGGGAAGGCCATGAAGAGAGGGTTCTCACACTTGTGTGGCTGATTATAAAACTATCACAAAAGACTGCAAAAACCACAACCTTGGCCAGGCACAGAGGCTCACATCTGTAATGCCAGCACTTTGGGAGGCTGAGGAGGGAAGATTGCTTGAGGCCAGGAGTTTGAGACCAGCCTGAGCAAAATAGCAAGACCCCCTGTCTACAAAAAAATATAAAAATCAGCCAGGCATGGTGGCATGTGCCTGTAGTCTCAGCTAGAGGCGAGAGGATTGCTTGAGCCCAGAAGGTTGAGGCTGCTGTGAGCCAAGATCATGCTACTGCACTCCTGCCTGGGCAAAAGAGCAAGACTCTGTCTCAAAACACAAAACAAAAAGCACATAAAACAATGCTATACAGTGTAATAATTTTGGAACAACAATATGTAGAAAAAGGAGAAAATAACCCAATGTATATCATTTATGGGAGAGGAGAGTCTTCCCAGCAAGGCTGAGCTGACCTTTGAAGCAAGAACAGATGAGGCAGAAGGAAATAAGGACTTTTGAAGTCATTAGTTCTGCCCATCAAATATTTCCAGCTGGCAGCAGGATGCGGTGGTGTGTGCCTGTAATTCCAGGTACTTGGGAGGCTGAGGCAAGGGGATCACTTGAGCCTGTGAGTTCGAGACCAGCCTCAGTAACATAGCAAGACCCCATTAAAAAAAAAAAAAAAGGAAAAAAGAAATCAGAAGTAGAAAGTCAGGTGCAGTGGCTCACTCCTGCAATCCCTGCACTTTGGGAGGCCAAAGCGGGTAGATCACCTAAGGTCAGGAGTTTGAGACCAGCCTGGCCAACACGGTGAGACCCCGTCTCTACTAAAATACAAAACTTAGCCAGGTGTGGTGGCAGGCGCCTGTAATCCCAGCTACTTGGGAGGCTGAGGCAGGAGAATCGCTTGAACCCAGGAGGCAGAGGTTGCAGTGAGCCTAGATCATGCCATTGCACTCCAGCCCGGGTGACAAGAGCGAGACTCCATCTCAAAAAAAAAAAAAAAAATTTCTTCCTGAATTAAACGTGGGCTGTCACCTTTATTCCCATAGCCAGGCAATGATTTCCTGACATGGCCCGTAACTGTCCTCACGTGGCAGCCCCACACAGAAGCTAGTTAAAATGAAACCATGGCCCTGCGAGGAAGTGCCATCCTCCCTCACATTCCACAAGCATTTGCTGAGCACCAGCTTTTTGCCAGGCTTTGGGTTAGGCACTGGGGACACAACAGTGAAAGAGAGGGGTAAAATGTCTGCTATCCAGGAACTGATGTTCTATAGCATAAAACAGGCAGTAAGGAAGGATGTAAATAAGTAGAACCTACAAGGGTGGTAAGTGCTATGGAGGCAGAAAGCAAACTAAGCCAGGGAGGTGGTAGGAAGAGGGGGAGGGAGTTGTAAGTTTCAGGCAGGGCACCCAGGGAAGGCCTCTCTGAGAAGCTGACGTTTGAGCTGAGATCTGGCGGGGATAAAGGATTAAGCCAGACTGAGGTAGGAGACCAGCAGGACTTGTTTTCTGGTCACAATCTTGCTGACCAAAACAGGATCTGGTCCAGACGGGATGAAGTAAAGAAACTGGCAGGAACCAGCCGACCCCTAGGCAGCAATCCCTAGCTGCTCTCATTGTCTATTAGCATAAGACACTCCCACCAGAGCATGACAGTTTACAAATGCCATGGCAACGACCTGGAAGTTACCGCCCCTTTTCTACCAGGAAGTTATCTCCCATTTCACACAGTTCTAAATGACCCACCCTCTCAATTTGCATTAACCCACCCCCTAATTTGCATGTAACTGAAAGTGGGTAGAAGTGAGTGTAAATAGTTGCCAACAGCTCATATGTTGTCTACTCTGGGTGCACTGCCTATGAGCCGGTTCTGTTCTGCAAGGAGCAGCACTGTTCTATGAAAGATTGTTGTCAAACACCACGGGCTCATCCTTGAATTCCTTCCTGGGTGAAGACAAGAACCCTCCCAGGCTAAGCCCCAATTTTGATGCTTTCCTGTCCAGCATCAAGATCACTATCTGGGGAAGGAGTGCTCTTAGAATAGAGAACAGCAAGTGCAAAGCCCATGAGGCAGGAGCAAGGGACAAGAAGGCCATGGGGCTAGAGCCAAGGGGAGATTGGTAGGAAATGCACTTTGAGAGGTGATGGGGGCAGACTGTGGGGGCTTTGTGGTCTGTGGTAGGAACTTACTTTTCCTCTGAGTGAGATGCAGCCATGGGAGGGTTTGAAGTAGGGATGTTATCTGATTCAGGCATTGTGATATTGTGATTTACAATAAGATATATGTACAATTGGCTGGGCGTGGTGGCTCGGTGGGAGGCCGAGGCAGAAGGATCGCTTGAGGTCAGGAGTTCAAGACCAGCCTGGCCAACATCGTAAAACTCCGTCTCTACTAAAAATACAAAAATTAGCTGGACATGGTGGTGTGCACCTGTAGTCCCAGCTACTCGAGAGGCTGAGGCAGGCGAATTGCTTGAACCTGGGAGGTGGAGGTTTCAGTGAGCTGAGATCATGCCTCTGCACTCCAGCCTGGGTGACAGAGCTAGACTCCATCTCAAGAAAAAAAAAAAAAAAAAGAAACATCCTTATCATATCTTGCTGGACAAAAGTCCAAGGAACACCATGATGATATCCTACTGGAACAAGGGCCAGAACTGCCTTATCATGGGAGCGTCTTATCAATATCCTGCTGGGCAGCAAGCCATACTGCCCAGACCCCTCCCACCCATACCTATAAATTGCCCCAGCCTGTAAGCAGTGATGGGCTCTGGCATTAGGCTGGTCCCCCACTTCTGTAAGTTTTATGCTGGACATAAAGCCTGTATTTGATGTCCAGCCCCCCCTTCTTTCTGTGTATCTTTCTTTAACCCTCACCATCGCTTCAAAACCTAACAAAGACGGGTTCTCACTATTTTGCCGAGGCTGGTCTTGAACTCCTGAGCTCAGCCGATCCTCCTGCCTTGGCCTCCCAAAGTGCTAGGATTACAGCAGTGAGCCACAGCACCTGGCCTGAAATTTTTTTAATTAATTAATTATTTTGTAGAGCCACGATCTTGCTATGTTGCCCAGGCTGGTCTCAAACTCCTGACCTCAAGTGAGCCGCCCGTCTTGGCCTTCCTAAGTGCTGGGATTACAGGCATGAGCCACCACACCCAGTGAGTGTCAGAACTGAACTGAATGAGAAAACACCCAAGTGGTGTCTGCTGTCAAATTGCTTGGTGTGGGACAGAAAACCCCCCTATACACCCAGAGTCCCTGAAGTATTCTGTGTTGTGAGAATACAGCAGGAGAAACTGGATTTGTTTTTCTTGTGTGGGGGGACAGGAGGAAGTAAGGAACAGAGAAAGAAGGATGCTGCTCAGAGACAGGTGAGACAGGAGGGTGGACCAGCCCAGGACCGGGGCATAGGAGCCAGGAGAAGTGGCTAATTCTGGATAGATTTGAGGGTGCCCACAGGATTTGCTGAAGAATTGGGCATGGGATGCTGGGCCACACAGAACACGTTCAGGATATCAGGCGATGTTTTTTGTGAAGTCCTTGTCTATAGAAACAGTTTGATTGAAAGATGTGGCCAGGTGTGGTGACTCACGCCTGTAATCCCAGCACTTTGGGAGGATGAGGTGGGAGGATCCTTTCAGGTCAGGAGCTTGAGACCAGCCTGGGCAACATGTAGAGAGCCCATCTCTATTTTTTTAAAAAAGGGAAAAAGCAATTTAATTTCTTTTTTCTTTTTTGACTAGAGACAGGGTTTAGCCATGTTGCCCAGGCTAGTCTGGAACTTCTGGGCTCCAGGGATCTGCCCACCTTGGCTTCCCAAAGTGCTGGGATTACCAGCACCCTAAAAAAAGGAAAATTTTAAAAAAAGAAAAATTTGTTACAAAATTCATGGACCTAAGTGAGGTATAGTGATTTATCAGTGATAGAGAATAATGCACAGAGAAGAGGTACTTAGGTATTTGCTTTTTGTTGAACCCACCACCGTGAAATCCACCAAAGCGTCCAGGTACCATCTCCTCATGTCCCTTTTTTGTCATCCTGTGTCATTTTGGGCTAATTTAATATCCCTCAGCATGCAAAAGAGGCAGCATTGCTGTTACACTCAACATCCTTGCTTCTGCTGATCTTTTTTTTTTTTTGAGACAGAGTCTTGCTCTGTCGCCCGGCTGGAGTGCAGTGGTGTGATCTTGGCTCACTGCAACCTCCGCCTCCTGGGTTCAAGTGATTCTCCTGCCTCAGCCTCCCAAGTAGCTGGGACTATAGGCATGCGCCACCATGCCCGCTAATTTTGGTATTTTTAGTAGAGACGGGGTTTCACCATGTTGACCAGGATGGTCTCGAACTCCTGACCTCAGGTGATCTGTCCACCTCAGCCTCCCAAAGTGCTGGGATTACAGGTATGAGCCACCGCGCCTGGCCACCTCTGCTGATCTCTATGGCTATCTGTTTAACACTGGTCACATCGTTCCTCATGACACTGCCCCAGGAGGCTGCTTCATCTGTTGTGACATCCATGAATACCGGCTTCTGGTGACTTCGTCAGAGGTTTTCTTGGGCTGAGTGGATGACAAACACAAATGCCAATGCCAATCTTTATTCTTCTTGTCAGACAGTAATGTGCTGATGTCATAAGAAGGCTTAAAAGGGAGGCGCATTGTATTACTCCGTTTTCACGCTGCTGATAAAGACACACCTGAGACTGGGTAATTTATAAAGAAAAAGAGGTTTAATGGACTGACAGTTCCAAGTGTCTGGGGAGGCCTCACAATCATGGTGGAAGGCAAAGAGCACGTCTTATATGGCAGCAGAGAAGAGAGAGAATAAGAACCAAGTGAAAGGGGAGAAACCCTTACAAAACCATCAGATCCGCCGGGCACGGTGGCTCACGCCTGTAATCCCAGCACTTTGGGAGGCCGAGGCGGGCGGATCACGAGGTCAGAAGATCGAGATCATCCTGGCAAACACAGTGAAACCCCGTCTCTACTAAAAATACAAAAAAATTAGCTGGGCGTGGTGGTAGGCGCCTGTAGTCCCAGCTGCTAGGGAGGCTGAGGCAGGAGAATGGCGTGAACCCGGGAGGCAGAGCTTGCAGTGAGCTGAGATCGCGCCACTGCACTCCAGCCTGGGTGAAAGAGCGAGACTCCATCTCAAAAAAAAAAAAAAAACCCATCAGATCTCGTGAAACTTATGCACTACCAAGAGAACAGTATGGGAGAAACCGCCTCGATGATTCCATCATCTCCCACTGGGTCCCTCCCACAACACATGGGAATCATGGGAGCTACAATTCAAGATGAGATTTGGGTGGGGACACAGCCAAACCATTTCACGCATCTCACTTAAGAGCATGAAAACCCAATCATCAAGTTTACGAACTACAAAAGGATCAAATGCAAGTCTTTTATTTATTTATTTATTTATTTATTTATTTTTGAGATGGAGTTTTACTCTGTCACCCAGACTGGAGTGCAGTGGCACGATCTTGGCTCACTGCAACCTCTGCCTCCCGGGTTCAAACAATTCTTCTGCCTCAGTGTCTTTTAAAAATTTTTCAAATATTTTTTAGCAGTGGTGAGGTCTTGTTCTGTTGCCCAGGCCGGCCTCGAACTTCTGGTCTCAAGCAATCCTCCAGCCTCTGCCTCCCAAAGTACTGGGATTACAGACGTGAGCCACTGCACCCAGCCAAAAGCAAGTTTTTGTTTGTTTGTTTGTTTGTCTGTTTGTTTTCTGAGACAGAGTCTCGCTCTGTCACCAGGCTGGAGTGCAGTGGTGTGATCTCGGCTCACTGCAACCTCTGCCTCCCAGGTTCAAGTGATTCTCCTGCCTCAGCCTCCCATGTAGCTGGGATTACAGGCGTGCACCACCACGCCCGGCTAATTTTGTATTCTTAGTAGAGATGGGGTTTCACCATGTTGGCCAGATTGGTCTCAAACTCTTGACCTCATGGTCTACCTGCCTCGGCCTCTCAAAGTGCTGGGATTACAGGTGTGAGCCACCGCGCCTGGCCCCAAAAAGTTTTAACCAGAGTAATGTGAGCAAGAACTTTTCTGGTCATGTTAAATGATCATATTTGGAATTTCCTGGTGGAAATGTAGAACCACACACCTTCCACCCAAGTCTGTCTTTAGGCCACCATCCCCGCATTCAAAAAGCCTTTTTTTTCTTTTTTTTTTAGACAGGGTTTCACTCTGTCACCCAGGCGGAGCGATCGCAGTTCACCTAAGCCTTGGCCTCCCAGGTTTAAGCAATTCTTTCACCTCAGCCTCCCGAGTAGCTGAGACTGCAGGTGCATGCCACCACGCCTGGCTAATTTTTCTGTATTTTTAGTAGACATGGCGTTTCCCTGTGTTGGCCAGGCTGGTCTCAAACTCCTGACCTGAAGTGATCCACCTGCCTCGGCCTCCCAAAGTGCTGGGATTACAGGCATGAGCCACCACACCCAGCCAAGATTTTTAAAACTTTTTACAATTTTATTTTTAGAGCTGAGGTCTCACTATGTCACGCAGGCTGATCTCAAACTCCTGGGCTCAAGCGATCCTCTTGCCTCAGCCTCCCAAAGTGCTGGGATTACAGGCGTGAGCCATCGTGCCTGGCCCCTAGAGTCCTTCAACACTGACCTTGTCTTAGCCTTCAATATCCCTGCAACCTGTGAGAATAAGCAAAGCAAATACAGTGACCACGTGTCTGTCCCTCCTGGAGCCCAGCTGTAGCTGACCGGAGAGCATCGGGTGCCCATCATGTTGTGGAGTCACGGTCTCGAAAACCCTGGGAGGGGAGAGGCACAATTTGCCCATTATGGAGAAGAAACTGGCCAGTTCTTCAAGAGCTTGATGTCTCTTTTCCTGGCAGCAGGAGTTACAGGCCATGAATACTAGTTTCTGTGGGAGAAATAAAGGAATCTTTGCAGATGGCAAGGGAAAAAAACAGCTCCTTTCTAAAAGGACATTGCCTGCCAGGGACGGTGGCTCACGCCTGTAATCCCAGTACTTTGGGAGGCCAAGGCAAGCAGATCGCTTGAGCTCAGGAGTTCAAGATCAGCCTGGGCAACATGGTAAAATCCTATCTTTACAGAAAAATACAAAAATTAGCTGGGCATGGTGGCACACATCTGTGATCCCAGCTACTGGGGGAGGCTGAGGCAGGAGGACTGCTTGAGCCCGGGAGGCAGAGGTTGCAGTGGGTGGAGATCAGGCTGCTGCACTCCAGCCTGGGCAACAAAGTGAGACTCTGTCTCAAAAGAAATAACAATAATAAATAAAATAAAATAAAATAAAGGGGCATTGCCTTATTGTAAATCCAAGTTTACTAAGTAACTAGCCTCAGTCTAAACACTGGGGAAAGTACAATTCTGAGATGATAGGCCGTTTAGATATGAAGTACCAGATGACATCCTACGTGTATATAATCTGTATTTTGGCTGGGCATGCTGGCTCATGCCTGTAATCCCAGCACTTTGGGAGGTCGAGGCAGGTGGATCGCTGGAAGCCAGGAGTTTGAGATCAGCCTGGCCAATGTGGCAAAAACCTGTCTCTACTGAAAACACAAAAATTAGCTGGGCATGGTGGCAAGCACCTGTAATCCCAACTACTTGGGAGGCTGAGGCAGGAGAATCGCTTAAACCCTGGAGGAAGAGGTTGCAGTGAGCCGAGATCGCGCCACTGCACTCCAGCCTGGGTGACAGAGCGAGACTCTGTCTCAAAAAAAAGAAAAAAGAAAGTTGATACATGGACCCATCTACCTGGCTCCACGCTAAGAGGTGGTCATGGACCATTGATGACCCAGTGTCCTGAATGTGTCCTGTGCCCAGGGTACGTCCAGAAGCTTCGTGGCAGCACCATTCTGGTGGCCGCCAGGGGGCGCCATGTGCTTGCCAGGCAGCAGTCCTGGAACTGGGGTCCAGCCACAGGGCCCCAGGACCACGCCACAGGGCAAGAGTCCTAGAGTTCCTGGTAGTTTCCAGCTGAACCTATGCACACGGGGTCGTTGGTGGAGGTGGAACTAGATCTCTGCAGAGCACCCTAAAGGGGAGAAACGGGACAGGCCCACACAGGTCTTGGTCTGAACTGGGAGTACCCTGCCCTGAGAGCACTGTGGCTTGGCTGGCCCCAGCTGCTGGAGAGGGACTTAGAGGAAAGTGCCACACAGTGTAGGATGCCCACTTGCCTGGTCCAAGGATGCTCCTGGTGGGTGTGAGAGAAACAGCAAAGTCCAGCATTTCCAGACTTGGATTTCTCCAAGGTTTCCAGTCATGTTGCCATTTATTGGGAAGGGGAATGGTGCAGGACTGGGGGAAGGAATAGGAAAATCAGGGCTTCATTTTGGGGAAACTGAGGCTCAGAAAAGCCCACAGGCACCGAGCAAGGATGTGAAACCATTTCCCTCGTAACCCCCGGGCGACACCGCCTGCCCCAGTTCCACGTGAGGTTGTAAAGCACTGATGCTGCTGAACATTTTCATAAATGACTTCATTTAGTCTCATCAACAATGAGCATTTTGATCCCATTTAGGGGGAACAAAGGGAGGCTCAGAAAGACCTTGCCGAGGCCTTAGATGGAGGAGGTGGCAGATTTTAGTGTGCTCTGAGTCCAGGCCCACTTTAGGCTCACAGAACCACCTCAACCCCTTTCTGCCCTAGGCCGGGCTTTTCCGAGCCTCCCTCTGCCCACTTGCCTCCTCCTTCCAGGAGTCAGGGTACTGGGGGGCTTCCCGCCTGCGCCCAAGGGGCCATAGGGCCTCATTCCCATCCATTCCTGCCTCTGTGCCTTGCTCTAACCCAGCTGGCCACAGCCCCACCTGGCCCAGGTGCCGCCGGCCCTGCTTGGTCCCCATACAAAGGCCTGTGGGAGAGGCTGGGAAATTGCCATCCACCTGGGGACAGTGGGAAACAGTCATCGTCAGCCTGTCCATATCCAGGACACCGTGCTGCATCCTGGCTCACAATCAGGAACCAGAAGGCAGCACGGCCCCCACAGGGCTGGCACGGGCAGCCTCACTGTGGCCTGTGCCCTGGGCAGTACCAGGCAGCTCCATCCTGTGGTACCCAGGCTGAGTCCATCTCTTACGCCCACGCCCAACCTCTCAGCAAACCCAGGCAGCTCCAGGTGCACAAAATCTGCACAGCACCTGCCCTTTCTCGCCCGACCATGGCCACCACCCTGGCCCCATCCACCCCTGTCTCCATCTGGACCATCACTCCCATCCACAGACTCCCTGCTCCTTCCCACCCCACCCTCGCAATCTGTTCCACAGCCACAGGGAGACTGTGAACACCTGTGTCACTCCTCCGCCCAGAACCCTCCCGGGGTGCCATCCTGCCCTGAGTAAAGGGCAAAGTCCTCCCCTACGGCCCACCAGGCCTCACATGATCTGCCCCGCCCCACTCTGACTCTGTGGCCTCCCACAGCCTCCTTGCTCACCCAGCCTGGCCACTGCTTATTATTCTGTTCCCACCACGGGGACTTTGCTTGGCTGCCCCTCCCCATAGGTCACTCCCTACCCTCCTTCCAATGTTTGCTCAAATCTTGCCTTCCCAGCCAGGCTTCCCCTGACCACTGCCTTTAATACTTTAACCACCCTGCCTTTTTTTGAACTCCTAATTTTTTATTTTTATTTTTATTTTTTGAGATAGGATCTAGCTCTGTTGCCCAGGCTGGAGTGCAGTGGCGTGATCATAGCTCACTGCAACTTTGAACTGCTAGGCTCAAGGGATTCCTCCTGATTCAACCTCCCAAGTAGCTGGGACTATAGGTGCACACCCAGCACTTATAATTGTAATTTTTAATAGAGATGGGGTTTCACTATGTTGCCCAGTCTGGTCTCAAACTCCTGGCCTCAAGTGATCATCCCACCGCAGTCTCCCAAAGTGCTGGGATTGCAGGTGTGAGCCACCACACCTGGCCACCACACTGCCCTTTTTACCCCCTTTGCCTACTCTGATTTTCTTGGAAACCTTCCATAGACTTCACAGCTTCCTCTCACCATCCCACTCATCCAGCCACTGGCCATGGCCACCTTCCCTGTTACTGTACGCAGGCTCCAGGAGGGCTGGTCAGCTCAGCCTCTCTGCTGGAGTCCTTTATTAGTTTCCCATTGCTGCTGTAACGAATTACCACAAACTTGGTGCCTTCAAACACATTTATTCTCTTGCTGCTCTGGAGGCCAGAGTCTAAAATCAGTTTCACTGGGCTGGAGTCAAAGGAGCGGAAGGACTGCCTGCCTTCTGGAGGCTCGGGGGAGCCATTCATTGCCTCTCCTGGCTTCTGGAGGCTGCCAGCATTCCTTGGCTTGTGGCTGCATCACTCCAATCTCTGCCTCTGGAGTGATTTTGCCTTCTCCTCTTCTGTGTGCAACCTCCCTCTGCCTCTAATTTATAAGGACACTTGTGACAGCATATATGGCTTACCAGGTAGTCCAGGATAATCTCATCTCAAAACCATTAACTTGGCCAGGCGCGGTGGCTCATGCCTGTAATCCCAGCACTTTGGTGGGCCGAGACAGATGGATCACCTGAGGTTAGGAGTTCGAGACCAGCCTGGCCAACATGACGAATCCCTGTTTCTACTAAAAATACCAAAATTAGCCAGGTGTGGTGGTGCGTGCCTGTAATCCCAGCTACTTGGGAGGCTGAGGCAGGAGAATTGCTGGAACCTGGGAGGTGGAGGTTGCTGTGAGCTGAGATTGTGCCATTGCACTCCATCCTGGGCGACAGAGCGAGACTCCATCTCCAAAAAAAAAAAAAAAAATCATTAATTTACATCTGCAAAGACGCTTCTTTTGTATAACATAACATTTATAGGTTCCAGGGATTGGGTTGCTGTCTTAGTCTATTCAGGCTGCTAGAACAAAATACCATAAACTGGGAGGTTTAAAAAATTTATTTCTCACAGTAGTAAAGCCTGGGACATTCAAGATCAAGGTGCTGGCAGATTCGCTGTCTGATAAGGGCCCTGCTTCCTCATAGAGGAGGTCTTCTCCCTGTGTTCTTACAGAGTGGAAGAGGCAAGGGCTCTCTCTATGGCCTGTTTTATAAGGGCACTAATCCTATTCATGTGTACTTTGCCCTCTTGACCCAATCACCTCCCGCAGGTCCCACCTCCTAATACCATCACCTTGGGGGTTGGGATTTCCATATATGAATTTTGGGGGTTTTTTCTAGAGACAGGGTCTCTCTCTGTTGCCCAGGCTGGAGTCACAGATCACTGCAACCTCAACCTCCCAGGCTCAAGTAATCTTCCCACCACAGCCTCCCAAGTGTCTGGGACTTCAGGTGCATCCCACCATGCCTGGCTAATTTTTTTGTAGAGATAGGGATCTTACTATGTTAGCCAGGCTGACCTTGAATTCCTGGGCTCAGGCGATCCTCCTGCCTTGCCCTCCCAAGGTGCTGGGATTACAGGCGTGAGCCACTGCTCTTGGCCTCAGTATGTGAATTTCAGAGGGGATACAAACATTGAGACCATCGCATACCTGAATATATTTGGGGGTCGTTATTCAGCCTACTGATAATCAGGTCCTGACTGATGGTGGTTCTAGGAGAACAGAGCCTCAGGGAAGCTCATCTGCAGCTGGTTCTCTAATCTACAGGGCTTAAGAGCATCATCAACCCTGTTGCCATGGTTAAGGGGGCACTGGTAGTTCACAACATGCAGAGACAAAATGGTGACTTATACTGTGACCTGTCGTCACCTGTCATTTACAGGGTCAGGTCCATTCTGCACTGGTCTCCCTGTTGAGCAAGGACGGTGGCCATTGTCAGTCCAGGCTCCCCACTTCCTTGTTCTTTTTTTTTTTGATAGAGTCTCTCTCTGTCACCCAGGCTGGAGTGCAGTGGCACGATCTCTGCTCACTGTAACCTCCGCCTCCTGGGTTCAAGTGATTCTCCTACCTCAGCCTCCTGAGTAGTTGGGATTACAGGCGCCCGCCACCACGCCCAGCTAATTTTTGTATTTTTAGTAGAGATGGGGTTTCACCATGCTTTCCAGGCTGGTCTGGAACTCCTGACCTCAGGTGATCCGCCCACCTCGGCCTCCCAAAGTGCTGGGATAATAGGCGTGAGCCACTGTGCCTGGCTGCTTGTTCTTATCCCTTTTTTTTTTTTTTTTTTGAGACAAGGTCTCGCTCTGTCACTCAGAGTGGAGTACAGTGGCGCGATCATGGCTCACTGCAGCTTCGACCGCCTGGGCCCAAGCAATCCTTCTCCCTCAGCCTCCTGAGTAGCTGGGACCACAGGTGCACGCCACCACCCCCGGGTAGGTTTTTCCAATTTTTTTTTTTTTTTTAAGATGGAGTCTAACTCTGTTGCCCAGGCTGGAGTGCAGTGGCACAATCTTGGCTCACTGCAACCTCTGCCCCCACCAGGTTCAAGTGATTCTCCTGCCTTAGCCTCCCGAGTAGCTGGGATTACATGCACATGCCACCACGTCCAGCTAATTTTTTGTATTTTTAGTAGAGACAAGGTTTCACCACATTGGCCAGGTTGGTCTTGAACTCCTGACCTCAGGTGATCTTCCCGCCTCGGCTTCCCAAAGTGCTGAGATTACAGGCGTGAGCCACCGCACCCGGCCGACTTTTACAAAATTATTATTATTATTTTGTAGAGATGGGGTCTTTCTATTTTGCCCAGGCTGGTCTTGAACTCCTGGCCTCAAGCCATCCTCCCACCTCAGCCTCCCAGAGTGCTGGGATTACAGGCATGAGCCACCACACCCAGCCAACAAGGGGAGCCTTAAGTACAGAGCAAAGTCTCCTGGTAGCTCACCAGCCAGGTGGTGGACTGGTATTGGGGAGTCCACCCCAGTGGGGACTCACTGAAGCAGACCAGTATGTGGGAAAACCATGGACATGACCCCCAGATCTAAGAGCAGTGGACACTGGGGAAGACCCTCTACTCCCACTCAACCCTTTCTCCGGTAAGGACCCAAGAGGGCAGAGGCCTAACCCAGCCCCCGGCGTTCATCCTGATTCATCCAATGAGTCTAATCTTCTGTGGTGTGACTTGTTCAGGAATGGGCATCCAACCTAGTTCTGGCCAATGGGGTGCAAGGGGAGGAGGATGTTCTGAAAAAGTGTAGAAAAAAGAGGATCACAGATCTAAGGTTTGTAGTAAGAGTCTGTGGTTTCCAGAATGACATGGAAGAAGGAATGAGGGAGGACACCTACAAGTTAGATGATGGCTACACCCCAAGACTTCAGAGGTGTGGACTGAAAGCCACAAAAGAAGGAAGTAAATGGTCAGATAATGCATTTCCTTTAGGAATGTAAGTCATGAGGCCAGCTGACCACGGTGAAATCTTACATTGGGAAATAGTGTGGGCTGTTGACTTGACAATGGAGCCATAGGTTAGCCGCCATTTTGCAGAGCTATCTGTGAAGGTGCTGATGACACTCTTGAAAGGATCCCAGTACTGGTCGAAGGTGAAGACACAGGAATCCATCATGTGGTGAGATTCTAACTTCATCCCTAACTGGCGGTCTACATTACGTGTAGATCTGTTTACTAAGGCAGTTGATCTCTTCTTTGGCGTGTCTTTGAAAGGGGTTTTCTCATTCCTTATGTTACCAAATAAAGGAGGTGTTTTTATTGCACTCTCCAGGAAGGACAAGTGGAGGAAGAACAGCTGCAGTTTGTCTCTGTCCCTCATGCCTTCCCTGGGGGTGACGGTGGGGGAGGACCCATGGTTTAGTGGAACTTATTCTTGTGCCTATAAACCAGCTAGAGAGGAGCCGCCATTATTTATGTATTTATTTAGAGATGGAGTCTTGCTCTGTCACCCAGGCTGGAGTGCAGTGGCGAGATCTTGGCTCACTGCAACCTCTGCCTTCTGGGCTTAAGCGATTCTCCTTCTTCAGCCTCCCTCCCAAGTAGCTGGGATTACAGGCGTGCGCCAACATGACTTGCTAATTTTTTTTTTTTTTGTATTTTTATTTTTATTTTTTTTTGTTTTTTATTATTATTTTTTTTTAATTTATTTTTTTATTGATAATTCTTGGGTGTTTCTCACAGAGGGGGATTTGGCAGGGTCATGGGACAATAGTGGAGGGAAGGTCAGCAGATAAACAAGTGAACAAAGGTCTCTGGTTTTCCTAGGCAGAGGACCCTGCGGCCTTCCGCAGTGTTTGTGTCCCTGATTACTTGAGATTAGGGATTGGTGATGACTCTTAACGAGCATGCTGCCTTCAAGCATCTGTTTAACAAAGCACATCTTGCACCGCCCTTAATCCATTTAACCCTGAGTGGACACAGCACATGTTTTTGTATTTTTAGTAGAGACGTGGTTTCACCATGTTGGCCAGGCTGGTCTTGAACTCCTGGCCTCAGGTGATCGGCCCATCGTGGCCTCCCAAAGTGTTGGGATTACAGGCATGAGCCACTGCACCTGGCCAAGGAGCCTCCATTTTAGATGGTAAGTTCAATTTGGGGGTGTTGGGAAGCCCGCTGCGGCCACCCAGCTAAGCCTTTACCAACAGGCTGATATA